>NC_000021.9:37984157-38294111 GCF_000001405.40 Homo sapiens
TTATGTTTTAGAGAGGTGTTGCTCTGTTGCCTAGGTTGGCCTCAAACTCCTGGGCTCAAGCAATCCTCCTGCCTCAGCCTCCCAAGTAGCTGGGACTACAGGCGTGCCCCCCCTTGCCCAGTAAAACTGTTAAACATTTTAATAGATAGCATCAAACAAGTGTTTATGCTTTTGTGTCCACGAATTCTAGGCTATTATAAGATGATAATTTTCCCAGCCCTAATAAACACTTCTCTTCTTTAAAATGTTCACCTTCAAGCAAACCCTATACCTCATAAATATCCCTTTCCTTTCCAAGACACTGCTCAGACTCTGTTGTGATGGTGGTCTTTCTTACCGGGGTGAGTAGTATACTCAGCTTGGTCTCACTAGTACATTGTTTTGGCGGTTTTATTTTTTTTGAGGGTGTGGTGAGGATTCCACAAGTACAAAATAAATCTCTTTGTTGTGGTTACCTGAGTAAACAAGATGGACCTGGCACTCAAATTTGGCTTGGATGTCAAGTCTGATGAAGCTGCACCCCCCTGTAAAGAGGGTGTGATGAGGTTTATTACTCACATAATGAGGTTTCCTTGGAGAGTAGGGTGGGCTCCTAAGCAGGTCTGACAATGGCTTGAGAATGCAGAGACATGAGGCTGGCTGGACTTTTGTGGTGGTTAGTGGATGGGGCTGGGATGAGGGTTCCCATACTTGGGAACGTTCATAGACTAGAGCTCATGCAGTTTGAGCTACCCATAGGTGCAGAAGGAGGAAGCACTTGGGCTTTCTTAGTTTGTCCCAATGCGAGAAAAGGGGTAGAGGGAGGAGGGTCCTGAAAGCTGTTGTCAGTTAACAAATGGACTCAGACTCTGTATAACACCCCTAATCACCCCTCCCATTTACCCCCTCCTCCACCCGTTCCCTGCAGCATCTCAAGAATCCCATGAATACTCTATCCACACATGCCAAGGGTATTGAGGGAATACAAGCATTAAAAGTTGTTATTGTCAATCAAGAAAAATGACCAGACAAGTGTCAATCATTTTAGGAGGTTTATTTGTCAAAGATAAGGATGCGCGCCTGGGAGACAGGTCTATGCCTTTCTCCGAAGATAATTTTGAGGGCTGCAAATTTAAAGGGGAAAGGGCAGGATATTAAGAAGTACACAGTTTTCATGTAAGAGAGGGGTGGGGAAAAATAGTCATTCATGCTTTTGTCTGGCTTAGCGAAACTGCATTTTTTTACATAAGATGATATAGACAAATGGAGCAGAGGAAAAATGCAGGGAATCTGCATTTTACATAAGATAACATAGACAAAATGGGGCAGGGGAATAATCAGATATGCATTTGTGTCTGGTGGACGGCAGGGGTGATGGCTGCACCTGTAAAGACAAGCTATCAATTGGCATTGCCATGGTGAAATTTTACAGAAGCACCTTAGAGTAAAGATTTTGCAGCTCACTAGGAATTTCCTTGAGGGCAAAAATATAGGGGAGGTGTGCAGCTTTTCATCTTGTAGCCATCTTATTTAGGAAGCAAAAAGGGGGAGTCAGGTTTGTGTAACCCAGTTCCCAGCTTGACTTTTCTTTCAGGCTTAATGAATTTGGGGTCCCAAGATTTAATTTTCTTTCACATTATACTCAATGTTCATGAGAACTCCATACAAATATTAGTATGTAGTGCTAATTTTAAAAACAAAACAGTGAATTATGCTTCAGTGGAAGACCCTAAGGTGAGCCCCATTGAACTATCTTCTGATCTCCATGCCCTTAGATGATCCTCTCTCTGTGAGTGACAGGAGGACCTACAACTTCTTTCTAGCCAATAGAATAAGGCAAAGGTCAAGGTATTTTGCATAAGCAATTAAGATCTCAAATCAGTTGATTATAAAATTGGAAGGAAGGTTATTATTGATGGGCTTGACCTAATTGGTGAAAACCCTTAAAAGAGGGGCTCAGCTCTCCCTGAGAGAGAGGGCAGCTCCTGTTGCTGGCTCTAAAGATAAGATGTCATGTTGTGAGGGAGTATACGGGGAAGGCCATATGGCAGGGAACTGGGGGGCCACTGGGACCTGAGATTGACTCCTGGCTGACACTCAGCAAGAAATTGGGGAGCTTAATCACAATCGCAAGAAGATAAAATTTGCCAACAACTTGGGTTGTTGGATTCTTCCTGGTCAAGCCTCCAGATGAGAACGCAGCCCAGCCAACACCTTGATTTCAGCCCAAAAAGACACTAAGCAGGGAACTCAGCTAAGCCATGCCTGAAATCCTGACCCTCAGGAACTGTGAACTAATAAATGTATGTTGTTTAAAGCCATGAAGTTTGTAATAACTTGTTATGCAGTTGTAGATAACTAATACATATGCATTGAAGTAATAATTTATTCTCTCAAGATAAAGAATGGAAAGTTGCTATTTTAAATTGCTTTAAGAAGATAAGAATAAGGGAAGTTAGTGTACTTGGTGTACTTAAGTGTATATAAAAGAGTGTCCTTATTATTAAAACAAAATGAATTGGGCTGCTGCTTTGGTACCTTGTGCATTTCACTTCATAAGAGATACAGTCTCTCCTGATCAGATTTTCCTTTGGTGCTCAAGTCCTCATTACCTTGCCTGCAAGGCAGGCAGATGGGAGAGTCTGGCCTTCCGACTTGGCTCACAGATGTCACAAATATTATCTCGATGTAATAAAAGACTCATTCCAATTATACACTGAGTATTGGATCCATTCCAGCCTCATGACTTTCCAAATTGTCTGTATCAGATCACAACTCCTAAGAACCATTTCCAGCTATATGGCACTATAAAACATAACCTAAATTAACTTGGCCAATGGCTTCATACCCTCTAGATGGATATTGCTAGCAAATATTTGCACAAGTCATTACTACCCATTTTGTGTGTTTAGACAGCGTATCTCTCATTTCTCCCTGTAATTAGCATTTTATATAAATGCAGCCTTTTCTCTGTTCTAGGGCACAGCCTTCCAAGCAGGGGCTCAGGCAGTCATTTGTCTTGTACTTGTTTATGGGGTGGGTGACTTGCCTGAGGCTGCCCTCCAGGTTGCCTAAGGCAGTAAACATGTATCCTGGAATAAACCACAACTAACATTTTTCTTTCTCGTAAAATTCCCTCTAACTGCTTGGGGAAATCGTAAGTGCTTCCTCTTTCAGCTTTGTTTGTAGTTTGTAAGGACAACACCCTTATCAACCTGCCTGGCACTATTGTGATGGCTGCCACATGAAAACATAGCTTAGAGCTTCCTTTGCCATCTATCTATGTATCTGTCTATGTATGTATGTATGTATGTATGTATGCATGCATGCGTGTGTGTGTGTATGTATGTATGTATGTATGTATGTATCTATCTATCTATCTATCTATCTATCTATCTATCTATCTATCTGTCATCTCCTTACTCATTTAACAGAATCATTTCTAGAGAAGGTATAGGGAAGAATACATGTTCAATAAAGTTACGAGTGATCCAAAGCCTTCTTTGTGAAAAAGCCTATTTTGCAACAATTTATTCTCACTCCCTACTCTGTGTGAAGCTCTTTGGTATCTTTATTGGTTTGCTAGGGCTGCCATAACAAAATACCACAGACTGGGTAGCCTCAACGACAGATGTGTATTTTCTCAGGCTGGAGGCTGGGAGTCTGAGATCAAGATGTCATCAGAATTGATTTCCCCTGAGGCCTCTCTCCTCTTGGCTTGTAGATGGACACTTTCTTTTGGTGTCCTCACAGGGTCTTTCCTCTGTGCATATCTGTCTGTGTCCTAATCTCCTCTTTTTTTTTTTTGACAGAGTCTAGCTCTGTTGCCCAGGCTAGAGTGCAATGGCACAATCTCGGCTCACTGCAGCCTCCGCCTACTGGGTTCAAGCGATTCTCCTGCTTCAGCCTCCCGAGTAGCTGGGATTACAGGTGCCTGCCACCACACCTGGCTAATTTTTTGTATTTTTAGTAGAGATGGGTTTCACCATGTTGGCCAGGCTGGTCTCAAACTCCTGACCTCATGATCTGCTCACCTTGGCCACCCAAAATGCTGGGATTACAGGCATGAGCCACAGTACCCGGCTGCTAATCTCCTCTTCTTATAAGGACACTAGACAGATTGGTTTATAGCCCACCCTTATTGTTAGGCCTCTGAGCCCAAGCCTGCATGTATATATTCAGATGGCCTGAGCCAACTGAAGAACCACAAAAGAAGTGAAAATGGCTCATTCCTGCCTTAACTGATGGCATTACCTTGTGAAAC
The DNA here is from genome assembly GCF_000001405.40 of Homo sapiens. Classification (NCBI taxonomy): domain Eukaryota; kingdom Metazoa; phylum Chordata; class Mammalia; order Primates; family Hominidae; genus Homo; species Homo sapiens. The sequence continues at coordinate 37,988,401 of NC_000021.9, forward strand.
TCCTTCTCCTGGACAATGAGTCTCAGAAGCTCCCCCACTGAGCACCTTGTGACCCCTGCCCTTGCCCGCCAGAGAACAACCCCCTCTGACTGTAATTTTGTACTACTTACCCAAATCCTATAAAACTGCCCCACCCCCATCTCCCTTTGCTGACTCTCTTTTCGGACTCAGCCCGCCTGCACCCAGGTGGTTAAAAAGCTTTATTGCTCACACCAAGCCTGTTTGGTGGTCTCTTCACATGGATGGGCGTGACACTTATGACCTCATTTCACCTTAATCACCTTGTTAAAGGTTCTATCTCCAAATACAGTCACATGCTGAGCTTCTGAAGGTTAGGACATCAACATTTTGGGCATAATTTAGCCCATTGCAACATTCCCTCTGGGAATGCAACTTCACCAGTGCAATACAGATTGATGTGAAGACAGACGAGCCTCTGGAAATGTCTGAAAAGATAGATGCAGAATTGGCCTCCAGACGCTACCAAAGTCTTCCTTAGACAATGAATCAAGGATGGCCCATGCCCATTCCCTAGAATTTTAATCAATGGAGACAGAGCCAGTGCCAGTTTCCACAAAGACCCAAGGAGAGGCAATGGAAACTTGGAATTCAAGTTTTCCTCCAGGGTATTTCCGAGGTGGGTTAGTGGTCCAGAAGTTAGGAAGACCGTCACTCTCTCATGGTGGATGGAGTTCTCACAAGGAAATGTAGACAGAACACAGGACCAAGACAGGGGCCAACCCTGTGCTCCAGCACTTGTGCAGAGTCATGGAGTTGAGGCACCAGCCATTCAAGAGGCCATGGACAGAAACAACCAGACTACCAGAAAGTGGGGGAGCAAAAATACTCTAGTGAGACATGGTATTATATGCTGAAAATACAACCAAATAGAGTGTGGTTGTATTTGGAGATGGGACCTCTAAGGAAGTAATTAAGGTTAAGTGAGGTCATTGGGGTGGAGTCCTGATCCAATAGGAGTAGCGTATTTTTAAAAAATATGCCAGATCTCTTTCTCTTTCCATGTGCACACATTGGGGAGAGGTCTTGTGAGGACACAGCAAGAAGGTGGCTCTCTGCAAGCCACAAAGACAGCCCTCATCAGGAACCAAATTGGTCGGCACCTGGACCTTGGACTTCCCAGCCACCAGAACTGTGAGAGATAATGTCCATTGTTCAGGCCACGTCGTGTGTGGTACTTTGTTATGGCAGCAGGAGCAAACTAAAACACACGGTGAGAGAACAACCCCACTGATACCTGGGGAGGCTCACTGAGGAGTCCAGGTCAGCAGGCCTGGACCCTTGACCCTGGCAAGCCATGCCTCCCTCTCTGCAGTTAATAAGAAACTTCACTTTGCTTGATTAACAGGTAATTCTGGTGGTTTTTCTGGAGAGATGGCTGTTGATACACTCCAAAATTAGCTTCCAATGAAAAACTAAAGCCTCGAATCGCTTCTTGACTCTATTTTCTACCTGTACACTTTGGCAGAGTATGAGAAATCATGTAGGAAATATCAGAAATGCCAAGTACCTCTCCTCTTGGCTTCTTTGGCTCTGTTGCTGCAGACAGAGCAAAGGGCATCAGTTCATGCCATCAGGTGCCCCCTGATATCCTTAGACTTTCTGCATGTCCTACTCTTAGCCCCTCAGCATTTATGCCTAGCACTGAAGTACTCAGCAGGTGGAGGCACCTGTTAGCACATGCTTACCATGGTTTGAGGGCAAGTCTGCTCTGCGAGAAGGTTTGGCCTGCCTGGGTCCCTGAGAGCTAATCTCAGAAAGTGAGGGTTAGCCAAATGGAGGCAGGGCAAAGCCCACTTTTTGTTTCCTTTGCTGTTCTCAGTGGCCTCAGAGGAGGTGTGAGTCTGCTAGCCATTGTGCACTCCCCTGACTCACCTCTGAGTTCCGGCCCCCTGTGACCTAGGACCCTCCTTAAGTCACAAACTGTCTTGGACATCCACTTTCAGTGATGTTTTTCACAGAGATCAAATGATTTATTAATTCCATTAGCACTCATTAATTTAAAAGAGAAAGAGGAAGGAAGGAAGGAAGGAGAAAGAAAAGAAAAAGAAAGAAGAAAGGAAGGAGAACAAGAAGATTCTCCCGTAATTTTATATGAATTAGGATGCTTTTTGGCTGTAGATAAAAAATCCAACTAAATGTGGTTTCAACAAGTAAGGATATTTACTATCTCTGGTAGGAGAAGTTTGAAGAAAAGCGGTTCAGTGGATCAGAGATGCTTATAAGGCTGGAGTTTAGCATCTTTCTCCTCTGTCAACCTCAGAGTGCCAGGAACATTGTCCCCCATGTCTGCCAGATGGCTGTCCTCAAATGACAGTGTCTGAAAGTAGGAAGGTGGCTGTGGGGACATAATCCCTCTTCCTCCCACCCCCCGATTTCTGGGTTCCTGTAAAAAGCCCCAGCCACCAAAGATTCTTCACATACCAGGAGAATCAGATCTGTAGCTTTTTGTTTAGTTAGTTGTTGTTTTCCAAGGGGATAGTAAAATTTCTCTTCTCTCTCCAAAGGGTCAAATAGTCACAACCCAGAGTAGGAACCCAAGTTAAGCCTCCTAGGTGCTATGCTAGGAAAACCTAAAGGCTATCTTCCTGCATATTTACATTTCAAGGGAGACTGAAGCCAGAGACACTTGCAGGTCTTGGATTATAAATCATTCTACTATAAAGACACATACACACCTATGTTTATTGCAGCGCTGTTCACATTAGCAAAGACTTGGAACCAACCCAAATGCCCATCAATGATAGACTGGTTAAAGAAAATGTGGCACATATACACCGTGGAATACTATGCAGCAATAAAAAAAAGATGAGCTCATGTCCTTTGCAGGGACATGGATGAAGCTGGAAACCATCATTCGCAGCAAACTAACACAGGAACAGAAAACCAAACACACTTATGTTCTCACTCATAAGTGGGAGTTGAACAATGGAAACACATGGACACAGAGAAGGGAACATCACACACCAGGACCTGTCGGGAGGTGGGGGGCTAGGGGAGGGATAGCATTAAGAGAAATACCTAATATAGATGACAGGTTGATGGGTGCAGCAAACCACCATGGCATGTCTAGATGTATGTAACAAACCTGCACATTCTGCACATGTATCCCAGGACTTAAAGTATATATATATTTAAAAAACCTAAAGAAATCTGAAAAAAATATAGACTTTAGTTAAAAATAATGTATTAATAAGGGGGACCACTATACTCACACATACTCTCACACTTGTGCACACTGACACCCACTTCTACATTGTCACAGTCTCTCACACTCTTACTTCCACACCCTTACACATGCACATTCACACACACATCTCTCTCTCACACACACACACACATACACACACCCACACCTGGATAGATTTCTAGAAGAGAACAAAATTAACACCTCCCTGTTGTTGAAAATAAAATTCTATTCTGGCAGCCGAATATAAAATTTATTCACGGATGTGAATTGTGTCTATCATCTCCCAAGACCTCTAGGTTTTGTTTTTCAGTCCTCACTGCTATTGTTAAATCATGTCTCCCACATGAAATTCATGGAGGTAGTTGGGTTTTTGAACTTCTGGGCAGGACATCCATCCTCTCCCTTCTCCCATCGCCTTTAGCTGGCTTCTTCATCTCTCCCCTGTGTTTAGACTCAAATTCATCTATTAAGTTACAACTTCTTTTGTATTTCTAGCTGGTATTTATAACATCACATGCTGTAATGATTGTTCACCAGCTCTCCATGGGCTCATCTAGACAGAGCCCCGATCCACGTGAAAGTTGCAGATACCAGGATGAAATTGCTTGGTCAGACCCTGCCAAAATAGGACAGGGAAGGCGTGAAGGAGAGGAGGCTTATGTGTCTGAGATAAATACTGCTTCTAAGGACTTGCTAAAAATCCCATAAGAAACCATTTCACGTCCTTCACGAATCTCTGGCCTTGACAAGGTTTACCACCAGACATTCTTTAGGACTGCAGTGATCCAGATGAGATGCTCTTGAAAGAACACTTGCCCAGTGACAGCATCTTTACCAATGAACTGACAACAACTGGCTTTGAGCCTCTGGACCAATGGACTCTGTTTCTAAGCAGCTTATGTGGACCTCTCTCTTTTGCTAATAAAATCTTCCCTTTGCCTTCCCTCACGGGAGGCACTGGCAGTTTACCATCCTATGCATTCTATGTTATAATCCTCATTTCTCACTCCCGCATAAACTCCATATATTTGGAGATAATTTTCTTCACTGTCTTTTTTTTTTCAGGCTGACACCCATGCGCTGAAAGAGGAAATAATGGATGTCAGTTTCAGGCCCAGGCCTCTAAGAGCTGGAGCCTCATCTTCTGGTTTCTCTCCCACAGTGACCGTGGATGCCTTTTCTCCCAAAAAGGGCAGCTCTCGAAGGCCTGAGTCCTGGTTTAACTAATACAATTTCTCAATATTGAATAATTACGTGTCTCTATAGTCAAGTTCAAGAAAATGCTTTATATTGAGCCTCACTGCTTGTCAGCATATATCTCATCTTTTAAAATTTATATAATGTGATTTTGTCTTAGTAGACTATTTTAAATTAACATTGATATTTAATACCAAAGGGTAGCATTTCCCTCTCAAAACTGAAAATATTTCTGGTAGAAGAGTTGAACAAATGTGATTTCTTAGATTTATTTTTGGATCACCTCCAATTAAATTTTACTTAACATTTTTGGCTGTCTATAAAAGTCATAAATTACCAAAACTCTAGAATTAACTTCTTTCAGGTGCAATTATGATTCATCAGTAAAAATGCTTCATTTTAATGTTTCCTAGATTGCTTATCAACACATCAAACATCCCATTGGTTTGAGATAATCTATTATTACGTCATGTATTGGGAAACTTGGGCAACAGGGTGATGATTTCCTATGTTCTCCAATCATTGGATGATATTCTTTCATCTAAAGAATTGCTCTTTACATAGTTTGAGGAAAAACCAGAAAGAAATGAAATAAATATTATATATATGTGTGTGTGTGTGTGTATATATATATATATAAAATCCAAAGTTTTATCATAATATTTACTTGTGGGTTGTATATACACAGTCCTCTCTTTTATACACAGCTATCAAATATGATAATAAAACTGAATTTGCTGAATTGATTGGGTAGGATAAAAATATGAGAAAAATAAACAATGACTTCCATTGGTTGTCTTTGAATTTCTTCATTGTGCCATTATATTATGGCTGAACATGGGTCTGGACTAGTATTTTGGAATATTCAACTTTGTATGCATACAGCAGAGAACTATATTTCTATCTTCCTGTGTTGGAGTGAATTAATAACCTTATCAGGTAAAGTAAGAAAAAATGGAAACTTACTGAGTGTTTATTAATTACTCTGTATTTATGAGCTCAATTTTCTCCATTAAATCATTTGGCTCTGCAGTCAGTTTATCCCCATATTGGGTATTCTTGTTCCAAACCCTTCTGATGTTCTACCTACCCACCTGCCATTTATGGATTCTCCATGGCTGCTTTCCTGCTGCAATGGCAGAGTTGATCCTACAGAGATCATCTTGTCTGCAAATCCTAAAATATTTACTATTTGGCTCTTAACATAAAATATTTGCCAACTCCTGGTTTAGATAAACTTCATGAAGTCTGAAATGGAAATTGGTATTATTAGAGTAACTCTATGTCCTAGTTTTCATGAGATGACACGAAACCTCCCTTCACTTCCATGAATCTCAATCCAAAACAAATGATGTTACTTGCAATGGAATGTGTTGATCCCAATTCATTCAACTTTATTCACATTGAGCAAGGAGATATGTGTCTAATTACGATTGCGATGAATACCATGCAAACCGTCAAAAACATACAACAAAAATATCATCAGATAGTAGTGAATGTTTTAGGTTTAATCCTGTGTCCATCTGGGACCAGAACGGGGAGAAGGAACTTCAATGCACATTCTTGGAAACAGGTTTTGAATGTTGCTGAGTCATAAGGCAGGTCACTTCATTCTGCCTTTGCTGGAGAACAGAGGGCATTGCCAAGAAGCTCTCAGCAGCCTCCTTTACATCTCCCATACAAACTTAGCCTGATAAAAATGGCCCAATTCCCACATTTACACTCTACCACTTTTCAGCTTTCTTTTTCCCTATGAAATAAGAGCAATGATTTTTTTTTGCTACTGCTTTAAAAATGATTCTTGTGAAAAACTCTAAAACAAAATAATTTTTCTTCCTTTTAATGTCATTTCTAAATTATGATCACTCACTTCATATTATTCTGGATATAAGTAAAGCGTATGAATTTAAAAAGGGGCCTGGAAAACCAGGAGAAGTTCCCGAGACTTTAGCCACCTTGATAGAAGGGACAGACAACTGGGTTCAGGAGGCCAGAGCTTGTCAAGCTGGAGGGAAATGACTTCCTTCTATCTTCTGCTGCCTGAGGAAACCCTGTGAGTACGGGCATGGAGTGCTGGGTTTAAGGAAAAACCAGCCTGAAGGGCACTGTCTGGGAAGGATGGGAAATAATACCTAAGGGTGGCTGGGGAACTCTAATCTTGGAAGTTATATCAAAAGAGGACAACAACCATCTGCCTTGGAAGTTTTAGGTGCAGGTTTTCTTCCAGTTGGGGAAGGGATTGGGGTGTGGGGGCACTTTCCCTCTGGTGGTTTTGTAGTAAACCTTTCCAAATGGACCCAACTACTTAGATGTATGGACCTATTAACAAGAAGGCATAGATACTCTTCGGCTCATAACCAGTGGAAAGGCATGGTTCCTGTATTGGAAGCATCTACTACTGGAGTGAAATTAACTCCTAGTCTGTTAGTTTTCCAGAGCTGCTGTAACAAGTCTCCACAACTGGATGGTACAAAATAATGGAAATTTATTCTCTTACAGCTCTGGAGGTTAGAAGTCCAAAATTAAGGTGTCAGCAGGGTGGGTCCCGTTTTGGAGGTGCTGAGGGAGAATCCATTCCCTGCCTCTCTCCCAGCCTCTGATGGTTGCTTCAATCCTTGGCATTCCCTGGTTTGTCAGTGCTGATGCATTCAATCTCTACCTCTGTCTTCACATCACATTCTCCTCCCTGTGGATGTGCATGTGTCCCAATTTCCTTCTCATAAAGACACCAGTCAGTGGAGTAGGGCCCACCATAATCTGGGATGACCTCCTCTAACATTATACCTGCAAAGACCCTCTTTTGAAATAAGGTTACATTCACAGGTACTGAGAAGATCTGGGAGGAGAGGCACTGCGGTGAGCACCTGTGGGCTGTCCCAGGACCTGTGATTGCTCTAAGCTGTGTAGGATCCACACAGATACCAAGCCATAAGTCAGCTCTCCAGGTGAAGCATTCAAGGAGTGAACAAAAGAATGGCTGATTTAGAAACGCTGACCAGTGCAGTGAAGGTCAGCTTTCCTAGTAAAGCCTGATGGGACAACATAAAGAGAATCACTGTAGCCTAGCCCCTCACAAAAGAAAGACTGGCCTTAAATTTAAAGGCTAATTTAAAGTCGTGGACCTAGAAGCCAGTGTCAGCTCAGGTTTATCGCTTACTAACTATGGCTACTGGAAAGGAGTTGGTGGAAATCTACCCCAGGCAACTCACTTCACAGATGGAATGAATGTAGAGAAAGGCCACACTGCTGGACTTCAGCAGGACTGGGACCTCTGATTCAAGACTAAGCTAATTCTTCTCTCCCCTATCTACTTTCATGAGGAAGGGCTGGAGAGACCGTGAAGTCAAAACTTCTGCTTAATAATGCACATTGTGATTCTTAGGGTAAAATGATAGCAAGGCAGTATTATTATTTTTAAAGCTGAAAAGCAAAAAATGCAGTCAAAATATTCAACATAACAAATGCAAACCAAGCAAGCAACAAACAAAAAACTCAACAACTCACCAGTTCCTTTCTTGGCCTCATCACTAACAGAGTTTAACTGTACTAAAGTCAAATGATGTTTGAAAAACTAGATTCCCCCAGATGGGCTGGCAAGTGATCAGAGCCTGAGGGTGTCACCTCGACGCTTGAATTGGACTGGACCTGTTGATCACACTGCCCTTTCCTCATCTGAAAAGCAGGCCTGGAGAGGTGGTGGCCCCCACAGGGCTTTTGTGAGGATAGAATGAGTTACACACCAAGTCTTCGAACAGTGCATGGTACCTAACGAATACTTATCATGGTATTGTGATTAAGTGGAACATCTCTTTGTATTTCCCACATATGCAAGAGTCCATTTTAAAAGAATTTCTACCCACACTTCTTTTATCACATTTGTTCATGTTTCATGTTGTAAACATAATATTTGCTTTTGGAGGAAAATGTAGAAAACGTGAATGTAAAAAAAAATCATGGATTGACATTATTCTCTTGGTTGTATTTTATTTCCATCTCTGAAAAAATGCATACACCATTATTATTTTTATAAAATTAAGATTATATGACTGCTTTGCATGCTTATTTTTAAATTTGGTATTATGTTTTGAAAAATTTTCTAGGTCATTAAATACTTTTGGAAATCAGCATGATTTGAAACACAGAGAGAGAACTCCATGTGAAGATGAAGGTAGAGATTGAGGTGACACAGCTACAAGCCAAGGAACACCGAAGAGTGCCAGCAACCACTGGACGCTATGGGAGGGCCTGGAGGAGGTTCTCTCCCATGACCTCAGAAGGAACCAGACCCGCCTGGTCTCAGACTTCTGGCCTTGAGAGCTATTTTGATTCAAGGCTAAAAGAACATCAAAGGAGCACTTGAACACCATCACAATAGAGCCTGCTAAAAGCTAAATGAATTGGACATCAAGGTAGTCTCATATGTTAATGACAGTGACTTCGGCTATCATGGGTGACACATTCATTTTCCAGCACACACCGACTGTATTAGGCTGTTTTCACACCGCTATAAGGAACTACCTGAGACTGTGTAATTTATAAAGAAAAGAGGTTTAATTGACTTACACTTTCACATGGCTGGGGAGGCCTCAGGAAACTTACACTGATGGTGGACCGCGAAGGGGAAGCAAGGCACGTCTTATACGGGGGCAGGAGAGAGAGAGAGAGTGGTGGGGGAAGGGCCACGGTTTTAAACCATCAGATCTTCTGATAACTCACTCACTATCACAACAACAGCAAGGTAGATTATTCCTTGCTGGCTTTGAGACAGGGATTGTTATCAGCTCCCATAGACCCCCTGTGTTCCTGGCTCATATAGCTCCTCCATCTTCAAAACAGCAATGATTATGGAGGCCGTCTCATACTTCCAGTTTCTCTGACTTCTGTCACCAGCTGGAGAAAGCTGTCTGCTTTTAAGGGCTGGTGGGATTGCATTAGTCTCATTGGGTCACCCAAGATAATCTTCCAATTTTAAGCCCAACTCTGCCATGTAACAGCACATGGTACAGTTCTGTATTCACAGGATGTGTGACTGTACCTCATCATATGCACATATTCTGGGGAGTAGGGTAGGAAATCCTTGGGAGTCCCATTTGGAAATTCTGCCTACAATAACATCCAAATGAAATTTGTCATTTTATCTTACTTCTTCTGCTTTAATTGGTTCTATTTCTCAGTAATAATCTTATCCATCTGCATTCTAACATTTTCCACCCACTTTTTGATTTTATACTTATCAGACATGATGGGATTAGTGTTGCTTCTAAGGCACTCAAAACTGAACTGAACTCAGCAAACGAATTATAAACCAAAAATCGATCTGATGATCATGACTATCACTGCTTGATACATTTGCCAACAATGTCTTTAGGGGAGGACAAATTAATAAGCTTGAGCTCTGAGGTTTAAATTTTTCTATTTAATTTTGAAGATTCCTTAGGTTGAAAGTTTATACACAGGATAAAATACCATTTTCCCAGAATGCCTGGGATCTGACCTGCCCCAGATTAATTGACATTTCCAGATTTTGGTAACTATAACCAAAATAATGAATTTATTTGATGCTGTTACCCACAAAATCATATTACCTAAGGGGCATTGTCTGTCAAGATCATGAGATGAGCCCATCTTGACATCCCCAATTGAAGGTGGCTTCGTCATATGCCATACATTGTAGAAAAATGTTTTGCATTTGTGATCAAGCCATGCTTTTCCCGAATGCATGATTATAAAAATATCTTATGAAGTATTTCTAGTGGTTCAATGCATTTGTGTTGGCTCCCAGGGAGAGAAGAGCTTCTGTATAAACAGCCATCACAACTTCACCATCAGTGAGCAGATTTACAGAAGAGGAAACATAAATGACTAATTCACATAAAGTGTTCAGCCTCACTCAAATTGAGATATAATTTTATGCATGATTTTAATGCCATCTTACATAATATATTCTTGTCCATTTTTCATTGGGTTGTAACCATTTTATATATTCAGAGTCTTAACATTTTAATGGTAATATTTCTGATATACATCTTTTCTCATTTTGTTATTTAATATTTTGTTAGCTTTTTGACATATGGATATTTCACATTTTTATGAATTTCTTTTTCATTTGTGACTTCTCTCATTATTTTTTATGCTCAGAAGGTTGCTTTTTCATCTCAAGATCAAACTCATTTTTCTCCAGGCTTTTTCATTATTGACTTTTTTTTTTTAATCCACCAGGAATTTGCTTTGGAGTATAGTATTAAGTTGAGGCTCTAATATTTTTCTCTAAATATTTAATCAGTTATTCTAAACTACTTCAAATAATGATTTTTCTTTTTGCCATTATTGTTATGCCATCTTACATAATAAACTGAATTCTCATGTATATATTCAGGACTGTCCCAGGGTGTCTATTATGTTCCATTGTTCTGTCTGCTCACTCTTTAGCCAGAACCATTATTTCTGAAATTGCTATAACTTTATAAATATTCTCAAATACCTGATAAAATATTAGAACCATTCTTCACTAAAATTATTTTTCAAAAAACTTTGTTATTTTTCAAGACAAATTTGAGAATTCGATTTTAAGTTCCATCTTCATAATGTCACTGCATTGAACATTTAATTAATTTGAGAGAATTGCTATCTTTCCCATATCTAGTCTTTCCATCCAGAAACATAAAGAATCAATATAATGACGTAAGTGTTTTTACATCCTTCCATAAAGTTTAAAAATTTTCCTCATATGGCTTCCACACACTTCTTATTAATTTGTATTAATAGATTTCTCATTAATTATCTTGTTGCAATGGTGACTGAAATCTTTCCCAACCATGTTTTTAAATTGGTTGTTAATGATATGTAGAAAATAATTAATTTTAGAAATTTATTTTGTATCACGTGCTTACTATTTACATGCCTTGTTCTTTATTGACAGAAGAAAGAGAATAATTTCAGCTCTTGAATTAATGAAGAAATAGCCCTGTAGATTTGCCACTATAGGATGTTTCTGTTTTTAGTCAGACTTATCCTCATAAATGCTACCTAATTGTCTAATTTCAAATACTCGTATATTCCCGCACCCTGGCGTTTATTAAACTGCCACCGCCAGCTTTTTGTTTGTTTGTTTGTTTTGGTATCTGTGGTGGGCTAAATAACAATCTTTAAAGATATCCCTGTCCCAATACCTGGGACTTGCAAATATGTTACCTGACATGGTGAGACAGATTTTGCAGATGTGATTGAATTAAGGATCCTGAAATGGGAGGGCCTTGGGGATTTCTAGGGTAGGAGCAATGTACTCACAAGGATCCTAATAACAAAATTATGAGTATTATATTTAAGGGAAGGGTAACAGGTGGTGAAGTCATGCTTTGAGAATAAAACTGACCTGGAAGCCTGACTCTGGGCTTCGGTTGCTGCATTTCTCCGCTTGGTCATTGTCACAAACCCATTCCTTCCACACAAGTGATGGAGAGACTCAGCCTGGGACATGCTGGGTCCTGCGAGATTCTGCACCCATTCTCGGTGGCAGCAGCGGCTTCGGAGGCTAGTGCCAGGCTCATATCTCAGTGCCCTTCCACATCAGTAATCTCTGATTAGTGGGTCTGTTTCTAGGGGGCCTCAGTGTGGAAGGAAGGTCACCCGTTACATCCCTGGTCCCTCCTCAGTAGTCTCAAGGGATTCTATCCTGGTTCCAAGCACTCCCAAATCTGTACAAGGAAACTCCGTGGGTGAGGGGACTCAGGTCACTTGGCGGGATTTAGTTTACCTGAATCTGTGATATCACATCCACCTGCCTGTCCCCTCAGCACCTTATCCAAGAACTCCTTTCACCTATGCGTGCTAATCCTCTTGAGAATTCTGGTAAATTCAATTTTCTTCATTCCCCTGCTTTCCAGAAAGTTTTGCCTCCAATGGTGTGTTCCTTGCAGACCTGTTTCATGCAGCTCCACAGCCAACACCCCACTTCACACGGCATGCTGAGGATGCAGCATCACCTGGCCAGGGTTACATCTGCTTGGAGGCTGTTCAGGTGCTGAGAACTCTGGCAGTGTCAGGGAAGCCCACGACAACCTCATAGCTGTGAGCCACAGCTCACACAAAAATTGTAGTAACATATTCTTCACATGTTCCTGCCTTTTCTCAAAGGTTCCTCATGGTTTGGGTTATTTATTTTCTCAATGCTTTTATTTTTAAATAGTTATAGATCTGCAGGAATTTGCAAAGACAGTACAGAGAGATCCTGTGTATCCTTCACCAGGTTTCCCTGATGATTACATCTTACCTACCTACAGCACTATATCAAAATTAGAATATTTATAATGGTGCAATGTATGCATATAGTTCCATGCCATACAGAATTGTCCCATCAACATAAAGACCTCTCTTATACTATCCCTTTCTAGTCATTTCCTCCAATACTCTCTCCACTATCCCTCACCCCTTGGCAAACACTAATATGTTCATGTCTATAATTTTCTCTTTTCAAGAATGTTACATAAATGAAATCATATAGCATATGACTTGTTAAGATTGGCTTTTCCCAGCCTGGATACTGCCTTCGAGATCTATCCAAATTGTTACATGTATCAATACTTCCCTCCCTTTAATTGTTGGGAAGTATTCCATGGTATTAATCACAGTTTGCTAAACCATTCACCTGTTGAGGGACGTTTTGATGGTTTTGAGTTTTTGGATATTACAAATAAAATTTCAATGAAAATTCATGTGTGGGTTTTTGTGTGGACATAACTTCATTTCTCTAGGATAAATGCCCAGGCATGCCATTGCTGGGTTGTATGGTAAGTGTATATTTAGTTTGCTAGGAAACTGCCAAATTTTCCAGGGTGGCTGCACTATTTTAGATTCCCATCAGCAATGCTAGCATTTGGTGGTGTCATCATTTTATATTTTAGCTGTTTGGATAGATACATAGTGATATAAAGTGATATAATGGTTTTAATTTGCATTTCTCTGATTGCTGATGATATTGAACACCTTTTTATGTGCTTATTTGCCATCTGCATAGTCTGTCTGGTGAAGTGTCCTTTCACATCTTTTGCCTATTTTTGAATTGGATTGTTTTTTACTGTTAAATTTTTAGATTTCTTTCTATATTCTTAATATAGGTTCTTTGTCAGATAACATGGCTTGCAAATATTTTTCTCCCAAACTGCAGCTTGTTTTTTTTATCATTTTAGCAGGACTTTTCACAGAACAAATATTTTAAATTTTAATAAAGTCCAATTCATAGATTTATTATTTTATTCACTGTGGTTTTACATCACGTCTAGAACTCGTTGCATAGCCCAGGTCATGAAGGTTTTTACTCTGTAATCCTATAAAAGTTTTATAGTTTCACATTTTACCTTTAAATCTATGGTCGATTTTTAGTAAATTTCTGTGAACTGTGTGAGTTTTGGTTAAGGTTAATTTCCTTTTACCTATGGATATCCAATTGCCCCAGCAGCATTTGTTGAGAAAACCATCCTTCCTCCATTGATTTGAACTTTTATCAAAAAGTTTTGAATTTTGCCTTGACTGAACATGCAGTCCAAATTCGGATGCAGTAGACCATCAGCATCCAGTGAGAAACCACATTGAGACTCAGTGTCATTGTTGGTGCTCAGTGTATCATGGAGAAAACCTAACATCAAGAACAAGTTGTGATCAAAGTTGAATACAACAGGCTATTTACTGGCAGGCTGAGCATGTAGGAGAGGAATAGAGAATTACAGTTTGTAGACTGAAGAAAGCATTCTTACTAAGATGCTCCCAGTTAGATGCAAGTATCTTTTGAGGCTGTCAAACTGCTGGCTTGGGAACACTTGGTAGGTTCAGAAAAACAGCTGGTGCTTTGTGGAGCCAGTCCTCACGATGCAAAGTAAAACCAGTGAGCCCTTTTCTATGTTAACAATACTGCATTAACCTGGTCTGGAAAAGAGAAACGGTGATTTGAAAATTGCTCTTGCCATAATATCTCCCCAGAGAAGTACTGGAAACAGGCAACACCATTATTTTTTGCACAATTTATGAACTGAAGTGAGATTTATGAGCAGGATGCAGTTTATCTGCTTGAGACATGGGATGCTGGATTTTCTGTGTGATGAGGTGAGCACCCTAACATGAACTTGTACATCACTTCTTCAAATAAGCCTGAAGATGACTTCCCTTCTGGTTGACTTCCTCTCCTCTGGATACATTTCCTGATCTGGACATGGGACATAGAATCAATGTGCAGGGGCAGCCTTGGCCAAAATGAAGCACCCCCAGACCATCTGCTGAGGGATTTGACTGCCTGTGGACAAAGTGGTTGCCAGCCAGCCTCTGGAGTCTGTTGGCACAGCCCGCTCCATGGAAACCATCAGCAGCCTCTTGCTCAGACCAAGAGGGAATATCTGTTCAAAAGAGGCTCTCAGCAGTACTTAAATCTAGCAGAAAAATTAAAAATGTTCACGACCTGGCAGGTGGTCCATTTGAGCACCAAAGTGCCATTTAGCTTCCCAGGAAAAAAAAAAAATCTAGGTAGTAAGCGGAAGAATGTCCAGCAGGGAAGAAGATAAATTGGAAGGACACTGAAGGAGAAAGCAACTCCCAGGGACAGCTGCTCCATGTGACGCACTGAGGACCCACTCATTGTCATGGACACACGGGGTGCTGTGCTCACCTGTCATGAATAATTTGTGAACTCACACAGGACTCCTGCTCCACCATGTCTCCAGTGGCTCTCATGTGTTGGCCATATTTATTGAGTTCACTCCATGGGTCTGCTGAACAGACTGTAGACCGTAAGGCAATGGGATATTAGTGCAAAGAGAACAGAGACAGCTTTTGAAGACCAAGTTAGACTTGTGAAAGTTAGACTTGTGAAAGGGATCAAAGGGTTGTTTTAAAAGTATCTTTAAAAACTAGCATTTTTAAACCCTGAGAGGGGTGGCTAAAGATCTGTGTCAATTTCACAACCAAGTACTCTTATGACTTTAAGCCAATAACTTGACTTCTGTGGATCTCAGATTCATGTCTTTAAAGGTAGGAGGATGTAGGCTTAACTCATGGAGCTGTCTGGAGAGATGCTTAGAGGTATCTGGAAAATAATCACATGGAAATCAGCTGAGGGCCCCCATCTTAGTGGATAGCAGGTACTGCCTCAGCTTCCCATTCCATTTATATGTTCATTTCCTTAACCCTACATATATTCCCACACATTTTAACCATGTGTCACGGGTGTATGAAGCTAGGAAGGCAACACTGGTGAGTTTGATTCATCAGGGGTCAGTTGGGCACCCACTGGGGAGTTGGCACTGGGCTTGGTGGGCACTCTGAGGGAAAAAATAGAAAATGACAAGATGCGGTTTCTGCCCCTGAAACATTTTCAAGCTCGTTATG
This sequence comes from Homo sapiens, assembly GCF_000001405.40. Lineage (NCBI taxonomy): Eukaryota > Metazoa > Chordata > Mammalia > Primates > Hominidae > Homo > Homo sapiens. Next base: position 38,004,176 of record NC_000021.9, read on the forward strand.
AAGATAACACACTTGCCCAGGCACAGTGAAATAACTACACAGTGGGGTGTAATGCTTAATAGGATAAAAAGTCAAGCAAATGGAGTTATGAGGATCCAGGACTGTTTTCATGCTAGTCTGGCTCACAGAACGCTAGCAGGTTGTACTGACCTTCAGGACAAGCGTAAGTAAGACCTACGATGCTCGTTTGATCCCAACAGTTATCTCCCCTTTCTCAGTTCCTGTCTTCTCCCAGAGGGTGGCAGGTAGCTGGGGAAGAGATGACTGGGAGTGGAGAGGTGCCGCTGACCATTATGGTGGCAGCTACTCATTCAGGGTGCTCTCCTCCTAATTCTGCTGGAGAACACTATTTTGGGACAATTTGTCATCTTGGCTGGAGGGTCCTTTCCTAAAGTCTAGCACTGATAGAACACAAGGACGTAAGTGCTGCCTTTTAACCAGGAAGGCGAAGGCAAACTTTTCTTTAAAGGAGAGAGTTGCAGGTAATCCCTGGTGTTTTTTTTTTTCAATAGTTAGCAACTGCAGGGGAAGGGAAAGGCTGTAACACCCTTCAGCTCAGACGCACAATGGGAATATTAATTTGAGCAGTTTCCATTTCAGTCCCTTGTCATGTTAATTTTGAAGTCTGGTATACGCCCCTCAATTCTAGTTGATGATAAGCTCTAAAAGATGGCAAGATTGGTGAGGCCAAAATGCAGCTGACAAACTGAGCTTACTTAGAGATTTTCAAACTATTTGTAAGACTGGCATCTCCAATAACACTTTTGTCATTCCTGCCATTCAAACAGGAACTGTTCCCTGGAAGACCCTTAAATAAACCTGTGCTTTCAACCCACTCACCTGCCAGAGGTGGAGCCTGAAAGAACTGGGGTGTGGGCTTATCATCCCAGTTGGGTCTCCTTTATTTCCCACTGGTGTTTTCTGACCATGCCAGGGAAAGCAAACAGTGGCTACATTCCAGCCCCTCCACAGTCAACTAAGTTTCATTCTTCCCTCTGGCTGAGGGTCTGTTGGAGGTGAGCCCAGGATCCCTGAGGCTGCTACAGTTGTGTCCCTCTGTCCCTTTGAGGTCTACCCAGCAGATGTCTTCTACAGGGAAATGCAAATCAAAACCAGAGTGAGATACTACTTCCCACCCACTAGGATGGCTAGAATAGAAAAGACAGATGGGAACAATTGTTGACCAAGATGTAGATAAATTGGGACCCTCATAGATTCCTGGTGGGAATGTAGTGTGGTGAAGCTGCTTTAGAAAACAGTCTGGAAGTTCCTCCAAAGGTTAAACATAGGTTTATTACCTGACCCCTCAATTCCACCTCTTGGTGTATACCCAGGAGAAATGAAAACCTATTCTCTTCTAAGGTGCTGGAAAAGCTGTTCAGGAGCGATTACAGCTATTACCCATGTAGGCAGACAGTGTGCATTCACACATTTAATTCATTTATTCAACAAAATATTGAGTGTCTACTATGTGTCAGGCACTGAGAAGCAGTAGTGAACAGAATGGATAAAAAGCTGTGCCCTCATTTACCTCACTGCACTGTGGGGAGGAGGAACAGACCATCAGCAACATAAGTAGGTCATGGAATAGGTTAGACAGGTTCTGGGGTTAGGGGAGACACAGCTATTTTAAATATGATGATCAGGGAAGTCCTCACTGAAAAAGATGTAATTTGAATGATGACCCAAAGGATGTGCAGGAGATAGTCAGGCAGGCATCTAGAGGAAGAATGTTCTAGACAGAGGGCCATCGAGTGCAGTGTCTCTGAGGTGGGACTGTGTGTGTGCCTGGCATGCTTCAGGGACAGCAAAGCCAGAGGAGCTGGATGTGAGCAGGTGGGTGTGGCTGTCTGAGGGTTATGACTTCTGCTCTGAATGAAATGGGTTCCGGAGGAATGACATGAAGCTTTTCCTGTTACTTAGGCTTTAAAAGGATCACTCAGGCTACTTTGTGGGGAAGAGCTGCTTGCTTACTGGTAGTGGGGAAGCATGAAGACAGACCAGTTAGGAGTCTGTTGCAAGAATCTAGTGAGAAATAATGACATCTGAACCACACGATAGCAGTGGAAGTAGTGACTTGAAGGATTTCTACCAATGCTCGTGGAAGACAGGAGATGGGTGAAGTGATGTGATGTTATGTCGTAGAAAATCTGGGTAAATAAAATCAAGATAGATCAAGGAATAATGAAAAGAGAGATGGACTTATGGGCAGGATGCTTGATATTTATATACAGCAGAGGTAAGTGGCTGGTATCCTAGTCAAAACATTGTAGCTGTCAATCTACCCTAAAATTACAGAACTAACCCAGTTGCTGGGCTCATTATTAATAATGGCAGAAAGCAACATAAGCAAATTGAGAGGATAAAATTGCTTTATTGGTTTGGCTTCCAAATCATGGAGAGCAAAACATCACAACAATTCAGTGAGCAAACACACAGAGGTGCTTCTAAACCATGAGGCAGAAAACCATTTATGTTTATTTTCATAATTGGTTTTCTGGATAGGCCAAAAATATAACAGCACCATTCCCTTCTATAGCATGAGGGAAAATCAAGATTTCTTTTTTTTCCTCTTCTATGTTCATTTCCTTCTTCCTCCAGTCACTCTTTTTGATTGCTATGATTGTATCCTTGGATGGCTCAATTGCAGTCTGTTGAAATTAAAGAAAAAGATTCTACGAAAAACTATAAAATGGACAGGTCTGGAAGAACCTCTTTTTCTAAGGCTATGTGTCATAAAACGTACGTATTTACTTTATAAAATACATTTCTTGATTGAATTTAAAATATGTTTTCGTTGTTAGAACTTTGATTTCCTTGCAGGTTTTCAGAAGCACATTACTTCAAATCCTACGAGCCCACTGTAGGTGATGAGAATATAAGCAGTGAACAAAACATAAAACCCTGGCTTTACAGACTCATAGCCTAGTGGGGGAGAGAGAAATGCACAGATAAATAAGAACAATAGATAGTATGTTTGGTGATGAGTACTACAGAGAAAGGAAAAGCAAAGATGGGGGTGAGGAGCTCCAGGTAGTGGGGTGGTTGTCAGGTAAATGAGGTGGGCAGGGAAGGCTCCTCTGAGAACCTTTTATCTGAGTAATGACTTCGAGGAAGTGAAGGAGACATGCAGACATCTGGGAGAAGAGGGAATAGCAGATGCACAGGTCTCAAGGCAGGAGGATTGTCAAAGAGGCCCCCATGGTTGGGATGGAGTGAGTGAACTGGGGGTAGTAGGAGATGAGGTCAGGTCAGTGACGGGGAGCAGGGCAGATTGAATAGCAAGCCAAGAAATCAAAGTTCTCACAATTTCCCTCTCTAGTGAGAAGGAATGCCAGAAGAGAAACGAGATATGTTTAAAAGGATTGTTAAGAGATAGAATGGGAGCCAGGCACGGTGGCTCACGCCTGTAATCCCAGCACTTTGGGAGGCTGAGGTGAATGGACTGCCTGAACTCAGAAGTTTGCGACCAGCCTAGGCAACACGGTGAAACCCCATCTCTACCAAAATACAAAAAATTAGCCGGGCGTGGCAGTGTGTGCTTGTAGTCCCGGCTACTCAGGAGGCTGAGGCAGGAGAATCACTCGAACTCGGGAGGTGGAGGTTGCTGTGAGCCGAGATCGTGCCACTGCACTCCAGCCTGGGTGACAGAATGAGACTCCATCTCAAAAAAAAAGAAGAGACAGAATGGGCAAAAATGTGCAAATCTTTCATTTGACAAGGAACTTACAGATAGAATATATAAAGGATTCTTACAAGTCAGTAATAAAAAGATAAATAGCCCAATTAAAACGGGCAAAGGATGTGAATAGACAATTCGCCAAAGAAGATTTACGAGTGGCCAATATACATTACATTTCACTAATGGCTAGTGGCATTGAGCATAAAAAGATGCTCAACATTATTCATTGTTAGGGAAATACGAATCAAACCCACAATGCGATACCACTTCACACCCATCAGGATGGCTAGAATCACAAAGACAGGCAGTACCAAATGTTGACAAGGATGTGGGGAAATTGGGGCTCTTGTGCATTGCTGGAGAGAATGTAAAGTGGTGCAACTGATTCTGAAAAAAGTCTAGAAGTTTTTCAAAAGGTTAAACATAAAATTACCATATGATCCAGCAACCCCACATCTATGTCTATGTCCAAGAAAAATGAAACATTCCCACACAGAAACTTGTTCACAAATGTTCATAGCAGGATTTTCATATAGCCAAAAAGGCACAACCAAAAATAACCATTAGCTGATGAATGGATACATAAAATGTGGTATATCCATACAAGGGAATATTAATTGGCAATAAAAAGTAGTCAAGAACTGATAAATACTATGACATGTATGAATGAATCTTGAGGACATTATGCTAAGTGAAAGAAGCCAGACCCAGCAGGCCATGTGCTGTGTGATACTGTTTATGTGAAATGTCCAGACATTTCAATGAGACAGACAGCAGATTAGTGAAGGCCAGGGCCTTGAGGAAGTAGGGAATGAAGGGGTGAGGACTAAGGGGAATGGGTTTCTTTTTGGAGTATTGAAGGTATTCTAACTGTGGTGGTGGTTGCATAACTTTGTAAATGCACTAAAAAAAACTGACTTGTACATTTTAAATGGGTGAGTTATAGGATATGTGAATTAATTATATTTTCATAAAGCTGTTTAAAAAGACCACTCTGGCTGCTCTATAAAGAATCTTGTACAGGACTTACAAGCAGGGGGGGCAGGATCTTACTGAAGAGGCTGCTGCATTAATGCAGGATGGTGGCGGTGGAAGTGAGAGAAGTGGTCAGATTCTGGCTGTTTTAACAGTGGAGCCGGAAGGCTTTGCCGGTGGGCTGGATGTGGGGTGTGAAGGAGATGGCTGCCTTATTGTTCCATTGGGAAGCCTGCATTGAGGCAGAGAGGAGCCAGAGATCTGGAGTGAATCCATAAATGAACAAATTTATGGCCCTCCTCTATGGAGAAGGCAGTATGCTCCAGGAGGTAAAAGGAGACAGACTCCAGTCCTTGCCTCAAGAAAGTTACACTCTGTAGATTTCAGCACAGTAACACAAAAAAGTTAAACGAGTATGACATTGTGATAAGTGTTTCAGACAACACCAGAAGAGATATTGCAGGAACATAAACTAGTGGTTGCCATAGGAATTCGAATATATGACTCTTGGCTGGAATAGCCCCAGAGCGGAGGGCTGAATGGAGGACGATAATGGCACACAGAGATGAGGGAGGGAGCCACAGGAAAACTGCATTTCAGGAGTCGGGAAGTAGACCACTTTGGCTGAAATCAATTTCATGTGGAGATGCCAAGGGAGATAAGGTTGAGAAAAGCAGAAAACAATTCCCTTTTAAAACACAGAGAATACTTGTTCATCACTTGACTGATCACAAGAATGAGCTGAGCAATTTTGTTATAGATCATAAACCAATTGCCCGCTTGCACAAGATTTAATACGAGGAAGACCTACTGGCTTTCTCTGATGATGAGATGATAAACAATAGACATGACAGATTGCCTAGAAAATGAGACATAATAATGAGAGTCAAACGCTGTTATTAAATCCGTGTGAAGGGGGAATCAGGAGGATAAGAAACCACTGTTAATGATGGTGAGAAAGCTGTGATCCAAAATGGCCTGAGGGGATTTTTGTTTTCACATGTGTGAATTCAATAAATTATGAGACTGTCAAATAGGTCCATTAAAACCATTAAGTATACTCAAGCTACATATGAAACTACGTGCTCTTCTTTCAGAAAAAGCAAACAAGATGGCCTTGTGATTTTTTAATGAATAATAGACATTCATTTAGATTTTTTTTTCCTCTTGTGATAGATATTCCATGCTCAGGTACTGGCAATGATCATTATAGCCCAGATGTTAGGAGCTCATGTCTTAGAATGAGGATGTCTCTGTTCAAATTCCAGCTTCTTGTTTTACTGCCATTTAATCTCTCCGTGCCTCAGTTTCTTCATTTGTAAAATGAGGATGATGTTGACAGCAATACTCACTTTATGGGGTTGCTGGGAGGTACCATTTGTACAGCACTTGGAGTAGTTAGCTCCTGCCGTTTATCAACACTCCAAAAATGTTAGCTGTGAACTGAAAGCCTGCTTTTCTACCTATTCATCACTTTCTGCCCACTTTTGTTGTAGCTAAGCAGTGTGTTTCTTCCTTATTACAAATGTCCTTGCACCTCTTGTTGATGGAGCACCAGTTTTTCTAGAATGAGGGGCTGCTTTTCATTTCCAGCAGCACAATCAGTGGCTGGAAAAGGGAGAGAGAAACCCCAGACAAAACCCACCTGATGCATCACAGATGCTGCAGACCGAGGCCTGGAGAAAAAAAGGGGGACTTGATTCCCTTTGATATTGGGAGAAGTCTGTTTCCCAAGCTGTGGCCACTGAAATGAAACTGCTGAGATCCCCATACCTAAGAAGGAACTTTTGGACACAGGAAGGGGAACATCACACACCGGGGACTGTTGTGGGGTGGGGGGAGAGGGGAGGGATAGCATTAGGAGATATACCTAATGCTAAATGACGAGTTAATGGGTGCAGCACACCAACATGGCACATGTATACATATGTAACAAACCTGCACGTTGTGCACACATACCCTAAAACTTAAAGTATAATAATAATAAAATTAAAAAAAAAAGAAGAAGGAACTTTTGGACAATAGGCGTTCTTCCATTATAGGATGAAAGGGTAGGTGGGGCTGGAAGTATACTCAGCAGTGGACACTCTTTTCCCCACAAGGAGCTTTTTTACTTTTAAAAACTAAAACTGAAATGAATTGTTATAAAATATCACATCATATTAAAATATAAAATATTTTATATTGAAACATATATTCAATATATCTTGGCACTCTGTATATGAAATATTATATCATACCTGATGATATCATAAAATATCATTTTAAATTATATTAATACAAGTTTGTTTTATAAAACCTAAAAAATAACCAAGAAATAAAGCAGGGAAAAAAACCTTGATGACTGCTTCTCAGAAGCTTGCTTATACGATTTCCCCTTTTGAAAATTAAGTTTTTTTTCAGAATACTCTGTTTTCTTAGTTATCAATGTGTGAGTACAGGTCAAATGACTTATAATGAAAATTGTTAATATGGAAAGTTTTGTATTTCCTTAGGCTGAGTTTTTTTAATAAATAAACTTAAAATTTGGAAGAGTTCTAGATTTACGGAAAAGTTGCAAAGAGAGTGTTGAGAGCTCCCCTTGGATCTCCCTCACCCAGGTTCTGTTCCCTTAATGTGACCGTCTTATGTCACCACAGGGCACTCGTTGAATCTGAGAAACCAAGCTTGTTGAAACTAAACTAAATGGGCTTCAGATATAGGTTTACCTTTGGATCACTGCAATTATCTCCCTCCTCACCCATCTTTCAGATTAGTAATTTTTTTTTTTTTTTTAGATGAAGTCTTGCTCTGTCGCCCAGGCTGGAGTGCAGTGGCATGATCTCGGCTCACTGCAACCTCTGCCTCCCGGGTTCAAGCGATTCTCCTGCCTCAGCCTCCTGAGTAGCTGGGATTACAGGCGCCTGCCATCATGCCCAGCTAATTTTTGTATTTTTAGTAGAGACAGGGTTTCACCATGTTGGCTAGGCTCGTCTCAAACTCCTGACCTCAGGTGATCTGCTTGCCTCGGCCTCCCAAAGTGCAGATTAGTAGTTTTTTTTTTTCTTTTTTTGAGATGGAGTCTCGCTCTGTCACCCAGGCTGGAGTCCAGTGGCGCCATCTCGGCTCACTGCAAGCTCCGCCTCCCGGGTTCATGCCCTTCTCCCGCCTCAGCCTGCCGAGTGGCTGGATTTACAGGCGCCCGCCACCACACCCGGCTAATTTTTTGTATTTTTAGTAGAGACGGGGTTTCACCGTGTTAGCCAGGATGGTCTGGACAGATTAGTAGTTTTTAAAGGTCTTATATCTCTCATTCTTGAATACAATATAATTACCTAATTTAAATCACTTGTTTCAAATTTCTGGAACTCATTTTCGCTGCGAAAGAATACTAGCCATGATTATCAAATATGTGCTTTTATCTGTGGTAGTTTAAGCAGAATAACTAAGCAACAATACAATAGGCCCTCCTCCTGGGGTTACTGTGTAATCCACATATTGAGGTGCCCAACAAAACAGAGTCCTTAAATGTCTTACAGTTATGGTTCTTTCTTTATTCTACATTTTTTAAAACGATGAAGAAGGAAGGCTGTATCAGAGTCCTGGTAGAAAACATGACACACTCAAGTGAAGCAACCGAGGACACGTTAAGACATTTATTCACAGAGCTACGGGCAAGTGGAAGGAGACTCTTGGGGTAGTGCAGTACTTTGGAGCTAGCAAGAGTGGGGAGCTGTTAGGATTCCTAGGCTTGGGAGGAGCAACTGCAAAAAATGATGGCAACATATATGCAAACAGACATCAACAGTTAGGTATGTATTCTCAAACAGACTTCAAAAGTAATTTAACACAATTGTTCGTGTGTCCTTCAGTCTAGACACTGTTATTCACATCAGCTGTGCAGGACTGAACAAAGAGAGAAATCAGAACTTCTGGCAAAATAAAGGGATAACATGTCTCGTTCAACTTGAGAGTCACAATTCCCCTGCTGTTTCTGGTAAATGCTATGCCTCATGGAAGCTGGTCAGAGCTTTGTCAGGCTTTCTAGAATTAGTATAGTCAGCATCTTTGCTGCAGAATAAGCTGTCCCTGCTTCATTATGCAAGCTGCACTGTGAATGTTTGCTGTGACGCTGCCGTCCTCAGTGCCTGATGCTGGTTTTGCATTTGAGTTTCATTCTTTTTCTGTATTCATGCGGTTGGGAGTTGTTTCCTGCATAACAGCACCATTAACAGCTACACCTCATTTTCTATCAATTCCTTAAGATTTGGATGGAAGAAATTCCTAAATCACATTCCTTGTCAGACAGTTTGCATGTCAGTTTAAGGTCATTAAATCCACCATGATTTCTGAAATTTCTCTTTTGCTCTTCAGTTTGTGAACATGGATTTGTAAGTCACCATTCCAACCAGGATGCATACACTGAAATGCATATCCAGATTAATAACAGGCTAGGAAGAATAATGAGTTCTCTCTCTCTTCATTCATTCACACATTTGTGTTTAGACAAAGACATTTTGGACCAAATCATCTATAACTGACTGAAACTCCGTTTTGATTGTCTTAATAAGAAATGAATTTGTAGAACATTTTAAGGGCTTTATTAATAGGTTATAAGTTTACGATAAAAGCAAAATAACTTAAAATTTTTTAAAAGGTTGAAAAAGAATGTATTACTAGGCTTATAGGTTAGATAAATATGAAAATATGAAAAATTTGAAGAGATCATATTCAAAATAAATTAAGAAACCAATTTTTATGTTAAATGATTAATAAATGAGTTGGTGTCTGTATGGGGGAGTTTTCTTTTGGTGTGCAATAGCGCTTGTCTTCAATATTATCAACAAATACTCTGGAAACAGGTATCAGTGACACCCAAAATATTACCAGCAGCAATAGTAAACATAAGTGACAGTGAGTAAGTGCTAACCATGCCCCAGCTGTGTGCAGAGGACTCTGTAGGATGATCTCACTTAATACCCACAGAACATAGGTCTTGTAATGAACCTATTATTATCCAAGGGAATGGAGGCAAAGAACGGAAGTATACCCAAGATGGCAAAGGGTTGGAGCAAAAATCTGGACCCAGTTTTTCTGATTCCATTGCCCAGGCTCCTAACCACAAGACTCTGCTCTTGCCCAGTGATTCAAATTCGTGCTTGCTTTGCAGCTGGGATCGAGGCAGGGGATGTCTGTGAGAATCTGGGCCACCCTGAATGAGAACAGGAATCCTTCAAAATGAAACTTATCATGATTCACTACTTCATGAAGCTGCCCTGGCATCCTAAAACTCTCCTCGCAAATATAGAGAAGTGAGAAGTTTTTCAGCAATGACATCTACAAAAAAGACTAGAGGGTCTAATGATTAACATTTTTGAAATGAGTTCATTGTATGATTTGGCTGCTATAAGTGCTAGACAGCATATGGGAATGTGTTTTATAAGCCATAAGTCACTACAAAATGTCACATGTACGTATATGCTGTAATGATAGGTGTTGATTCTGCTATAAAGCTAGGGACCACATGTGGGAAAGTGTTCTGTAAATCATAAATTACTATACAATGTCAAATATGTATATGCATGTGCCATTGATAGATATTGACTCTCAGAAGAAGGAAATGAAGCATGTCTTCTTGGGAAGGGAGGTTGGAGGGATTGATTGTCTCCTCTATGAGTCATCATCCCTATTTGTTTCTGAAAGATTTGGCGTGGTCTGTCTGGACATGAAGCATGGGGACAGAAAAGCAATAAGAAGGGAGGGAGAATCTCTCTCAACAGGTCTTGCTGAAGGCTGGCATCACACCCCAGGGGCCTAGGCAGTGTGTAAAGCTGATTTATTTCTCTGGTAAGTTGCTTTTATTCATAGATTGTTCTCTTGCTGAGTAATCCCTCAGTGGAGGTGATGTCTGTTACCACAGCTCATCACTGACTCTTTCTGCAGACCTCAGGAGCCCTCAATCCCTGTGGCTTCTCTTGCCAAGGGCAATTTGTCCTAATGTCCCAATCAAACAGTGTTATGGTTCCCCGCAGGGCAGATGGACCCCCACCCAAAGTTTGTTTTGAATGCGCAGACAGAGGTGCACATAATCCAATCCATACACAATCCAAGAGGGCACGAAAAGCATTGCAACTTACATAATTGTGGTCTCTGGGGAGGGCAGAGTGGGCCTCTCAAACAGGCTAAAATGGCTTAGAGAATAGGAAAGGACACTGACCTGGTGGTTAAGGGATAGAGCAGGCTGAAAGAGCCCTCTAGTGAGCCAGTGGGCACATGCTTGCATGGTTTGAACCTCCGGGCAGTGCCAACAGAGGGAGGCCCCAGGCTTTCTTTGCAGCTTGTCCAGGTGTGGGGCACAAGGAAGAAGAAGGGGAAGCCCCAAAGCTAAAGCCAAGCAGACTCCTCATCTACCAGCAGGCTCTACACCATGCATGCCAGGCAAGTGGTGGGATTCTTGCAGGTGACCTTTTCCTGGGCGGCAGGCCCATCCCGACACAGCCACCTTGCCTCAGAATCCTCTGGAAGAAGCCAGCCAGCTGGTCTTTAGAACCTTGGAAGTCTTAGGAAAAATCAGACCTATGTGTTGCCCCTTGTCCCTTGCCCTTTTTCTCTTGGTAAAGAAATTCTCTTCAAAGCCCTTCCTGTCTTCACACACACCCACCCTTGAACACCTGTGGTGACGAGGAACTCATGGGGATTGTATCTGCTTTTCATTTTGGGACTACATCTGTTGAGATTTGCTTCTTGGTCTGGCATTTTAGTTTGGAACTGCATAACTATTGTACCTTGGAGGAACATTTTAATATCCTGCTACAGTTGTTTACTTATTACTTATTACTGGCTTCTTGCTTATTACATAATTTATCCTTCAATTACTTCTCAAAGGGATTAGAGAAGATTGACAACATGGAAATTCATATGCTGTCATCCAGTTTCAAGTACAGTCAGCATTCTCCTCCCAGTGGGAAATGGCTTTGATGTTCCTCATGGTTTCTCAAAGACACCAATGGATGTACTCAAGAGGGTGATAACTATGTCTATGGTAAATATATTTCTTAAAGCTTTATTTAAAATGAATTATTTTTAATCAGGTAACTTAGGTATATTCCAGTATCATCAATAGAGCTTTTTCTCTGTGTGTGGTTTTCCTTTTGTTTTGTTTTGTTTCTTTTTTAAGAGATAGGATCTCGCTCTATTACCCAGGCTGGAGTGCAGTGGTGCAATCCTAGCTCACTGCAGCCTCAAACTCCTTGGCTCAAGCAATCCTCTCAACTCAGCCTCTCAAAAGTAGCTGGGACTAGAGGTGCAAGCCGCTGCACTTGGTAAACAGAGCATTTTTTTTTTTTAAGAAAAAAATTGATGTGCCTGGATCCACCCTCAGGTATTCTATTTTAGTAGGTATGGAATATATCTAGTATATCTAGGTATTTTCATTGACCATCAAAAGCTGCACAGGTGATTCTGATGCATGCCCTGGTTCAAACCTATCCCTCCCCAAACCATAACTTATCTAATTAGTCTATCTCTGCAGATCCAATCTTCTTTACCTTTTTTGTTTTTAAATCTAGAATTCTACAAATAAATGAAACATTTCTCAGCGTGTCTTACCCATGCTGGACAATATGTCTCAGTTATTTCACTATTTGTCTCAGGGAAAGGTTTTCTGATGATGGCAAATAGAATAGGGAATCTCACAGTATGAGTAGGATAGAAGTATTGAGCCGCAAGGGAGTGCCCTATTTTGTATATGTCTGTCCTTATCTTCCAATTCTAATGAAAAATGCCCTGCCCCTCTGATATGGTTTGGCTCTGTGTCCTCACCCAAATCTCATCTTGTAGCTCCCATAATTCTCACGTGTTGTGAGAGGGAGCCGGTGGGAGATGATTGAATCATGGGGGAATTCTTTCCCATGCTTTTCTCATGATAGTGAATGGGTCTCACAAGGCACGATTGTTTTAAAAACAGGAGTTTCTCTGCACAAGCTCTTTTTGCCTGCTGCCATCTACTTAAGATGTAACTTGCTCCTCCTTGCCTTCTGCCGTGGTTGTTAGGCCTCCCCAGCCATTTGGATCTGTAAGTCCAATAAACCTCTTTCTTTTGTAAATTGCCCAGTCTAAGGTATGTCTTTATCAGCAGCATGAGAACAGACTAATACAGTAAATTACTACCAGTAGAGTGGGGCATTGCTGAAAAGATACCCAAAAATGTGGAAACGACTTTGGAATTGGGTAACAGGCAGAGGTTAGAACAGATTGGAGGGCTAAGAAGAAGACAGGAAATTGTGGAAATGTTTGGAACTTCCTAGAGGCTTGTTGAATGGCTTTGACCAAAATGCTGATAATAATATGAACAATGAAATCCAGGCTGAGGTGGTCTCAGATGGAGATGAGGAACTTGTTGGGAACTGGAGCAAAGGTGATTGTTATGTTTTAGCAAAGAGACTGGTGGCATTTTTCCCCTACCCTAGAGATTTGTGGAACTTTGAACTTGAGAGAGATGATTTAGGGCATCTGGTGGAAGAAATTTCTAAGCAGCAGAGCATTCAAGATGTGACTTGGGTGCTGTTAAAGGCATTCAGTTTTATAAAGGAAGCAGAGCATAAAAGTTCAGAAAATTTGCAGTCTGACAATGCAATAGAAAAAAAAAATTCATTTTCTGAGGAGAAATCCAAATCAGCTGCAGAAATTTGTGTAATGAGCAGCCAAATGTTAATCCCCAAGACCATGCGGAAAATGTCTCTAGGCCATGTCAGAGATCTTCATGGCAGCCCCTCTCATCACAGGCCTGGAGGCCTAGAAGGAAAAAGTGATTTTGTGGGCTGGGCCCAGGGTCCCCATGCTGTGTGCAGCCTAGGGATTTGGTGCCCTGCATCCCAGCCGCTCCAGCTGTGGCTGAAAGGGGCCAATGTAGAGCTCAGGCTGTGGCTTCCGTGGATGCAAGCCCCAAGCCTTGGCAGTGTGGTGTTGAGCCTGCAGGTGCACAGAAGTCAAGAACTGAGGTTTGGACACCTCTGCCTAGATTTCACAGGATGTATGGAAATGCCTGGATGTCCAGGCAGAATTTTGCTGCAGGGGCAGGACCCTCATGGAAAACCTCTACTAGGGCAGTGCAGAAGGGAAATGTGGGGTTGAAGCCCCCACACAGAGTCCCTACTGGGGCACCACCTTGTGCAGCTGTGAGAAGAGGGCCACCATCTTCCAGACCCCAGAATGGTAGATCCACTGACAGGTTGCACTGTGCACCTGGAAAAACTACAGACATTCAACACCAGCATGAAAGCAGCTGGGAGGGAGGCTGTACCCTGCAGAGCCACAGGGGCAGAGCTGTCCAAGACCATGGGAACCCACCTTTTGCATCAGCATGACCCAGATGTGAGACGTGGAGTCAAAGGAGATCATTTTGGAGCTTTAAGATTTGACTGCCCTGCTGGATTTCAGATTTGCATGGGGCCTGTAGCCCCTTTGTTTTTGCCAATTTCTCCCATTTGGAATGGCTGTATTTACCCAATGGCTGTACCCCCATTGCATCTAGGAAGTGACTAAGTTGCTTTTGATTTTACAGGCTCATAGGTGGAAGGGACTTGCCTTGTCTCAGATGAGACTTTGGACTGTGGACTTTTGAGTTAATGCTGAAATGAATTAAGACTTTGGGGGACTGTTGGGAAGGCATAATTGGTTTTGAAATGTGAAGATATGAGATTTGGGAGGGGCCAGGGGTGGAATGATATGATTTGGCTCTGTGTCCCCACCCAAATCTCATCTTGTAGCTTCCATAATTACCACATGTTGTGAGAGGAACCCAGTGAGAGATGATTGAATCATGGGGGTGGGTCTTTCCTGTGCTGTTCTCATGCTAGTGAATGGATTTCATGAGATCTGATGGTTTTAAAAGTGGGAGTTTCTCTGCATAAGCTCTCTTTTTGCCTGCTGCCATCTTGCCTTCCATCATGATTGTGAGGCCTCCCCAGCCATGTGGAACTGTAAGTCTAATAAACCTCTTTCTTTTGTAAATTGCCCAGTCTTGGGTATGTATTTGTCAGCATGTAAAAACAGACTAATACACCTTCCCTCCAATGGCTTTATTTCCATATTTTGCTGGACCAATTTTCACCTTCATTTTTAACTCCCTCATTTGTTTTGTCTTGCAAGCTTAACTAAGGTTTGAGGTGGGCAGACATTTCTGAAGACAGTGATCTCTTTTTAATGACATGCCACAGTTGGAAGCTACCTTGTTAGGAAGTACAAAACTGGGAGGCATTTGTCTTACACTTTCATCTGGTAAAGTGATTCAAAGACCAATTCAAACTTCGTTGAAATTATAGTAACATTTTAGAAAATGACACACACAAACCCAAATGGCACATGCAAATGCAAACCTTAGCATGCAGAATCCTTGGAATTGCCAAATGTTCACCAAATGAGGTGTACATTTCTGTGAGTATAATGGATAGCATTAAAGATTAAGAATGCTGGAAACTCTGTGTTGGATTAATGTCCAGAAACTTCTGATTAGTTTTAAACACAGTAACTTAGAACACAACAGCTTTCCCCTTTTTATTTTTGTTATGCCAGAAATTGTGTGGTAAAGTTTTCACTGTAGAAAAAAATTAGAAAACATTAAAATATCACAAGCCTGCCTCAATGTCACCACCCACTAATAAGCAATATAAATAATTTGGTTTATATTTCCATAAAATTAGTTAAAAGGGTATCATGTTATATACTATTTTTAGCTGTTTAGCTCAGTGATGAAAATACCATAGAACTTTTCTTTTAAAATAGATAATAGTTCAGGGTTTATTAATTGAGCATCTTCTGTATATCAGGCATTTGAGGTATTGGGATAGAGTGGGGAGCTCACAGAACTTTCAGTTGAGTGGAGGAGTTAGTCATTAATGAAGACACATGCAGGGTGTGAGGAGAGGCTGAAATGGGGCTGGGGTTGGTTTAATTTGAAGGTCAAGAAGGAACTACAGGAAGAAGGGACATTTGAGCTGATATCTGAGGAATGAGAGAGAGATAGCAGGGAAACAGCTGGTCTGTCCAGACATGATAATCTCATATTTATTCCATGTTTTAGGTGCAGCTTCAAACTTACCATCTTAGCATTGTAAGAAGCCTCCCCTTCTGCCTCTCCTGCCCCTCTACCTTACCTTGTGGCTCTTTTCTTGGGTCAGGAGCCTGGAGGTCTGGGAGTCCAGCTCTGAGCCTGCTCCCTGCTCATACCTGCTGTTTCTCTCTTCTGTTACACATCCTTCTCTCTCTGACTCAGCTAGGTCCAATACTAGGTCTTTTCTCAATAGGAGAATCGTGTATTAGGAGAGAAATTTTCTATTCTTATCACCAATTACAAGATGCCAAGAAAAGCTTATTCAATAAAATATGTGGTGCAATTGTGAGATTCCCTTCATTGCAGGTGAGAATATTCTTCCAACAGAGTTGAGGTCAAATTCTCCCAGCAGTTACCGGGTGACTCTGTCATTGTGAGCACAATGTAAGTAAGCAAGAAGTTGGGTTTTCCAGGCCCTACAGTATGCATCTGAATAGCACTCATCACACGGTTTGGGGGAACCAGTCTCTTCCTCTTTACTAGAGGTGTAACTAGGGCAGGTTATTGAAACTCTGCTAACCTCAGTTTTCTCACTGATAAATGTCCTAATAAGCTCAGACTACTATAACAGAATACCACATACTTTGTGGCTTAAACAAGAGAAATTTATTTTCTCACAGTTCTGGAGGCTGGATGTCCAAAATAATGGGTGCTGGCTGATTCAGCTTGTGGTGAGGGCTCTCCTCCTAGCTTGCAGACCGCCACCTTCCCATTGTATCCTCACATATGGTGAAGAGGGAGGGAGCTCTGGTCTCTGTTCCTCTTCTTACAGGGATGTTAATCCCATTATAGAGACCCCCACTCTCATGACCTCATCTAACTTTATCAGCCTCCCAAAGGCCTCACCACGCAAATACCATCACATTGGGGGTAAGTGCTTCAACATATGAATTTGGGGGGAACACAAATATTGAGTCCATAACAATACAGTAGGGATGATGACACTGTTGTTGGCTTCTGTTGTTTTTGTCTGCTCAGCATCCCTTTCCTTGAGAAGCAGCCATGCACCATCTGGTGCTGGGGAGAGGCACTGCCAATGCCACAAGTCCCACCTCTCTGGTCATGGAGGGGGCCATGAAATTCAGGCCCAGCCAGTGATAGTGACCTATCCTTTTAGCCTCAGAGTCAGGCTCAAGGTTGTGAATGTGACTCAAATAAGGTCAATCAATCCTTCTCTGGGGTCTTATTTACAGATGATGAGCGAGACCCTGACTCTTTCCTAGGCCCATGAGCTAAAAAAAACTATGGGCAGCCATGGTCTCCATTGCACAGGAGAGATCTTGTCTGTAACAGGAAAGAATAAACCAAAAAGAGCTGAGAATAAGGGGATCAGGGAGAGAGGAAGGGGCCCGTAACAGTGGAGGAGACACCCACCCTTGTCATCCCTGAGGTTAACTTCACCCTTAGACTTCCCTGTGATGCTTCTTTAGCATTCCTTTTCATTGGCATTAGTTTTGGTTGTGTTTTCATCGATTGGAACTTAAAAAGTTCTGGCTAAATAAAATATTGACTTTATAGAGTTGTGAAAATTAAATTTTGTATTATGTTAAGGGCTTCATTATCAGAGCCTCTGGAAAATGGAAAGTACTTAATAACTTATGGCTAATTGTATTGGTGGCCCTTCTCTCTGTTTTTCTGGAACCTGGTTAGTAAACGGTGGTCCCTGTGGTCCAGTGGCATTGGCATCTCCCAGGAGCCAATTAGAAATGCTGAATCTCAGACCTCACCTAAAATCTGCTCAATCAGAATACGCATTTGGCAATGTCCATGCATGAATTGTATGCACATAAAGTATAAAAAGTACTGGCCTAACACCAAAAGCACAGGCAAGAAAAATAAAAATAGACAAATTAGACTCCATCAAAATTTAAAACTTCTGTGCATCAAAGTGCATAGAGTGAAAGGAAAATCATGTATCTGACAAGGCGTTAAAATCCAGAATATATAAGGAATGTCTACAACTCAACAGCAGCAAAACCCAAGTAACCCAATTAAAAATGGGCAAAGGACTTGAATTTCTCCAAAGATGATATAAAAATGGCAATAAACACAGGAAAAAATGCTCCACATCACTAATCACTAGGGGAATGCAAATCAAAACCACAATGAGATATTGCCTATAACCATTAGGATGGCTATGAACACACACACACACACACACACACACACACACACTAGCAAGTGTTGGTATAGATATGGAGAAATTGAAATGCTTGTGCAGTGTTGGTGGAAATGTTAAATGGTGCAGCTGCTATGGAAAATGTATGAGGTTTCCCCTAAAAATTAAAAATAAAATTACCATATAATCTAGCAATTCCACTTCTGGATATATAATGAATATAATTGAAAACAGGATGTCAGTGAGATATGTGCTTGCCCATGTTCATAGCAGCAATATTCCAAGTAGCCAAGAGGTGAAAGCAATGCCAGTGTCCACTGATGGATGCATGGATAAACAAGATGTGGTATATCCATACAATGAAATATTGTTTAGCCTTAAAAAGGAGGAAAATTCTAATACATCCTACAACATTAATAAACCTTGAGGACATTATACTAAGTTAAATAAGCCAGTCATAAACAGACAAATACTATATAAGTTCACTTATGTGGGGTATCTAAGGTAGTCGAATTCATAAAACCAGAAAGTAGAATGGGGCTGTGGGGGTGGTGATGGGGGAATGGGGAGTTGTTCAATGGGCAAAGAGTTTTAGTCTTGCAAGATGAGAAGTTCTGGGGATTTGTCTCACAACAATGTGAATATACTTAACATGACTGAATTGTGCACTTGGAAATGGTTAACACTGTAAATTATGTTATGTACGTTTTACTAAATAAAAAAGAAATAAGACGGGCTGGGCGCGATGGCTCACGCCTGTAATCCCAGCACTTTGGGAGGCTGATGTGGGTGGATCATGAGGTCAGGAGATCAAGACCATCCTGGCTAACATAGTGAAACCCTGTCTCTACTAAAAGTACAAAAAATTAGTTGGGCGTGGTGGCATGCACTTATAGTCCCAGCTACTCAGGAGGCTGAAGCAGGAGAATCACTTGAACCCAGGAGGCGGAGGTTGCAGTGAGCCAAGATTGTGCCACTGCACTCCAGCCTGGGTGACAGAGCGAGACTCCGTCTCAACAAAAAAAAAAAAAAAGAAAGGAAGAAAGAAAGAAATAAGACAAATGTAAACAAAACAAGAAAAACACTGACCTGCTACACTGGGGTTCTTTGATAGAAAAGTCTGAAAATATGAGATGTTACAAGTGGATGGCTTCCTAATTCCAAGTAGAAACACTCAGATGTGTACCGTGGAAGTCAGAAAGTCAATGAGATAAACAGACTTCACAAACAAGTTTAAAAAGAGTTGGTGGCGTGAATGTCACTGGCGAAGATTTTACAACTAGCAGTCTTCGTCTGTCGCCTGGCTTTCACAGAACTTAAAAAAAGCCTCATAATTTAAGTTTGACTTGTCTCTTCGATCACTGTTACCGTGTTCTTTATAGTAAATGTAGTCAGGATTCTTTTGTACCCTAACTAGGGCAAGTTTGTTTTTGGAATAAATGCAGCCCTCAAAATACAGAAGAACTCTGTTCCAGAAAAATTTATTTCTAGGTCAGTTGAATACAAGTTTGAACTCATTTGTAGTTGAAAACAACGCTAGAAATAGTCTTTAAGTTATTAGATGTGTACACAAATCTTACAACATAAAAGTGCTTAAGATGAATTTCACTCACAGCCAGTGACCACTTCTAACAGCAGAACTTTTTGCAGTTCGGAGAAGGAGACCTGAGACACATTTACCCTTCCTCAACCACCCAGAGGGGATTGTTTGTTAGGAGGCTGCCAAGGTATAGCCCAGGGGGTTGGAGATGACCTGATGTCATGCTGCCTCCAGCACAGTTGGATTTTGGTCCTTGGCTTTTCCCTAGTGTCATTAAACACATCCCCTAAGAAAAATGCTCACTCTTTGGCCTTTGGTCATCACTGATGAGTTCTAGATCTCTCTATCAGAAGTCTACAGGCATCATAATTAGCTAGAAAGGGTTCTAAGCCTAAGACTCCTCCCTCTTTCTAGGATTCTGTTCAATGCAGTGTAGCCATGAAGATTCTCTCTTTCAAAAGAGACCTCACTATTCTGTCAATGGCTGGGCAAGTGCCCAAAGCCTACCCAAATGGAAGGCTTCTGAGAAGCCTGGGTGGAGAACACAGATTTGCCCAGTGCTCAGAGCTTCTGTGGGAGGCTGAATAATGCCTCCCCGAAGATAGCCATGTCCTAATCCCTGAAATCTGTGAATGTTACCTTGTGGCATAAAAAAAGGATCTTTACAGATGTAATTAAGAATCTTGAGATGGGCAGAGTCTCCTGGATGACCAAGTGAGTCCTAGTCCTAAGTACAATCACATGTACTCTTTGTAACAGGGAGGCAGAGGGAGATTTGGTAACACTCAGAGGAGAAGGTGACTTGAAGGGAGAGCAAAGAGAGGTTGGAAGACTCTGGCCTTGAAGACAAGAGATTAGAAGATAGCATCCCCACAAGTCAAGGGATGATGGCAGCCACCAAAGGGTTTCCTGTTGACACCTCGATTATAGTCCAGTGATTCTAATTTCTGGCCTCCAGAACTGTGGGAGAATGAACTGCGATTGCCTGAAGGCAGCAAGTTTGTGGTCATTTGTTATAGCAGCCACAGGACATGAATACAGCCCCCATCTGCCACCTGCATCCATCCTTGGCACTCTGGTGCATGTGCTCCGAGCCAAGTATTACCCACGTGGCTGGCTGCAAGGAGACAGAAAGCAAGGACAGGCTGTGATACCTGAGCAGGAAGAAGGACAACAGGGAAACAGAAGACCTATTGCACTGATGAGAAGGAGAAGGGAGAGACCTGCCTTTACAGCACAATGTATTAAAATATGACACCATGAATTCCAGGTTTCCACACCGTCTCCCTTCAGGGAGAAGGAGCAGAATAGTAACAAGGAATTGAAATCTTGTGTACCAGACGATCCCATCACTGCCTTTACCACCTCCCATGGACACATTATGGACAAAGGGAGCTTGGGGCACAAATAGTCCTCCTTTCTCAAGCTTTATCTTGTCCTAAATTGATCTCATTATCTCCCTTGTTCTGTCTCTACCCCTCTCAACTTATGCTGCCTTCCGTGCCCCCACTTTAGTTTATAGCATCATCATCATCTGCCCTATATGTACCCAAGAGAAGTGGGACCACCCTGACTCCCCTTTTTTCCATCCTGCCCCATATCTCATTAGAAATGTAAGCCCTTTGTATTATCCACTGAACATATTTCATTGATAATTTTTCCTTTTTCATTCTCATTGTCAGTCCCTAATTGAAGTCCTCTTTCACAGGAGCTTCACCATATCCCAGTCCGATCCCACTACTTCCCTGATGGAAACCCTTCAGTGGGCTCCTGGCATGTTTCCCAGAAGGTCCCAGATCTCTGGCATCACTCTCTGTGGTTTGAACTTGCTTTCTTTCAAGATTCACCTGTAATTTTATTCTGCTTTTCACTATAAACTGTAGACTATAGTTACACTTAAGATGTTACCATTTCCTGACCATGCCACGCGATTTCATGACACCAAGTCTATTCTCCTTGGCATAATGTACCATGGCTTCCCCAGCAGAACTGGGGGCAATGAAGGAATGAAGCCCTACATCAGTGCTTTCCTTTAAGACTGCAGGGAAGAAACATGGAGAACAGGCATCCAAAAGGGCAGGTCACCCCGGTGGCCATACGTTGCCCTCAGTAACTTCAGCCCCAGAGTCCCCAGCAAGTCTCAAAATCAACACATTTGGCCGGGCGCGGTGGCTCACGCCTGTAATCCCAGCACTTTGGGAGGCCGAGGTGGGCGGATCACGAGGTCAGGAGATCGAGACCATCCTGGCTAACACGGTGAAACCCCGTCTCTACTAAAAATACAAAAAATTAGCCAGGCGAGGTGGCGGGAGCCTGTAGTCCCAGCTACTCGGGAGGCTGAGGCAGGAGAATGGCGTGAACCCAGGAGGCGGAGCTTGCAGTGAGCCGAGATTGCGCCACTGCACTCCAGCCTGGGCGACAGCGAGACTCCGTCTCAAAAAAAAAAAAAAAAAAAAAAAAAAAAAAAAAATCAACACATTTGCTCCAAGAGGCTCCAGGTGATGGCTTAAACATCTGATTCACCTTATCTTTTTCTTCCAGAATGTATACATTCATCCCTTGTTTAAAGAAGTTTGGTTTACTTTTTTTCTTTAATCTACCTGAGTTTAGAAGATGCCAGTCTTTGCATTTAGTAATTGTTTTGCAGCAAGTTAAAGAAAGCAACACTTCCACTCCAAGTCTATACCACCACCTCCTTGTGCTCCTCTTCCCTGAGTGTGAGTTTCTGCAGAGAAGGCCCTCAAATCCCCCACCCCAGCACCAATGCTTAGTGCTTCCTTCCCTGCTGGAGTGTGTGCAGGTGGGTAAGGACTTTGCTTGATGGTATAGTAGATATCTTAGAACACAGTTCATTCCTCTGTCAAAATGAGTCTGCTGATATACAGCTGTTGATTAAATACCCAAGCTTTGAATTGCCTAAGCATTTTCCCAGAGGTTTTAGCCTGGAAGTCACTAAGTTGCCTGTGAGAGTCAAGATTACATTTTCCCCCGATACCAGAAGAAACGAAAGCTCATGAGTTGTTGAGTGCAGCTATGGAGAAATAGAATGTCACCTCTCTGTACAGGTAAACTTCTTTAACCTCCTAACATCCCATTGGGCAGAAGTCATGTCTGTCCCCTGAGAAGGGATCAGCTTCTCTCCCACATGGATCACACTTTAGGTCAACTTTCGGACCCAGGTCTACACTCTTACTTCTTGGAAAGCAGGTTGTTTTATCCAAAGTGTTCTTCATGCGCCGTAGCGACTTCTGCAAGAAAAGTCTATGTACGTGGTAGGGGCTACAGTCCATCCCACGCATGCCCCATGGAAGAAAACCCTTCTGCATCCTGCTTTTCTGCTGCTGGGTGATTGGAATTCATCACTGGCTGTCTCCAGTTCAGAGGTGGCCCACAATTGTAGCAGTCCCCGTTAATGGATAATATAGGATGTTTTGCATACTTTGGCCAAATATGGTTGTCATTTTAATGTATGAACCGACACAGTCTAAGATTTAGGTCTTTCCTGAACTTCATTCTGGCCCTATCATTTTATGCACATTCTGTAAATGCGGGGGAGGAGACAATGATAAGGAAAAAGCATGGAACTTCACAACTACAAGCTCTGAAAGGGTCTGCTCTACAGAGGATCATCAGACATTCCTGGTACATATCCTATTTGGATCACACTGTGCAACCAGTCCTAGGTCAGGTGGCAGAAAGGGTTGCCTGCCCTCTTTATGAGGAGAGGAATCTACTTCTTAACCTGCTTGCTGAACTCTTCAGTGACCTCACCTCTGACAGCAAAGTCATGGAGATCTTTCTGGCCAGGTTTGTAAAAGTTAGGTAGCTAGCACGGCAGCTCTGAGAAAACATGAGAGTGTGTCCTGCATCCACTTTTTGGGCTCTGTAGCAAATTTGGGTGCTGCCTAAGGGAATGAAACAACCTCCCTATGTATAACCTGATCTCTCTAATTGTACCTTAATTTGCTTATGCAGAAAATCACTGGAATTAGAGCCACACATCCTGCTCATTCTGACTAGTACTTCATCCAGCCAAGTCCAGTAACTATGGGAAGGGAAAGCAGCTGAGGGTCACTCTCTTTCGGAAAGGTTTTCATCTGCTTGCAAACCCACCCACACCTCTGCCTTCACTCCTGTAATCAAAGATGCAGATCTTTCTTAGGGCAATTAGGTCTATTCATCTCCTATTTCTATTTTCAGTGTGCCTCTCCCCGCAACACCCAAACACTCAGGTCAGTTCTTCCACCCATGAAAGCATAATGAATACTTACCTACCTGCTCTGGGCACCTCTGGAATTTCAGCAAGCAAGTATTTGATAAGCAAAGACTAGTTTCCTGTTAATTATACTCAGAAATATGACTCATACAAAAGAAGCACAAAACTAATTGGAAAAAGAAATAAAATTAGGCCTGAGAAAGTAAGAAAGTGAAATCATGCAATGGTAATGGGAGAAAAAAATATCCATGATGATAAGACTGAATTAATAGCTTAGATGAGTGTGTGTCGGGGGAGCAGGGAGGGATGATACACCCAGGAAGTGATCATAGAGGGTGGAGATTTGCACTGACATATGAGTCATGACCAAATGGAACAATAAGTTTTGTTTTATGAGATAAAATGTCCAGCCAATTTAGTCCACCATTTAATTGGTTTTACTGATTTTTTTTTCATGGAGTTGACTCATGGTTGTCTTCTTCGTTTTCCCTATTAAATTCCTCCTCCCTATTAAATTGTCTGGTTTGCATTAAGATGATAACTGCCCCACTCTTAAAGATGATTGGAAAACTGGTACAGAGGAGAGAAATCCGTCCTGGAAATAAGACAGAATTTTCTAAAGTAGGATGATGGAGGGCCTTTCTGTACCATAAACAAAGAAGGGAAGGAGGCCCCGCACGGTGGCTCACGCCTGTAATCCCAGCACTTTGGGAGGCTGAGGGAGGTGGATCACCTGAGGTCAGGAGTTCAAGACCAGCTTCGCCAATACAGCAAAACCCCGTCTCTACTAAAAGTACAGAAATTAGCTGGGTGTGGTGGGTGCCTGTAATCCCAGCTACTCAGGAGGCTGAGGCAGGAGAATCACTTGAACCCAGGAGGCGGAGGTTGCAGTGAGCCAAGATCATGTCACTGCACTCCAGCCTGGATGACAAGAGCGAGACTCCATCTAGAAGAAGAAGAAGAGGAAGAAGAAGGAGAAGGAGGAGGAGGAGGTGGTGGTGGAGGAGGAGGAGGAGGAGGAAAGGTAACAGAGATGTTGAGGGCATTTATAAACTGATGAGTTTGGGTGCTCCTTGGATTGAAAGATTCCTAAATCAGCTAATCCCTTTCTCCTCAGAATTATGTCTTTCTGTATAGCAGTCTGTCCTCCAAGTTGGGAAACTGGGAGTTAGGCTACCTGTGTAGTCTTCTGATTTTACTAAGAAACAGAAAATAATGGAACAGGGAACACACAGAGAGGAAGGAACCAGGAAACCAGTTTTCCCCATCCTGATAGTCACTCTTCTGTTTCCCACAGCTGCTTCCTTCAGCAGTAACGTCTCACCATTGAGTGGCCAGGGTGTCCTCAGAGCCATCTTGGGTCCCTTGGTGGCCTGAGTGGGTAGGTCATAGTGGGTGTCTACCTAAGCCCAGTAGGGCCAATATTTATTGAATGACTGTTATGTTTCAGGCACATTGCCTACAGTCCACTAATCCTTAGAGATGAGAAAACAGAAGATGACAAGTTAAGTAATTTTCCCTAAGTTTGGTAAATAAGGAAACCGGGATTTGAGGCTATCTGATGCTCAATCCTGCATTATTTCTGCTAACCCAAGCTGTCTGTTTCATCAGGTAACAATTTTTTTTTCAGGAACTCGTTTAGATTTTATGGTTGTATTAGGAAATCAAGCCTAGAATAATGCATAGAGTCATGCTATGCTGAGATGTTTATTAGCTTCTATTTTCAGAGAGAGCTAGATTTGCTTTTTCCTGGATCAACTTTCTAAGTTCTAAAGCAAATGCCCCAAAGAATATTTCAGGTAGAGCTTAGTTCTCCATCTTGAAAATTCATACCACAACCCTTCTTGAGTGCCTGCTAAGAGCAGTTTCCATGTGAAGTGCTTGGAGATGATTAAAACACATCACTGCCTATGGGGCTCTCAAGGTGAAGTGAAGGGAACTCCTAGAGACCCAGAGAACTGTACATAATGAGAAAGTGCAGTGGTGCAGCTGAGCACGGGAGCCTAGAAAGAGCATAATACCTTCAACTGCTATTGATTGAGTGTTACTCTGCTTCTCTGTCTCTGCTTCTCTGTCTCTGTCTAGCATGCCTAAGTTTGCTATTTCCAAGATCTGGATTTTGGGGTATAATGCCTATCTGCTGTTTTTTTTTTTCTGTCCCCCTCTCCCCACTCTTTTTTGGCACTACACTGTTTTTCTTCTGAAAAACTGTCCTTCTGCCATACCTGGTTCATGTGACTCTGAAGTGTGGCTTGATCCACTTCTTGGCAAGGACTCACATGAGAGGCCTGGCCCATTGGTGTATTCCACATCCCTGTCCAGTGGCTGGTTTGGGAATAGGCATGTGACCCAAGTCAGACCAGAGCAGAGTAATCTGAGGACATTCAGGGACCTATGGAGAAAGAGATACCCTCTTTATGGCTGCTGAGCAGGTAGGAGGCACAGCTGGATATACAGAGCTCCCATAGAGGACAGGGTGCCTGGGAAAGAAGCTGATGTAGAAGACAAAATGTGGGCGGGGTCCTGGCGACAACTTTGTGTCCTGGGCCAGGCCATATTTAACTAGATGCATGGACTTGTAGATCTGTAATCCCACAAATCTCCAACACGTCCTTTACCCTATCTCACCAGGAAGAGTTTGAGTAACCCTTAATATAATAATCCAACTTTCATCTGCTATTGTTCTTGGGTGAATAGCTATTCACTTCTCTGGGAAGTTCATGGGGGAGGAGTGACTAGTAGGGTAGGATCCAGGCCTTCTGGTGTCCATGGTTGTAACGTCAATCACAATACTGTCAAATGTCATCTGAAACTCCTAACAGAGGTCACCAACTTCATCTCCCCACTTACATTCAGATATAAGATTTCTAAAAATCTTTTTTTTTTTTTTGAGACGGAGTCTTGCTCTGTCACCCAGGCTGGAGTGCAGTGGCACGATCTCGGCTCACTGCAAGCTCCGCCTCCCAGGTTCACGCCATTCTCCTGCCTCAGCCTCCCGAGTAGCTGGGACTACAGGCGCCCACCACCACGCCCGGCTAATTTTTTCTATTTTTAGTAGAGATGGGGTTTCACCATGTTAGCGAGGATGGTCTCGATCTCCTGACCTCGTGATCCGCCCGCCTCGGCCTCCCAAAGTGCTGGGATTACAGGTGTGAGCCACCGCGCCCGGCCTTCTAAAAACCTTGGTTTCACCATCAATGGTTATTTGCAGGTCACGTCACTGGTCACTGGTGGCCTTCTCACAGCATAAAACTGTTAATGAACTGAGACTGTAGACTTGAAAAAAGTGTGAAATGGAAAAACACCAAAACACCTGTCTTCTGTGATGTTTGTATACAACCAATTATTTGCAATAATCACAACCGGCTTGAATACAATATAAAAAGAACCTTTCCATTATACTGTTAAAAGTATACAAATGCCTCACTCAAGTCTTTCAATTAATATAAAGTATGATTGAGAAATTAAGCTTGTTAACTTTCCACCCCCATTCACCTAACGCAACATATTCAATATCATATATAAGAAACCTAAAACCACACCTAAACATGTAAAACTCACCTAAACATTCATGTTCTGGTGCTATTGGCTGTACAAGTATGAGGAGATAGCTTTTAAATAAAAATGGCAACATATATTAAGTATATTTCATGAGGTAAGAAATTGCATGATTACCTAAGTCCTTTTGATGTAAATTGTACCACATTTTGCCTGCTCTGCCGGTTTAAACAAATCCACAGCCCTGGAAATTACTCTAGATTTGATTTTTGCGCTTCTATGCAAACTATACCACAACCCATCTTGCAAACTATACCACAATCCTTCTTGAGTACCTGCTCTAGATTTGAACTAGAGCAGGTTGCTTGGGTCCCTAGGCCTAGGTGTTCCCTTCACTTCATCTTAAGCGTCTCATAGGCAGTGATGTGTTTTAATAATCTCCAAGCACTTCACATAGAAACTGCTCTTAGCAGGTACTCAAGAAGGGTTTTGGTATAGTTTGCACAGAAGTGCAAAAATCAAATCTAGAGTTAACTACTCTAGCACCAAATCCAGAGTAGTTAACACTCTTGAATACCTGCTCTAAATTTAAACCTGAGCATGTTTAAAGAAGGTGTCAATCTGAAGAGGTAGGACCAGTCATCACTGTAAGTAATGAAAAGGGAAGTCAGTGGAGGAACATATATTTCTTCAAATACAAGAACATTCCCTTATGCAAGCTTTCCCTTCCCCAAACTCTATGCAATATTATTTGTCCAGTGGCAGGAATCATGCTTAAGCCATTAGCATCATAAATTGCTTAGAAAACAAAGTATGGCTTATTTGAAAGATATATGGAGAACTGAGCAAATTAAGTCTGTCCCTGCTGTTTTATCTTTATTTATTAATGGCAATAATTCTGTCCTAATCGTTTGTATAGCACTTAGTCAATTATGTGGCATCTAAAGCTCTTCAAGTGATTTTAGTTAATGTCTTCCTTTTTCTCCTGCACAGGCAGATGCAAATTGCTCTGGGGAAAGTTGTAAGGTCAAGGGCAGTTGTGGTTTCTGCTGTTAAGGGAATCTGTACAGTCACCCCTCTTCCCAAGACAAGAACTTAGAATTGATGAAGTAAGCAATCAACAGATCACAGCAGATATAAGGAAAGTACTTTAAAGAGACGGAATGGTTTGCAGGTGTAGGGGATGATAATGGTAGTTTTATTGGAAGTATGAGCATGTTTAAAGAATGCATCAATCTGAAGAGGTGGGGCCAGTCATCACTGTAAGTAAAGAAAAGGGAAGTCACTGGAGGAACTTGGCTCTGTCCATCTGAGCTCTGTGGCCAGGGGAGCAGCCACGTGGGATTCCAATTGATTAGTACAGAACAGGACCCTGGCTTTTGAGGAGAGGATTCACGGGGATAAGAGCCAGTGAACCTGCTGATAAGATCACTTCTACCAAGCACTTCATTCCTGCAACCACCTTCCTTTCTCATTTCCAGTTCCATAGTCAGCTTGCAACTTTCTGATTAGAAGGTGGCTTTTTGGGTGGATCTTTTAACTAAAGGAAGAAATGCTTTGGAATAGGCATTTTGAGTTTTAGTGTTTTTGTGATATGTTTTAAAAATATTTTGTATTGTGGTAAAATAACTTGTAATTATTTTAACCATTTCTTGAGTATTCAATTCTGTAACATTAAGTACATTCACAATGTTTTGCTATCCTTATCACTATTACTAGAACTTTTTCATTATCCTAAACAGAAATCCTGTACACATTAAACAATAAAACCCCATTTCCCTCTCCTCTCAGCCCTTGGTAACCACTATTCTACTCTCTGTTTCTGTGTCTCTGTTTGTTCCAGATATGTCATCTAAGTTGAATCATACAATATTTGTCTCTGTGACTTTGGCTGCACTCATTTAGGACAATGTTTTCAAGGTTCACCTGTGTCGTAGCATGTATCAGAATTTCCTTTCTTGTTAAGCCTGAATAATATTCCAGTGTGTGCACATACCACATTTCATTCATCTATTAATCTGTTCATAGACATTATGGGTTTTTTCCACCTTTTGGCTATTGTGAACAATTCTGCTATGAGCTTTGGCGTGCATGGATCTAGTTGAGTTCCCATTTTGAATTTGTTTGGGTAGATACTCAGAAGTGGAATTGCTGGGTCCTATGGCAAGTCTCTGTTTAACTTTTTGAGGAATCTCCAAACTGTCTTCCACATTGGCTGCACCATTGCATAATCCCAGCGGCAATGCACGAAGGTGCCAGTTGCTCCACATCCTTGCCAGCATTTGTTATTTTCCATGTTTTTATATTAACCATTCTAATGGCTGTGAAGTGGTTATCATTGTGGTTTTGATTTGCATTTCCTTAATGATTAGTGGTACTAAGCATCTTTTCATGTGCTTTTTGGCCATTTGTAGATCTCCTTTGGAGAAATGTCTACTCAAGTCCTTTGCCCATTTTTAAAATTAGGCCTTGTGATGTAATTTCTTTATGTGAATTTGTGTAACTTCTTCATTAATCAATGGAATTCTTAGTCAACTTGGCTGTAGGAAGGGACTGTGCTGATTTTGTTGATGCAAAGAGCTTGGCTTACTGCTTTGCAGTTACTTCTATTATAAATTAAATTGTCCCTGTAGTTTATTTCAGTTTTCCAAGCCAGATTATCTTGATTTATGCCTAATAGGTGGATTTTCTCTTGCTGTACTGGCAAGTCTGATTCTGAACTTGTGAGGCGGTGGGTCTGAACCCAGATCATAGCATGCTCTCCACTTTAATGAGATACCTTCTGAGGTTCCTGGGGCGGGAACTACTGGCTCTGGATATTTTCTAATTAATCTGCAAGTTTCATCGTCCAGTGCAGTGGCCAGTAGCCACACGTCATCACTTAAAATTAAATTCAGGTTAATTAAAAATTAAATAGGCTGTGCACTGTGGCTCACATCTGTGGTTCCAGCACTTTGAGAGGCTGAGGCAGGGGGATCACCTGAGGCCAGGAGTTTGAGACCAGCCTGGCCAACATGGAGAAGCCCTGTCTCTACTAAAAATATTAAAAAAAAAAAAAAGAAAAAAAAATAGCTGGGTTTGATGGTGCACGTCTGTAGTCCCAGCTACTCAGGAGGCTGAGGCAAGAGAAAATTGCTGGAACCCAGGAGATGGAGGAACCAAGATCAAACCACTGCATTCCAGCCTGGGTGACAGATTAAGATTCCATCTCAAAAAAAAAAAAAAAAAAAAAAAAGGCCGGGCGCAGCGGCTCACGCCTGTAATCCCAGCACTTTGGGAGGCCGAGGCGGGTAGAGCACGAGGTCAGGAGATCGAGATCATCCTGGCTAACACAGTGAAACCCCATCTCTACTAAAAATACAAAAAATTAGCCAGGCGTGGTGGTGGGCGCCTGTAGTCCCAGTTACTCAGGAGGCTGAGGCATGATAATTGCTTGAACCTGGAAGACAGAGGTTGCAGTGAGCCGAGGTTGTGCCACTGCACTCCAGCCTGGGTACAGAGTAAGACTCCGTCTCAAAAATAAATAAATAAATAAATTAATTAAATTGAAGAAATAACCCAGTTTTTTAGTTTCACTAGCTACATCTCGAGCAGTCAGCAGCCACATGTGACCAGCGTCTGCTATACTGAACAACACAGACATGGAACTCTCCCATAATTTCAGAAAGTTCTATTGGACATGTTAATTTTTTAAAATAAGCATTTTTTGGAATCATAAACAATATTTACATCTAATAGAAAACAGATGTTCCCCTTCCTGTGTCCAAGTGTTCTCATTGTTCAATTCCCACCTATGAGTGAGGGGCCTGTCATGGGGTGGGGGGAGCGGGGAGGGATAGCATTAGGAGATATACCTGATGTAAATGACGAGTTAATGGGTGCAGCACACCAACATGGCACATGTATACATATGTAACAAACCTGCACGTTGTGCACATGTACCCTAGAACTTAAAGTATAATAAAAATATATATATAAATAAATAAAAATAAGTAAATAAATAAATAAAAAAGAAAAAAACAGGAAACAGAGAACAAATAATAGATGGGGAAGACGGAAAAGAAATAGCAAGATGATAGATTTAGATCTAACCATATCGATAATCACATTAAATGATCTAAACACCAAAATTAATACACAGATGTTGGCAGAGTGAATAGAGATGCTACCTATAAGAAACCCACTTTGGAGGATAATTGACATCTAAATAACATTTCATTTTTCAGCCAATAAACGCAGTGTATCTCTCCGTTTCTTTAGGTTTTTAAATTTTATCTTAGCAATATTTTGTAATTTTGTCAGATTTGTTCCTAAGTATTTCACATTTCGGAAGTCATTTTAAATAGTATTGTATTTAAAATTTTAATCTCCAATTCTTTATTGCTAGTATATAGAAATACAATTGGTTATTTATACTGATCTTGTATCTGCAACATTGCCAAGCTCATTTAATGGTTCTGATAGCTGTATTATAGACTCCATAGGATTTTCTACATAGATGATTTGCAAATAAAATTGTTTACTTTTTCCTTTCAAAAAATTAAATAAAATAAAAAATAAGCATTCTTAAAGGAGCTTTGGAAACAGGTAAATAAAACTGAACAAAACAGTAACAACCTAAAAAATGACTCCGTGATTAGGCAATGGATTAAAGAACAAAATTAGGACAGAATTGAAATAAACTCTACAGTCTGACTACTAGAAAAGTGTCCATTAGTATTCTCTGCTACAGAATCATTGTAAAATGCTCATGTTGTGGGGCCGACGTGAGGACTCCTGAGCCTAGCACATAGTGAGCGCTGTATAAGGAGGTGACGGTCCTGAAAATGCACTGCAGAGATCTGCTGCTGCTTAGAGTGTAGCTGACTGCTGTCCTCATACTGAGGTCATGCCTCCTGCAGGCAGCTCCCAGCCAACAGCAGAGTGTGGCAGGCTGTCAACGCACACACATTCCAGAGAGGCGCAGATTATTTTAACAGGTGATTTTGACTTGAGGACTCCCCATTGGCCTCCTCAAACCTTTTTGGAACTGCGCTGCAGTCCAAGACTCTTCCTAATACACTCTTTCATCCTTCCTGCTCTTCTTCCCAGATGTCAAACTTGTAACATCAATTGAAGGCTCTCCCCGTTTCCATCTCTCCTGTTCTTTCCCTCAGAAAATCTCTTGTGTGTCTAATCCTATCTTAACATCAGCTTCATGGCAGACCCAAACTAAAGCCAAGTGTTCACTGTTAGTATTACTCTCCAGAAGACATTTCTTCCCCCTTTCCCCATGAGAAGCCTCTCAGAAGCCTTCTCAGATGGAAACTCTCATGTCAGCTAAGTGACCACCATTTCCTCCATTTCAACTCACACCTTGGAGAGAAGCTCTTGTGAGCTTCTCAGATCTATCAGCACAGGCTTGTTAAGATGTCATTTTGGAGTCCTCCAGAGGTCTCTCTAATTCTAGGCTATTGGTGGGGGTTTGTTCTTTTATCTTCCATTCAGTTCCCTGAAGTACATTCCCAATCCAGATATTACTGTTGCTTCTGCCTTCTGGTGTAGGTTACTTTTCTTTCAATTGCTCTGTGTGCATAAGAACACCCTCCATTTTAATCATGTTTCACAGAAAAACCTGGAACTACTCCCCCCACCCCCACTGCCCCACGGTTTCAGAAACTTCCCTCAGCCTTCGTGTCTTCTTCCACAGCTTAATCAAACCCTTGGGAGTGCTGGAACTGAGTTCCGGTTTTCAGTCTGCTGCCCAGTCAATGCTCGTTCCTTTCTTTCTGCAGAATTTCACTAATATTACTCCTTCAGGGGCTCCCATTTTATTTCCTAGGGCCATGTCTATTCAGAATATCACCATTGCTTGCATGTAAAAAATCCGAGATACATGCCAGTATTCCCCAGACTGTATTCTGCACAACCTGAGTGTTCTGAAAGCTACAAGACTGTCTTGAAAGCTGTCTTGTCAGATGCTGGTGCTCTGCTGACACCTTGGTCTTACCATTGTAGTAGTCTGGCTTCCAACTGCAAATATCTGTGTCTCTTTGCTTTCTCTTGCTCTAGAATGCTCTGTCCATGAGTGCTGCAGGTCGGATATTCCTCAGTCAGTGACTGAGCAGAAGCAGATGCTCTACCTGGGCTCTTAATTACTAGCTAGAACCAGGGTGGTGAGTCGCTTGATAACAGACCCTTTCCTGGCTGCCTTCCTTTCCTCAGCTCATGTTCTCACATACTCATTGGCATTTCCTCCAATCATTTCCCAAATAAACTCCTTGTACTGGAATGAATAGCAGGGGAATCCAAACTAAGATATTGTTCTAGTAAGGAAAGATGATTCATGGTCAGACATGTCTGGGAACTACTAGGTTAAACAAAAGCGAGTAGGTTTCCTAGCTGTAAAACTTCAAAGAACATTTAATACGTTGATTTATTTAGTGACTCTCCAGGGATGACAAGTAGACAGACCATACAAAGTTATTTGGCAATGTGTGATTGTGGAATGCAATGCAAGTGCAACTGTGTGTGTGTGTGTGTGTGTGTGTGTGTGTCTGTGTGTGCACGTGCACACGGACACACACACCCAGGCATCCACCACAGAACACAGCTTAAGAACAGCTATGATGTGGTTAACTGAACCCAATGTTCTGGGAAGAGCAAGGTTTTGCTTTTTTTGGTTTTCTCCTCATAGTACTACTTCCCACAAAATGTATAACGCTCATTAACTCAAGGACGTACAAATACGAAATGCATAAACACATTTTTAAGAAGCAGTAGACGAGGTAATGAACAGTGCCTACTTTGGATCATGGATTACTATGGTGTTTGGGGAACGGACTGGAAGACAAGTAGGCTCAGGACTGACATTCTCATCTTGTGGACGATAATAGAGCTTTGTTCTTTGGCACTTAATTAAGCAGTTCTGATTGTTCTCCAAGCATGAGAAAATGCATGTGGAGACTCATGTTAATGGTTCTGCTCTCCCAATAAATCTAGTTACATATAGATCCTTAGCCAATTTACTTTTTCATTATAGAGAGGAGAAATCATAACATAGCATGAACTAGAACTAATTTAACATTGTACACAGTTTAAAACTTCAGTGGAGTTGAAATTAAGATCATTGAAACCCCACGAGAAAATTTACTTCCTGTTCCAAGATACTTGGGCTTCCCAGGGCTAAATGGACAGTATTTATTCAGCATCCTAGGTGAGTCTCACTCTTAGGTCTAACATTGGGTCACATCTATGGGGATTTCAGCATGGCTTCACACAATCTGTCCCTGCCTTCACCTCTGAGGCACCAACTCCAAGAAAAAACTGTGGATATACCGGTCAAATTGGGTCTTCAAATATGATTTACTGGGGTACCAGTATGTGTGTATGTATGTGTGTTTGTCTTGATATGGGTCTCTCTTCAGGGAAAAAGACAGAGACACGCAGAGATACAGAGATAAAGAGAGAGAGAGTGGGAGAAAGAGAGAGAAAGAAATAAAGCACTCACTTCCCTCAAAAACTCATACTTGAAAGCTAAATTAAAAATTAAATATATTTAAACTTAACAAATGGATTCAAAAGTCACTAAACTTCATTTAAAAGGATTTTAGAGCTGGCCATGGTGGCTCACATCTGTAATTACAGCAATTTGGGAGGCCAAGGCAGGTGGATCACCTGAAGTCAGTTAAAGACCACCCTGGCCAACATGGTGAAACCCGGTCTCTACTAAAAATACAAAAATTAGCCGGGTGTGGTGGTGCACACCTGTAGTCCCAGCTACTTGGGAGGCTGAGACAGGAGAATTGCTTGAACCCAGGAGGTGGAGGTTGCAGTGAGCCAAGATCTCACCACTGCACTCCAGCCTGGGTGAGGGAGCAAGACTCTGTCTCAAAATAAAGAAAGAAATAAAAATAAATAAAAAATAAAAGGTTTTTAGATTTCTTTTCAATTTTATTTTTCCTAAAGTTTTTTGTAGGTGACACATTTATATCACATTGAACAATAGATGAAAGCATTTGCAAACATCCATTTAAAAGTGCTTTCTCCATAAGCAGTCATTTTATGAACTGAATGTTAATATCTGCCACCACCCCCCAGTTCCTGCGTTGAAATTCTAAGTCCTAATGTGACGCTGTTAGGAGGCGGAGCCTTTGGGAGGTAATTATTTTATGAAGGTGGAGCCTTCACGAATGGGATTAGTGCCCTTAAAAGAAGAGACAGAGAGAGATGTTCGTTCTCTTGGCTATGTGAGGATGCAATGAGCAGATAGTCATCTGCAAACTAGAGGCAGGTCTGTCCCAGCAGGGGGCCTGCCAGTGCCTTGATCCTGGGCTTTCCAAACCCCAGAACTATGAGAAATAAATGTCTGCTCTTTAAGACTTCCAACCTATTGTATTCTGTTATAGCACCTCAGACAGAATAAGACAAATTATTTTAAAATTGTTGTTAAGCGTCACCTTTATTTTGAAAGAGAACATTGTCTTTTCCTTTCAAAATATCTAAGAAGTAGTATATCACTGTCAGTTATTTCTCTGGAACACTTGCCATTTCATTAAGGAAACGTACTCAAATGTTTTTTTTTAATCATTTTGTCAACTCTTTTAAGTATTTTGTCATAAAATAGACATTGAAACTCTACCAAGGAAGACTCCATCTGGCAAAAACTTTTCCTGGTCATTCCTGACTCATTACAAAGTATTGCACTGGTTTTACTACATTTTACAGGTTGTGGCAAACAGACTCCAAAATGGCCCCTAGGATTCCTACCTCCTGGGAATCACAGGCCTGTGTAATTCCTCCCCTTTGAGTCTGGGTGGGACCTGTGACTTGCTTTTGCCCAATAGAACCTGGCACAGGGGAGGAGATGTCACTCTATGATTATCTTACATAAGACTGTAACTTGCATCCTGCTAAGGAACTCTCTTTACTGACTCTTTCCCTTGCTGGCATTAATGAATTATGCTGCCATATGGAAAGGACCGTGTTGCCAGGAACTGAAGGTGTCCTCTAGCCTGACATCAGCAGGAGAGGAGGCTCTCAGTCTAACAGCCAGTGAAGAACTGAATCCTGTCAACAACCACAGAAGCCTGGAAACAGATCCTTCCCCAGCTGGGCCTCAGATGAGGCCCCAGCCCTGGCCCTTACCTTGATTGCCATCTTGAAAGAGACCCTGACACATAAGCCATTCCTGAACTCCTGACACTCCTACCACTAGCGACCCTGCTTTATTTTCCCCTAGCACCTCTCACCATCTGACATTTGATCTATGTGCTGATTAACTCCATGAGAGAGTAAGGCTTTGCTCTGTCTGCTCTTTTCTCCCCAGTACCTATACTATACAGCAATCAATAACTAATACACATGTTTTGCATTAGTTTCATAAATCCAACTAATCATTGCAGCAATAGCTTGCTTTCAAAGGATGCAGTGCTTGGATTTCATTTGTGCAGCTATATCTGTAATGCTCACCTAGATTTTGTTTGTAAAGTTACAGTCAAGCAGCCTCCCCATTAGGGGTTCCGCTACACTGTTTTTCCATCAAACATTGTTTTTACTCAAAAAAATTACTCCTATGAAGATGTTTTATCTAATAAATCTTCCACTTGGTGGCTTATAAAAAATGTAGTTTATCATATATTGCCTTGCTGAAACAGGATCTAGCAAATATATCAGCTGAGGCATTAGAAATATCTGTACTCTCATCCATGTAATAATCTAACATTTTCCACTGTATAATTTATCCCATACTTTTATCTTCAAGATTTTACTGAAATCTCTTCCTGATTTGTTGACAATGAAAAGCATTTTAATTTGTCAACATATATTGGTTCCTATGTATCCATTTAGCCATTTTTCTTCAAGAGGATGAATAAGTGCTTCCCTAATGAGGGTTTTGCTACTGAGTAAGAGACTTCAACAGATCTTCTAAACAAGTATCATTAAGCTTAGTGGAATTTTTTAAGTACTGGGCTGAGTATATAGTACCTTTAAATTTAAGCAATAAATAAATAAACAGGTAGTTGTTTTTAGGTTCTAATTTTAAGTGTCCTGCTAATTGTGATGATATCAAGGCTCAATTACACACCCAGAATGACTTTCATTATTAAAGGACAATCCATATTGCAAACTCAATGGCTACATGGTCTCCCTGCTTCCACCCTCACTCCTTTTGTTAATCTCAGCCAGAAAAAGCAGGTTATATCCTGTCACATCCCTGGGCAGAGTTTCCAGTGCCTCTTCCTCCCGTTCATAGGAATGGCCTGAGTCCTTATAGGCCCCTGCATGACCTCGACCTTCATCAGCCCCCAGTGCTTGGATCATGTCACCTCCCACTTTTCTTCTCACTCACTGCTTCTCATCCACACTGGCCGCCCCCATTGCCTTTACATAACACCCTGCCCGATGGAGCCTTGCTCCCCCCACCCCTCCTTCCCTGCCTTTGCAATTGCACTTTCTTCTGCTTGGAATGTTCTCCCTTTGGTATGCACAAGACTCTTTTCCTTTAGGGTCTGCTCAAATATTTCCTTACCAGAGAAGCCTCCCCCAGCTTCTCAGGCATTTCTGACACTGGCTCCCCTGCCTTATTTTCCCCTAGCACCGCTCACCACCCGACATTTTATATATGTGCTGATTAACTCCATGAGAGAGTAGGGCTTTGCTCTGTCTGCTGTTTTCTCCCCAGTACCTAGATTATGCCTGGCATGTAGAAGGCATTTGATAAATATATATTAAATGAAAGACTATATTTCAGATAGGTTTCTTAATAATACCGAATTTTTTCATTGGTTTTCATCTCAGTTTGAATCAGGCTGTCATTGTTTTTATCTTGTCATGTGGTTAGACATATTAGTTGTTGTTTTACCCTGGTTCTCTTGCGATTGTATTTTTTTGGTTATTTTCTTCAGTCCACAGGGTTTGTTTTTTGGAGGATTGCCTTTTAAAACAGCTGCTCATTGTGTGAGAATTGGCTCAGCTTAAATGAGATAATGTAGTTTCTAAATTCACCTAACTGGGTGTGCATAAGTCAGTATGTTTTATTATATGGAAATCAAACCAATGACAGGAAGACTTGATATGGACCCCTTATTGCCAATGGACAGCCAGCCTCCCTCGAAACACCTCCCTCACTGCGGGTGACACATGAAGGTCTGATATTTACTTACAGCACAAGGTGCATTAGTCATGGGAGGTTAGGCTATGCTGTGGTAATAAGTAACCCCCAAATACCAGTGTCTAAACACAATTCAAGTTCATTTATCACTCTAAGAGAGACAGCATGGACCAGACAGCTTCTCTGCATGATCTCTTTGCTTCTAGGGTCAGTGCAATGTGAAAGGAAGGCTGTGATCAGGCCAGGAGGCCAATCCCATTGGCCAGATCCTGGCCACATGAATTGATCATAGCTGCAAAGGGGTCTGGGAAATATAAAGGAGCCCATGGGTATTTGGTGAGCATTACAATCCTCTGCCTCAATCTCAATCCATATGCACTAAATAGTAGTAAAGTATTGTTCTTTTCATTTTTTAGTATGAAAATAAAATATTTCCTTTGTCTACCTCAATGGATAATTTTGTGTGTGCATGTCATACTCTGGAGATCACAGCTAAGACGCTGATAACATAAAACCCATATTTAACCAATATACAAAATATCATCTTGTTTTGTGATTTTCTCCTTTGTCTTAAAATGGAATAGAAAAAAATTTCCAGTTAATAATAGTGCCCTTTAAGAGATTTTCTGAATAATCAAGCTCTATTGCCACATTCACACAGGACTTGCTTGTCTCTCATGTCTCAGTAAGCTGGTCAATAGCATTAACAAGCACACCCTTAGTGAGCAGATTATCAGGAAAGGAAGAAGACAAAGTCTATGCCCATGTTTATGTATTGATTATGCTCTGTTTCAAGATCAATTCTGCACATCATAGATGGCTCGAAGGTTTGATTTGGGATGGTTCTGCCTAATAAGGACAAGGAGGAAGTATTAAAAGCATCTTTCTTTTCAGGGAAATGGAAAACAACAAACCAAAAACTCTTGCTGAGTGGAGGGCTCTGATACATTGCCTGATCCCCAGGCAAAAGAGAGCATTGTCAGAGGCTGACGGGTGACAGTCAGGCAGTACTGAGAGGAAGAAGCAGAACATGCAAATGAGAACAATATGCTCTTAGCAAGGGTCAGGGAAGGTGCCACCCATGTCACGGGCCTCCAAGATCTTTGAGTCAAGGGTGGAAGATCCCACTTATTCAATGCCAAGCTCACCCATAGGTACTTCCATTTTCTCTTAGCTTTCCAGGGTCACAGCCTTTGTTATCATCTCTGTACATGGCCTCTTAAAATGTGTCTATGGCTTAAAATGTGCCTCGGCCTTCCGGGTCC
Source organism: Homo sapiens (assembly GCF_000001405.40). Taxonomy (NCBI): domain Eukaryota; kingdom Metazoa; phylum Chordata; class Mammalia; order Primates; family Hominidae; genus Homo; species Homo sapiens. The sequence continues at coordinate 38,043,652 of NC_000021.9, forward strand.
TGAGCACTGACACCACGCCTCCTCATGGGGTCCATATCCCCAGGCTTGGACGGATTCTCTTTCTCAGACATTCCAACACAAAAGTCCCCTTTAGCTCCATTTCCCTGTGATAAGCTTTGGCTGCTTCCAAGGCTCAGCACAACTCCTTTTGAGAAGGCAGGGAGTCGCCTCTGCACCTGAGTGTTGAAGGTGACTTTCCCGAGTGTCTTCAAAAGGGCATTTTTCTACTTAAGCTTCTGGAAGTGTGCTTCCTAGAGCTGGGTTGCAATATCTCTGTTCTCAAGATGTATGATGAGGTCAGTAGAACGATCTATGATCCCATGAGCCAAACATGTTTCTGCCTTTACTGCATTAGGGACATGCTGGTACTGTATTAGTCTGTTCTCATGCTGCAAATAAAGACATACCTAAAACTGGGTAATTTGTAAAGGAAAGAGGTTTAATGGGCTCGCAGTTCCACATGGCTGGGAAGGACTCACAATCATGGTGGAAGATGAAGGAAGAGCAAAGGGAATTCTTACATGGTGGCAGGCCAGAGAGTGTGTGCAGGGGAACTCCCACTTATATAACCATCAGATCTTGTGAGACTTATTCACCACCACAAGAACAGGATGGGGGAAACCACCCACATGATTCAATTATCTCCACCTAGACCTGCCCTTGCCACATGAAGATTATTACAATTCAAGGTGAGATTTGGGTGGGGACACAGCCAAAACACGTCAGATACCAATAGTGACAATCACCACAAAATCCTCACTTATTCCAATAAAAGGTGAGGCTCATCCTATGGCATTTCAACGTGTTGATCTAACAACTGCCTACCCTGAGTTATCAGTGGGCTGCCTACTCTAGCCTCTCATTACGTTATGTGTCCTGACTTGTGGTCTTAGTTTATGTATCTTACCTACTGACTCCTTTAATTTCTGACAACCCTAAATATTTTTATACTGGTCTTTCCCAGTTGCTGTGCCTCAGCTGAGATAGGATGCTACCTACTACCCTCCTGAACAGCATCTTTCCTCTTTCTACTGGCTGTGTCTGCCTTCTCTAACTTGACTTGGTATTAGTGAAACATGACTGACAAACCCATAGTAAAGGAAGGGAGAGGAAGAAATGACTCCTTCTGGGTTATCTCACACACTTATCTGAAAAAAAAATCAGGGCTCATGGTTCCTGCACAAAAGTTTACTAACTCTATGACCTTGGGAAAGTTATTTCATGTATCTGAAAATCAAGATTCTCCATCTATAATTGTGGATAATATCTATCCTATCCCCATGTGGTTGGTCTAAGAGTTAGAGTGAATTCACAATGAAATACAAAGGATTCTGGAAATGTAAGATAATGTCACTACTCTATTATTGAAAAGGTCCTGGTGCTGACTTTAGTTCCTTTATTTTAAAATTGGGTTACTACGTCATTTACATACTGCTTGTGTTTATTATTTAAAAGTGTCCCCTCCTTTTTCTGTGTCTACTAAAATCACAGTCATGAACTGACCTTCTAGTTACATTTTGTTGTCATTGTTCTGTTGTTACAGAGGAAAGGTGTATCATTAACTTGCCTTCTAGATATGAACCAAGCATGCAACTGTTTGCCTGGCACTGTATTCACCATTTCTCAGTATTCTTCTACTCTGCCTGTCTGTGGAATTAAAGGCCCTTCCAGGGGGCACACTGGGATGGTGGAGCTCTGCAGATTTCAGGGTTGTGGGAGAGGTTAGAGAGCTGCTGGGATAAGTATTCATGAACAAACCAGGTTTTTGCAGAAACAAACTCTTCATACTGAAAATAAATGCCACTAGGTACGGAACCTCACATTTTAATGGCACACCAATATTGGTCTTGTATATGCATATCAAATAAAAATGACTGAGTAGGTATTTCCATGTAGTGGAATACTACTGATACTCAATACTCAGAGAAGTGCATTTGCATAGACTTTGGGATGTCTAATTTACACAAAGAAGAGGGTAAGTGTGAGTTTAATGTTTATAAGATAATGTTGAGCATTTACTTTTAGCACTTCTAATGAGCTAAACAAATCTCTTCATTCAACAACTCCATTTGAAAGATAAAAAACAGCATTTACCTTGTACAAAAGTCTTGGAGCTCTGCCCTAAATGGCAAAAGTCAGGCAAGAGAATTGGTTGTAAGTTTTCTCCTAAACATTTAGGCTGGGCATTTGGCTCTTTGCTGGGCAGAGGAAGGGGCTGAACTCAGGATAAACTCAGGAAGGGAGGAGAAATTAAAGTAAACATCGAATTTGCTGTCATTGCTCACAAGAACTATTTTAAAAATCATGAAAAACTACTGACTTTGGACATGCATCGTGGCTGTAAAGATCAATGAATTTGGCCATAATGTTCAATGAGTATTTGACATGGTTTGGCTCTGTGTCCCCACCCAAATCTCACCTTGAATTGTAATAATCCCTATGTGTCAAGGGCAGGGCCAGGTGGAGATAATTGAATCATGGGGGTGGTTTCCTCCATATTGTTCTCATGGTAGTAAATAAGTCTCACAAGAACTGATGGTTTTATAAATGGGAGTTTCCCTGCACATGCTCTGTTGCCTGCCTCATGCAACATGTTCCTTTGTTCTTCCTTTGTCTTCCACCATGATTTTGAGGCCTCCTCAGCCATGTGGAACTGTGAGTCCATTAAACTTATTTCCTTTAAAAATTACCCATTTGGGGGACATGTCTTTCTTAGCAGCGTCGGAATGGACTAATACAGTATTTATAGAATTAATGGATGAGGTTAGGGCAAGAAGGGCGAGAATGCAGTAGGAGTATAAGAAGCATTGGTTTCCGAGATTCACTTGGGCCCAAGCTTATGCTCCCTTTTCCTGTCTGCTCAGAGAACACTGAAGAGCATGCTCTGCCACAAGAGGAGGTCTTTGAGGACTTCTTTGAAGTCCCAGAGGGGGTCCTGAGATCCAGGAATCGAGCATCAAGCGGCTCTCAGATTTGTTTATATGTTTTGGCCAATGCCATACATTGTATGGCCTTAATTTAGGGTAAAAAAAATGGCTGCTTTAGAAAAAATGTTTTGGGCATAGAAAAAAAGACCTTGATTTTTTAAAAGAGATTGTTTATTAATTATTAATCAAAGGCATTTTTTCAGGACATTAGGTCAGGTTCTATAAGAAGTGTGATGGCTTATTTTTTTTCTCTTAGTAAGGCTACATTCTACCTGAGAACTCAGGACCTGAGGACATGGTTATAGGAAGAAAAATCATAGATGAAAAATGGTTAACAATAGTCAGTACTTAGCATTGATTCCCACAATATCATTATGTATATTTCAATTCGATTACAGACAAAGCCATTAAAAATGAATTCTTTTAGTTCTTTAATTTATTCTTAAATTAGCTATACCATTTTTTCTTTGAAATATTTTATGTTCTTTTTCTTTTAAAAAACTTAAGACATTTTATTTTTAATTATTGTGGATACACAATAATTGTATACATTTATGGGGTGCATGTGATATTTTGATACAAGCATATAATGTGTAGTGGTCAAATTGGGGTAAGTGGATGATCCACCACCTGAGGCATTTATCATTTTTTGCATTAGGGATATTCCAATTCCACTCTTTGTTATTTTGAAATATATAAGAAATTATTAACTACAGTCACCCTATTGTGCTACCAAACACTATGTTTTATTCCTTCTATCTAACTGTATTTTTATACCCATTAACCATCTCCTGTTTTCTCTCTCTCTCTACTACTCTTCCAACATGATTCAAAAATCAAGAGGGACAAAAGGTACACAGTAAAGTGTCCCTTCTACCTGTGTCTCCCATCTACTCAACTCCTATCCTTGGCAGCAAACATGTTGTCAGTTTCTTATTTATCCTCCCAGAGGTATCTTATATCTATTTTAAAACACAATGAGAATATAAGAGAAGACAGCTCTTAGTCATAGCCATCCCGGACTTCTTCCCAACAGGTACAGATTGCGGAGTCTTATTTGTCTTATCCAGGGATCTTGGGGAAAGGGTGGCTAATATTTGAACCCTCTTAGGGGCAGATTCTAAGAAAGTACATCTTCCCCTTCTTCTGGGATTTCAGGTCAGAAAAACAGACACAGAAGCAGAGATAATGGTGACTCTGTAGTTGTGGGATCCATAGCTGGCACTGAAAAAATATATAGTATATCATTATAAAGCTTTTAATTTTTATAAATTCAAATGTATGTTAAATATATACATAGTATCAGTGTCCATAATATCACTATCTGTCCCTCCCAGAGGATCTCCAATGTTATTTATGGTCCTAATGTCGGAGGACAAATTATAGAACAGTAATGACTGAAACAGAGCCAGCCTGTCCTCAACTCTCCCCATGCCATTATGTATATTTCAATCCTATTACAGACAGAGCAAGCAAGTCCAGAACGAAAAGTAAGAATTGTGCCAATCAATCAGAATTAGTTTTACCTAAATGATATTATGAGATGCAAAAATATGGCTTTAGACACTGAAATTAGACACTGAAGCTGGTGTCCTCTGTGCAGAGAATGCTAATGCTGAGATTGTGGTCCCTAGTGGCAACACCAGCTGCCCCACTGCCGACCCGTGCCCTGACGCTCTTCTTGGAAATCAGCTTGTCAAATGTTGGGAGTGCTGCGATGCGTCTGCACGGATCCATTTAGAACTCCTTCTCATTCGCATTCATCACAGCTGGCATGAATTCACAAGTGATGGCAGCAAAATGTTTCTGCCAGTTTCTAATGCCTCTTAGAAATATGGGCGTTTTTAACAAGTGGTTGCCTGACTGCTAAGCAAACACACTGAGATAATTTCTCTGAAAAGAGAGCTCATTGTTAAACACGGACACTTCTGGCAGTATTCCTGCTAATCCATCCCTGTTCACTGTGTCACTGTGCCAGCATCATGTGGACATAAGAATGGATGCCATAGCTGTCCATTATTTCTGACATCATGGCAATATGTTGGGTGGAAAATAGTAGTTATTTCTTCAACACGTGAAGAATAATCATCAATAGTATTATTCCAGCAAGAGATTTAGGTGAGGTGGAAAAGGATTGGCCCACACTTCTCTGCCCTTCTCTCCATGGCATAAATAATGGTGTGTTCCAGGGAAATTGTTTGAATGCCGCAGGGTACTTCTGGAAACCTAAACTTCTGAAATAATGCTGCATAACTTCAGAGGTGGGTAAGAAAAGGCCATGCTGAGATTGACTTGCTAAAGAAGTTACACGTGGGTGTTCTGGCTAACAGCCCAGCTGACCTGGCTGCAGCCACATGTAAGAGCTACCTTGAGCATCCAGCTTAGTTGAACTTTCAGGCCCCACTGGCAACTGACTGTTTCCATACAAAAGACTCCAAACCAGAACTGCCTAGCTGAGTCTTTCCTGAGTTCCTGAACTACAAAATCACAGGAAAAATAAAATGGCCACCATTTTAATCCTCTGCATTTTGGAGTAACTTTTAAACTTGGCAATGATGATTGAACTGATGCTTTAAAAATTAAAATGTAAGTATTGTAGAAATAAAAACATTAGAAGAAAATCTAGGAGACTAAAAATACAATCTAGGAATTCAGGAGATTTTAAGTGAGTTAAAATATCCAGACTGGATTTATGTAGATATATACACGTATATGTATTTATTATATGTATATACACACATGTATGAAAACATATATGTGGCCAGGTGCGGCGGCTCACGCCTGTAATCCCAGCACTTTGGGAGCCCAAGGTGGGAAGATCACGAGGTCAGGAGTTCAAAACAGCCTGGCAAACATGGTGAAACCCTGTCTCTACTAAAAATACAAAAATTAGCTAGGCGTGGTGGCATGGGCCTGTAATCCCACCCACTTGGGAGGCTGAAGCAGGAGAATTACTTGAACCGGGAACCTGGGAGGTGGAGCTCGCAGTGAGCCGAGATCAGTGAGCCGAGATCACGCCGCTGGACTCCAGCCTGGGCTACAGAGTGAGACTCCGTCTCAAAAAACAAAACAAAACACAACAAAAAACCATACATACATATTTAACATATATTTGATATCATAAAAAATTAAAAACTTTATAATGATATCTATTATAATCAGATTAAAGGAGCTATGGATTTGGAAAAATATATACTCAAAAAAGCCTTAGATTAATAAGAAAATAATGAAATAGAAAATTGGGCAAATAATATGAATAAGAAGTTTACAGAAAATCCAACTCAAAGAAGCATCAAATATAAGGGTAAAAATACTCAAATTCACTAGCAGTTAAAATAATAAGACACAACTTTAGATTGCCCAACAATAGAAATGAAGAGCCCCTATATGGTTGAGAATGTGAAGTGGGTACACTTGACATAGCCAATGGAAATATGAGTTGGTCCATTCTCTTTGGATCAAGATCTGGTGAGATCTATTAAAATTAAAAACCATATGCTCTTTAATCACCAAGCCCAGTATTAGGAAACTATCCCAGAGACAAAAGCTCACTACGTAGGGACAGAAGTACACAGATAGTTAATGTAACTTTGTCTCAAGACATGAAGATCAAGTGAATGCCCATTAAGCAAGAAATGGCAGAATAAGCTATGGGTATAAGCACAATGTGAAATCGTATGCAGTTATAAACTATTAAAAAACCAGTAAGGGCAATGGCAGTTGACTTTCAGGAAACCAACTCCAAGTGTCATTGCTGAATGAGAAAAGCAAGGTTCGTGGGTGTGTGTACAATGTGATTGCATTCAAAGCAAAACAAAGACCATGAAACAACTGTGTACGTGTTTGTATATGATTAAATGAACATGGAGAAAAACACATAGGGAGATATGACGGGGTGGGAGAGGCAAGCAAAAAATGTAAAGTGTACACTGAAAATACTAAGCACATACAGTATGACTACCTTCATATAGAATTACGTATGTGTATGCAGATGCATAAGTGAGGAGATAAAATATAGATCTATATTCACTTACCAATTAAGAGTTTTTGATATATTCATTGAAAACCAGTTTGAGAAAGACAAACAAAAATCCTGAAAATGTGTATAAATACTTGTAAATGATTTATAGGAAAAGGAAAAACTGTGGCTGAAGAATGAGCTATTAACATTAGGCCCCCAGGATGGTGAAGCTGGAGAGCAGTCTGGGGAAGAAGATTCGCTTAAAAAAAAATCTTTGCATTGCTCTAGTTACTCCAACAATTATGCATTACTTCTGCTATTTGAAAAAGTAAATCCAATGCCAAGACTTTGAGTATTGCCAACTTTCCGTAGCTATTGGTGACATTGCCTGTTTTATAGCCTGCCTCTGGTGACAGTAAATTGAATTTTGATCAGGTAAAAACCAAATTTAAGCCTGCTCTGTGCACCTGTCAATTACTTGCTTGAAATGCTTTAAATCACTTTGCTTGAAATGCCCCCTGACTTCTGGGGTCCAGTTATACTTGTGGCCATTGGTAAAGGGTGACTTTCCATCCGCTTTTCCCTGGCTGAGATTGACCATGGCGTCAGTCCTCGTGTGGTCTCCCTGAGATTGGGAGGGTCCTTCCATGTCCCTCAGTCTTAGCCTGGGCTCTTTGTTCTGGCTGAAGTTGGCATTCGGGTCAGGCACCTTTCAGGCTGACATACATATTATATTAATCCATCCATCCTGCATGTGGATGGGGAGAATGCATAGCACCCTCATTGAAAATTTGCTTTATCTCCCTTTGCTGATTATGTTCTTATCCTTTTTGATCTTTTCTTCACCCTCCTCCTTTCTTTTGCACAGCAGGCAATGGGATGGTGACTCTTTATATCCTAATGCCAAAGACCCTAAGGTCAACCAGCTGCTGTCTACTAGCCTCCTTCAAGAGTCCTATTGCTAATGGTTAGTTTTTTATACCAACTTGGCCAGGCTATAGTATCCAGTTACTCACTCAAACACTAGTTTAGGTGTTATGATGACATTTTATAGATATGTATATAATCTATATACTATATATCTCTATATATAGTATATATATATACACTATACTATATATCTATATATACTATATACATCTATAGATTATATGTGATGTGGTTTATATATATGTATATATGATATACATATGTATGCATATATGATATACATATATATGCATGTATGATATACATATATATGCATGTATGATATACATATATATGCATGTATGATATACATATATATGCATGTATGATATACATATATATGCATGTATGATATACATATATGAGAGATGCCAATATCAGTTGACTTTACATAAGAAGACCACCCTTGATAATGTGGGTGGGCCTGATCTAATCAGTGGAAAGGCCTTAAGAGCAAAACCGAGGCTTCCCTGAGGAAGAAATGTCTGCCTGTGGACCACAGAGTGACTTCCTGCTGGAGAGTTTCTGACCTGCCCACCTGCCCTGCAGATTTCAGACTTGCCCAGCCTGACTTCACAATCGTGTAAGCCACTTCCTTGAAATAAGTTTCCATACATGTCCTACTGGGTCTCTTTCACTGCTAACATACTGACAAATACATTTCCCCTTCAACTCGATTGACCTGGAAATAGGACCTCTAAGTCATCTCTTTAGGAAAAAAAAATAGGAGGAATTGGGTGAGGTGGGTAAGAGGCCTCTCTAGTTCCTTCTTTCATCGGTGAGTCTGCTCTGTAAATTGGTTGGTAAGATTAATAATTTGTGACTTTGAAAATATTATCACTCAAAAAAAGACATTATTTAAGACTTTAATGAAACAGAAAGCTCCCCTAACCCTGGAAGAGCAAACAGGAACACAGGAAGCGTTCACAGCTGGCTCTCATGGAGGCCTGCTTTCCAGGTACCTCCCAGACTTAGGTCTGCATCTCCATCTCCTTCTCACCAAGCTGTGACATCTTCATCAGTTTATAAAGAATCACTTCACACCTGTAATCACAGCACTTTGGGAGGCCAAGGTGGGTGGATCATGAGATCAAGAGATCAAGACCATCCTGACCAACATGGTGAAACCCTGTCTCTACTAAAAAAACAAAAATTAGCTGGATGTGCTGGCGTGCACCTGTAATCCCAGCTACTCGGGAGGCTGAGGCAGGAGAATCGCTTGAACCTGGGAGGTGGAGGTTGTAGTGAGCCAAGATCACACCACTGCACTCCAGCCTGGTGACAGAGTGAGACTCTGTCTAAAAAAATAAAATAAAATAAAAAATCCATGCCTCTCCATGCAGGAACACAGCCTGCAGGACCAGTGCAGAGAGCCTTGGGGACCCCAAGTCAGAGCCCCTTTGAGATCTCATTGACAATGAGGGCTATAGATGTGCCTCCTTCTCCACAGCATGACCCGCAGAAACTGTCAGGTCACACCCCTGACCCTTAAGTGCACAATCATACCTCATCCCACCCCGACCCAAGACAGAAACACATTTTCAGAGGAAGGAAGGGGATGGTATTTTACTTGCCTCTGTATAGGCTCTTTCACCACACATACCCACACCCCCCACCCCCACACACACACGTAAACACATGCATTCACACACATGAGTACACAGGCACAGATGCAAACAATGCACAAATGTGCAAACTCACACACACACACACACACACACACACACACACTGCTATTGCACATGACATTGTGAGGTGTTGGCCTTTTCACTGATGCTCTGCTGCTCTCACGTTCACAGTGTGTCCTCGGATCTGCTGGAAATCAGAGCCAGTCCAATAGCTGCAGAAAGGTCCAATCATTTCCTTGTAATTACTGCTTGTAAGGGTGAGTTAAGCATTCAGACAATGGTCATCTCCTGCAAGTCTCTCTCTAGTTACAGAAGGCAGATCTTCCTCCTGTTCAGTTCCATCAACTTAAATTGTAAAAGACTTGCTTTCCAGAGGGAATGTCATGCCCCAGTACTTGTTACCTCTAGCTCCTGCAGAGGCCAGTTCAGCTCATTCTTTTTCTCTTTGATCCCTGACCTTGTGAGACGGTCTCCCACACTCCAAGGGGGAAGAGTTACTCCTAGCCTCCTGGATTCTTCTCCATCACATTTGCCCTCCCCCAGGCCATGGAGCTGGAGCTGCAGCTGCCCAGCCTGGAGACCCACGGAGGAGGCTGGGATGCAGGGTGAACTGTAGCCGAGGGCCACCTCTGCCTCTCTCCTAGCCCACACAGAACCTCGCTCTCCTTCCAGACAAAGCGGCCACAGATGGAGAAGTAGGTGGGGAGGGCTCATCTTTCCCCCCACTTCTCTCTCTGTATCCATGCTTGGTTCAAATGAACCAGAGGAATGGTAATAAAGGCCTGCTCTGGATGCCAGCAGTGGGAGTGGAAAGTTGAGAATAGATGCTAGAAACTCTATGATGTAATCTTTTTACATTAAAAATTTTACGTAGTAATGCCAAGAACTTTATATCTTTAATAGTGTAGAAAATTGATGACACCCATTTCCTTGAGAAGAGGGTCACCCTCTGGATACAAACTAATACCACACAGAGTTTCTGGATTTCATTCTCCTCAAAATCTCTCTGCCCCAGTCCACAGTGGGTGCGAGTTTCTTGCCTCTCTCTCAGCTGCCACTCTTCTGCTGAGGCAGAGAAGTTTTCTCATCCTCTGGGTCTCCACTATAACCCCAACTTGCATGCCCCAAAGACACGCACACCCTTCCCAAAAACCCAGCAGTTCTCTGTGAGTCTGGTAGAAAGTCCCCATTATTTGTGGACCTACTCAGCCTTGGTGAGTGGCTGGTCCCAACAGGATCCACAAGAAACTTGCATGACCGCAAGGCCTGGGCACAAGACAAACCCTTCCACTGCCATGCTGCCATTATGGCTGTTGTTTTTCCATATGGTCTCACATGGCCTCTCAGCAGGGGACGACACTGATGGGATTTTTATGGGTCTGTAAATAAAGCTCTTTCTTTCCCACTGGAGTTGTAAACTGAGAAGTAGACACAAGAATCAGACAGATGGAGATCAAAACGTCAGCTTTGCTGCTGATCAGAAGGAGGTGGCTGGATGTGGTTTATGCCTTCAGGTTGATGGGCTTGCGCTTATCTGCTTGTCCCTTCTCCCATCTGATTTCTTGTGGAGCCCATGGAGGTAAAGTTGGTATTTCCAAATCAGACATTTTGCCCAAAATTGCTGCCCCTCTCTGGTTCTGAGTGGAAAGGGAAGAAAAGAAATCAAATCTCAGTTACTTATAGTTTTCCAGTAGATCAGCCTCACCAATCATGGGCCATGAGCCAATATAATCTCCCACAGACTGAGACCTCCATCCCCCATGGTGAGGGGCTAGTGAGACTGGAATACGAAGAGAGTTGCTCAAGTGGCATTCCCTCCTCATGTAATTATGAGGCACAGGGAAGAAGAGGGCCCTGCCTTTTTGCTCCCTGAATGCTTAACCTTTAGATTGAAGTGTTAAGTCCCTGGTTGGCCAGGGAGGCACCATCTTGCTCTTGCGGCTGCTCACTTGGCAAAAGCTGCCCCTGCCTTCAGCCACCCACTCCCCAATATCAGCCACTGTGTCTTGAGTGTCTTCCGGGGACTACTGCCAGGGAGTATGTATTTTGTTCTCAGAAGCTGTCACTTGGGTCAGAATAGTAAAATATTCAAATTAAGTTTGAGCCACACTGAAGTCAAAGTTGGAAATTTATTTTTTCTTTCTTTCTTTGCATTCTTTTCCAACAATATTGCCCAATGTAGCTTATCTGAGATTCTGCAATGTGATTAAATGTCAACATTAATATGATCTGGGAATAAAATGCCAACAACCCAAAGTTGAATCTAAACCTCTTCTTTTATTAAATTCTCTTTTAATAGGTTAGGCTAGGTTGGCTGGCTGTATTCTGGACCCTGGGGCTCTCAAATAGCAGCAAACAATTCCCAGATCTCATGGCTTAACACTAGGAAGGTTTGTTTCCATGGACTTCACTGGCCAGCCTGGGCTCTGCCCTGTGCCTCCCTGGTCTTCACTCTGGTGCCCAGCTGAGAGCACAGCAGCCATGTGGAATGCTGCTGGCCGTGTGCCAGAGGGAAACTGAGCTTAGCTAGGCACACACTGGTGCCTACAGCTTTTCCTGGAAGGGACCATGTCCCTACTGGTCACATTTCATGGGCCAAAGAAAGTTACATTGCACCACCTGAGTTCAAGAGGGCACACAAGTCCAATCCTCCCTTGTGCCTGGAGGCTGAGAGCTGAAGTAGCTTGCACCACTCTAAGGACCAGCAGAGATTCTCAGAAAGAAATTAAAAGAGGCAACTAATAAATATGCTTGGAAGTTAAAGTTCAAATAATTCTGTGTCTTCAGTAAAGTCTAAAATTAAATATTCTTGCTCTTGTGAAGTCAAATCCAAAGTCTATAATTCCCAGTCTTATATTAATGTCCAATGAAATTAAGGCCTTCCTCCATTTCTTTCTCTGTTTATTGGATCTCTGTTCTCTGGATCTGTTTCTCTGTTCTCTGGATCTCTTCAACAATCAGATGTGAACTGGGCTACCCTTCAACATGATGTGCTTAATGCCTTCAGGACTTCAGAGGATGCATTAGGTTAGGTCAATCTCTCATTTCCCACTTGAAAGAGAAGAAAATGATCTTTGCACCGCCAAGATTCTCACAGCACTGACATTCCATCACCAGCTAACTTCATTGTCTAGAGGAACTACCTAATCCAAACATGCTCTCGGGACATCACACTCGGTAAAATCTTGGCCCGTGTTACTGATGCCAAATACGCCATGGAAACTCCATGGGATCTGAGTGTAGGTTGATGTACAGAGAAGAAATCATCCTTGTTTTTATCTCTGCAGGATACCTTTGGTTGCAGAGCACTGTGACTGGGGCAGTTAACTCCATTGCAAGAACTGTCCCTTCACCAAACCAATAATGGCCCTACTTAACCTGTACATATTGTCTCCTTCCCCAGAGAGGTATTTGTTGAGAAATATTTGAGACATTGCTATCTTCTTTCAAAGTATAGAAATATACAGAGGTGGCACACTTTCTTTTGCACCTTGGGTGTCATTTCCCCTCTAGCCCAGTGTGTGGAGTCCCCTCAGGCTGCTCTGAGAGTTGGTCCTCTATAGTGTCATGGCTGCCACTGAATCTTACAGGCATGTGTGCAGTGCTGTGACAGAGTGAACTGTTTCTATTGCCTCTTGTTTTGAAATTGCTAAGACCCGGGAAGCCTGGTTCCAGGGGACAATTTCCCTCTAGTCCTCATGTTGGTTTTCAATCAAGAACCATCCTTAGAACATTTCCAAACCAAAGCTGCTGTTATTGCTTCGAGAGTCTTTGCTCCCGGAGCACCACTCCTCACCTTTGGCTGCAGCTTGGAATCCCTTGGGGGACTTTAAGAATCCTGAGGGCCATACTGTACCCAACCAATTGAGTCTTTGGGGGTGTGTGATGACTAATTGTATGTGTCAACTTGGCTAGGCCATGGTGCCCAGATTTTTGGCCAAAAGCCAGTCTAGATGTTGCTGTGAAATAATGTTTTAGGTGAAATTAACATTTCAGTGAATGTTGAGTAAAACATATTACCCTCCATAATGTGGGTGGACCTCATGCAATCAGTTGAAGTCTTTATGAGAAAAGGCTGAGATTCCCCCAAATAAGAGGGAATTCTGCCTCCATACAAGCTTCAGCTTGAGCCGCAGCATCAACTCTGCCCTGAACCTCCAGCCTGTCAGCCTACCCTGCAGATTTCAAACTTGCCAGCCTCCAGTCTTGTGAGCCAATTCCTTAAAATAAATAAATCTCTCTGTCTCTATCTCCATCACTATCTCTCTATCCCTTTATCTCTATCTCTGTCTCTGTTTATCTCTATTTCTATTTCTATCTGTCTCTATCCCCATTCCTATATCTATCTTTATCTCTCTCTATCCCTATCTCCATCTCGATCTTTGTCTCTGTCTCTACCTCTATCTCTATCTACTTCTGTCTCTATCTCTATCCCTAGCTACCTCTATCTCTATTTTTATCTCTATCTCTCTTGTCCTATTTCCATCTCTATCTCTTTCTGTTCTATCTCTCTCTGTCTCTATCTCTATCCCTATCTCCCTCTATCTCTATCCCTTCTCTCTCTCTATCCCTATCCCTGTCTCTCTCTATCCCTATCTGTATCTGTGTCTGCATCTCTATCCCTGTATCTATTCCTGTCTATCTCTATCTCGATCTCTATTCCTGTCTCTCTATCTCTATCCCCATCTCTATCTCTGTCTCTATCCCTATCTTTCTCTATCTCAATCTCTATCACTATCCCTATCTGTCTCTATCCCTGTCTCTACCTACCTCTATCTCTATGTCTATCTCTTCTATCTCTATGTCTATAACTAGCTCTATCCTTATCTCTTTCTCTATGTATCTCTACCTCTGTCTTCATCTCTATCCCTATCTCCATCTCCATCTCTTTCTTTATCCCTATCTCTCTGTCTCTATCTCCTCTATCTCATCTCTGTCCACTTCCTGTTGGTTCTGTTTCTTGGAGAACCCTGGTGAATACAGGTGGTGCTGATCTTCCAGGCACTGGTAGTGTTTAGAGCTTTCCTGGTGACTACAATGTGCAGCAGGGTGGACAGCCCCTTCCTGAGGGATCTAAAAAGGACCATCCCCCTTTTTCTCTGCTTCATCTTTTGTTATTTGTTTGTTTGACAATTGTAGGGGTTCTCTCCATGGATCGCGACCCTCTCCTGCCCCTGCTATTTCCAGAAAGTGCAGTGGCATTTCTGACAGTAGAACCTCATCTTAAGATCATTCCCCTTCTGTATCAAATGACTTGCTCTTCCATGCCTTGCTCCACAAACTAGCAGCATCAGTCTTACCTAGAGCATGACAGACAAGCCTAGATATTGCACCTACTGAGGGATGATGTCCTGAAGTACTGCATCCACAGCTCCACTGTTCTCTCAGGGTCCATCTGCAGCTCATCCTCCCTTTCACATCTGCCCAATCTCATCTCCCTTCCTGCATGCCCTGCCTCCCCTTTGAAACATCAGCTTTCCTTCCACTGAAATCACTCTCCTTCCCTCCAGTTTAATTAGCCTGACTGCCTAAAAAAAACAAACAGGCCAGCTGCAGTAGCTCACTCTCATAAGGCGAGGCAGGAAGATCACTTGAGGCTAGGAGTTCAAGACCAGCCTGGGCAGCATAGCAAGACCCTGTCTCTACAAAAACTAAAAAATTAAAAAATTAGCTTGGCATGGTGGTGCATGCCTGTTGTCCCAGCTACTCAGGAGGCTGAGGTGGGAGGATCACTTGAGCCCAGGAGATTGAGGCTGCAATGAGTGACCCATGATCCTGTCACTGCACTCCAGGAGCAACAGGGCAAGACCCTGTCTCAAAAAAATTATAAAAATAAACAACTCTTCTACAGCTCCTTTTCTTCTAGTAAAGTGAAGTACACTTTCATAGCCTTCTAGCTCCTCCTTGATTCTTCTAGCAAATATGGCATCTATAAAGTAATCCAGATGCAAGACTTGTCAGTGCACTTCTAACCTTTGGGTTCACAAACACTGAATTAAGTTGTTTTTTTGCCACTCCACTAAAAAAAGACATTAAAAAAGTGCTGCCATTCCTTCATTTAATTTTCATGGAAGATTCACTGAAATGATCTAATTTCTTTGTCTGTATTTTGACTATAAAGCTAATACATGGCTTTATTCTTCTTTATTTGTTGATGATTCAAATCTACTATACTTCTACAATTAAAACTGGTCTGGAACTCTAAAATCGAAATTCAGGATTACAGTTTATGCAGCTAAAAATTGCAAAGCCAACTTGAGATCACACGGTGGTGGTGATTGGGGTAATGGTGGAGTGATGTGGTGATCATAGCAGTAGTGGGATGGTGGTAGAGATGGTATGATGGCAGTATGGTGGTGGCAGGAAGATGCTCATGGAGGTGACAGTAACCATGATGGTGGAAATGGAGCAGGAGGTAAAAGTTGTGATGGAGGTAGGGGTGGGGGCTGTGATGGTAATGGTAATAGTGATGGTGATGGTGGTGGTGATGGTTGGTGGTGGTGATGGTGGTGATATTGGTGATGGTGTTGCCTGTGATGCTGTGGTAGTGATGATCATGGTGGTGGTGGTGGTGGTGCTAATGGTGATGGTGGTGATGGAGGTAATGGGAGTGGCAGCATTGGAGGTGTTGAGGAGGCTGGTGGTGGGAGGGGAATGGTTGTGACACAGCCTCTGGACAAGGCACATAGTAAGGAGGGATTCATCCCTCAAATTCCTCTCAATGCCTGCATACACCTACTGGAATTTGGGACAGTGAAGCAGGGAGTGTGGGACAGATGCTGCTCTGTTGGCCTGGTCCTACC
The DNA here is from genome assembly GCF_000001405.40 of Homo sapiens. Taxonomy (NCBI): domain Eukaryota; kingdom Metazoa; phylum Chordata; class Mammalia; order Primates; family Hominidae; genus Homo; species Homo sapiens. The sequence continues at coordinate 38,059,940 of NC_000021.9, forward strand.
GATTCAAAACAGAATATGAACTCACCATTGCCTCCTGAACCACACAGAGCCCACTGACTATTATTTAGGGGCCTTGCCTAGAGGCCCCACTGAGGTAATCCAGAAAGGGGCAAGTATGTTTTCATCACAAATGCCAAGACAGCACCAGGCTGGCTGCTCTCCTGGAGTCCAGGATCAAGCTGCAGTGGCTCCCACGGCAGCAGGCATGTGCTGCAAGCCAGATTGGAAGCAGTTTTGCTAAGGTTCTTCCTTATTAAAACAAGCTCTGTTCTGCACTAGCTGCTGGCTGTGAGTTCAGAGGGCATGGGTTTATGGTGGTGCCAGTAGTGCCTATTTGCAGCGGTTCCAAGCAGCCATTTGACCAGACTCCCCCAGCAACCTTTTCAATCTCACCAATTCTTGTTTTTCTTGGGGTTCTCAGCTCATGTACTAAAGGCGTATGGCAAATGCCCTCTATACATACATTCCATACATGAAATGTGGGAGTTTTAGGGGGAATTTAAGCAACACCCCTCTGATGTCATTTCTGAGGTATTTGAATGGAGAGAGCAGGGCACGCAGGGATGAAAATACGAGTTTATCCCTGATAAGTGCTGGCTTGGAGGACACAACTTAGGTGGGCAGTCAGATGGGCTGGGTGCTTCCTTCTCCCCCAACTCTCCTCTCCCCAGCTGTCTAGCCCTTGGCACACTTACTCCAGGCTTGTGTCTCCCTAACAGATTCACTTACCCTGGTTGCTGGCATGCCTGGCCATTGGAAGAAAGGGAAATTTCTTCCTTTTTTTTTTTACATTCTTTCCCTCAACAAACTTTATTGAGCACCTAGTAACTGCCAAGCCTGGACAAGACAGAAAATAATTTTGTTTTTCTGATACTTATGTTTCAGCGGAGACACAAGTACTCTTTGTTTGATTGCCTTTTGCTGAATGTGCCCAGTTGAAACTCACTTTTTAACCTGTGAGGAGAGTGATAAAAGGACATACTCTTTGGGAGGCTGAGGTGGGTGGATCACGAGGTCAGGAGTTCGAGACCAGCCTGGTCAACATAGTGAAACCCTGTCTCTACTAAAAACACAAAAATTACTGGGCTTGCTGGCAGTCGCCTGTAGTCCCAACTACTCGGGAGGCTGAGGCAGGAGAATCCCTTGAACCTGGGAGGTGGAGGTTGCAGTGAGCCGAGATCGCGTCATTGCACTCCAGCCTGGGCAACAAGAGCAAAACTCCACCTCAAAAAAATAAATAAATAAAAATAAAAAAAGACAGGCTCCTGGAGCTTCCTTCTCAGGGGAAGGAGGAGCATCCACTTCCCCCTAGTCATTCAGAGAGGTCAAATGCAGTCCTCTTTGGGAAGTGACTGGATGTGCAGAGAAAGTCAGAGGGAGGTCTCGCCGCCTCTCAGGCTGCTTCGAAGGATCTCAGTCTGTGGACCAATGGGCTTTTCTGCATTCGGCTGCCATGGCTTGTGGCACATTCAGCAGGATTGGTTTCTGACCTCCCATCAGGCTGGGAGCACCCCACCGTGTATGTAGCTCAATACCGAGAGATTTGTAAAGGTTTTTATTGAATGACTCTAAGGTTCTAAGCCTGGGTAACTTGGGTTATAACAGCATTCATAAATGGAAATAGAGATATTCGAAAGACACTTTTTTTTTTGAGGGAGAAACTGCTGAGCGCAGGTTTAGACTTCGTGAGATGTTTAGAGGACAGCATATTATTTTTTGCATGGCTGGATTTAATGGTTGTTTTGCATCCCTTTGCAGGGTTGAGATAGCAGAGGACTCTCAGAAACCCTCACACCCAGCATTAAGAGGCACACACTAGATCAGTTTGCAGATACAAATCTTTGTGGCTCTATACTTTCTTTAAAATCAATTCCCAGTATTTTAAATTCCTCATTATTCCTCTATCATGTGTTAGACAAATATGATATCCACAGATCTACAAATGGCTATAACTATGCTGTCACTGCAGGGATGTCTTGCTCTCTGAACTGTCGTCAGGAAGCTTATAAATAAATACGGGACACATGAAGCTAATTTGATACCAACAGCAATAATATAAACTCTGACTAAGGGAAAATTGGAAAGTGTTGCTGATCTAACAGCACAAAGAGGCATTAGGAACGTGCGTCTGCATGTACCTCACTCCCAGGCTTGGGCTCTTTCCCATAACATTTGGAGGCTGTGATTTCACCTACCAAATACCTATTTACATGCTTAGCCTTTGGATCATATAATTCACATCTCTGAGAAAATGATGTATTGTTACCTAAATGTATCACTGCTAAATGAGATCAACTGAAGAGTATGTTATTATTGGCTTCAAACTATGAGTTGGAAATGTCCACACACTTGCACCTTGCTTTGGTGCTATTATTTGTTTTTGATTTTGTTTTGTTTTATGTTTTTGATGGGAGAGTGCGGGGCGTGATGATCATGGCTCACTGTAGCCTCCACCTCCTGGGCTCAAGCCATCCTCCTGTCTCAGCACTCTTAGGACTGACTACAAGTGCACACCACTGCACCCAGCAACTGTTTTTTTGGTAGTTACAGGGTCTAGCTATGTTGCCCAGCCTGGTCTCAAACTCTTAGACTCAAGCAATCCTCCCACCTGAGCCTCCTGGGTAGCTGGGACTACAGGCACTCACCACCACGCTCGATTAATTTTTATATTATTTGTAGAGATGGGGTTTCACCATATTGCCTAGGCTGGTCTCAAATTCCTAGGCTCAAGCGGTCTGAATGCTTCAGCCTCCCAAAGTGCTGGGATTACAGGACTGAGACTTCATGACTGTCCAGCGCTGTTATTTAAAATACAAACTGAGTTCTCTACAAGGTGGAAGTTTTAATAAGTGATGCACCTTGTCAGAGTAAAAGCTTTCAGTGGGGGAAAATGTGCTTTAATTTAGTTCATCTAAATTTCTCCACACTCTCAGCACAGCGATTATCTTGCCTTCTATATCACCCTGACACATACTATTAACCTATCAAACAGCAGAAGGCTGAGCACCACCAGGCTCCAATCTATACAGATAGTTGGGCCAATTCAGGTCAAAATTTTATTGGTTTTGGCCTAAAAGCTGCTGGAAAAACTTGTAAAATGAAGAGAAGTTACAATGTGATTTTAAAGCGGATTTCAAAGATGAGAACAGGATAATATCAGTTTCTGGCTGCAAAGTTTTCTTCTGTTAAAAACCTATAAGTTAAATAGGCACACAAATATATTTCTATGCTCTTTAAACTACTGGGTATAAAGTGATCACAATTTTAAGTTGCATAAAAGGACTGCAAATATTAAAACACTTGACTACAATAAGGTTCCTTTTGGGCCTTAGGTAAGTAATGTTTTCTGGTGTTGTTCCAGAAAGCATAATAAATAAAATAAAATTATCCTTTGATCATACCAAGGGGTTTGTGACAGTGTGTATTAGCCTGTTTTCACACTGCTATAAAGAACTACCTGAGACTGGGTAATTTATAAAGAAAAGAGGTTTAATTGACTCATAGTTCTGCATGGCCAGGGAGGCCTCAGGAAACTTACAATCATGGCAGAAGGTGAAGGGGAGGCAAGGCACGTCTTACATGGTGTCAGGAGAGAGAGCAAGGTGGGGGAACTGTCACACACTTTTAAACCATCAGATCTCCTGGGAACTCATTCACTATCATGAGAACGGCATGGGGGTAACCATCCCTATGACCCAGTCACCTCCCACCAGGTCCCTCCCCGACACATGGGGATTACAATTCAACATGAGATTTGGGTGGGGACACAGAGCCAAACCATATCACAGTGATACCACAATAAGATATCCATAAGTGTCAGTTTCTTAAGGCAATTTTCCAAAGTACCCCACATCGGATAGTTGAAATATCTGAGATGTATTGTCCCACAGCTCGGAAGGCTGGAAGTCCTAGATGAAGGTGTTGGCAGGGTTGGTTCCTTTTGAGGCTGTGAGTGGGGATCTGCTCCAGGGTCCCCTCCAGCTTCTGGGGGTTCCTTGGCTTGTAGCAACATCACTCCAATCTCTGCCTTGTCATCACATGGCCTCTTCCCTGTATGTTCGTCTGGGCCCAAATGTCCCATTTTCATAAGGACACCAGTCACACTGGATTAAGGGCCTATCCTATCTCTGCCTTGTCATCACATGGCCTCTTCCCTGTATGTTCGTCTGGGCCCAAATGTCCCATTTTCATAAGGACACCAGTCACACTGGATTAAGGGCCTATCCTACCTCTGCCTTGTCATCACATGGCCTCTTCCCTGTATGTTCGTCTGGGCCCAAATGTCCCATTTTCATAAGGACACCAGTCACACTGGATTAAGGGCCTATCCTACTCCAGTAGAACCTCATCTTACCTAAGTTACATCTTCAGTGACCCTCTTTTCAAATAAGGTTATTTTCTGGGCATTGGGACTTTAACAAATGAATTTTGGGGGAATCTGATATAACCGATCCTACCCCCCACAGTGATGCTTGGGCACCTCAGGGAGCACCCCCCTCTCAGCCCTGCATCCCAGTCCCTCATCCCACCTCCTGCTCCTGGCTTTGTTGTGCCTTGTTCCATCTCACGGCCTCACCCGCACACCGCCATTTTGGTTGGGCTGTCTGCTTTGTCCCTGAACGCTACCTTCTAATCTTCCCTTGACTCCTCTCCTGCTCAGAGCCCAGGCTGCCTAAATCCCAGACCAGGGATCGGACTCTGAGGAGCCCCCATTTATTCAGTAAGGGAGTGTCTCTGTCCCCTTAATAAACTGTTATCCTGCTTCTTGACTCATGGAGGAACAGCAAGTCCTGAAGAAAGATGCAGGAACAAGGGACCCAGAAACCCAGCCAGGTGGGCTTACGGCATCTGGGAAACTGTGTTTTGGAACAAGATTTGGGGCCTATTTGTGAGCACATTGTCCTAAAGGCATTTTTGAGCCCAGGATAGGTAAGGAAATGGAATTCTCTGCTGAGATCACTATTAATATCTTACACCACCTAGAAAAAAATGGTGTCTAAAATATCCAACCTGTCAGACAAGGAGCTTTGATTGAAGATGCAATCACACAGCCAAGCCAATGCCAGCTGACAAAAGGAGTTTCTGGGGTGGGAAATGGGTGGGATGTGTCCAGGGATTTAAAACCCAATCCTTGCAGGTTTAAACGAAGTATGATTTTTGACAGGAGGTTCTCAGTGGAGTCTTGTATTTTTCTACAATTTTTGATTAGGGCCTCATGGACTGGAATCTACCTATTCTCTGTCTGGAGTCATAGGGTGCTAGTGGGTAAGTGTGATGTTTTCATAGGTAGCAGTTCTATAAGGTCTCCTGTACAGTCATCTGTGGTATTTTCAAATGTTTACCTCTGCTCTATAAAGAATTTGGGTCACTTTTGACTATGTAAGACTTTGGTCTGAATTATTTAGACTACCACCCCTACTGCAGTAGTATTTTAGAATTCCTTCTACAACTTCAGTGGCTATGACATTTACTAATCTTGGCATATGATTTCTGAGGAAGGGTTGCTTAAAATAAATACCTAGGCGCCCAGATACAGAATTTAGCTATGGTGAAATCTCAACTGTTCAGTGTCTCCTGAAAATCAGTGATATCTTCTGGATGACCAAATTGACCAAACACTTGAAGGCTAAACTTATTCTTCCCCAGAACATTAAAATCTAAGTTTCACTTGTATCGTATTTTGTTTTTGCTGGAAGTGTGGGCTTTCTTTTAAAATAGCTGACATCAATCAATCAAACCAGTTTCTTAATAGTTTATCATGGTCCCCGGGCACTCCAGTTATTTTGTCATGTTTCCTTGTGGCTCCGGTTGTATTAACAGATGCAAACTTGCATGTAGAAGGTGTGAGGGCACAGAGCATGTTGCACATCTGTATAGAGCTTGCTTTCATGGGAATCTGTTGATATTAATTTCAGATCATTTTTCTTCTCATCAAGATGAAGTGAGGCACACAAAGGCCACTTGGTTGAGGTCATTCCCCAGCCTCTCTGCAGACTTAGAGAATCAAGCCCTGAGTCCATCTTCCACGGAGTGTTTTTCTTACCTTCCTAAAAGAGACTCATCTTCTGATTAGCCCAGTTACCTTTGGTATCTTGGACCCATCTATGGCTTGGATCTACTTTCCCATCTCTAGTTCTTTATGAAAGGTTCACGAGGATTTTTTTCTCCCTTCTACAGTAATTTGTGCTAGGAGAGGGTACAGACTGACTCTAGATCAGGGGTTCTCACTGGGGGTGATTTTATCCTCTTCCTTGGGGATATTGAGCAATGTCTGGAGACATTTTGATTGTCATGATGAGGGGGTGAGGTGCTAACCCTAACCCTAACCCACCTAGGGAGTGAGTGGAGGTCCAGGATGCTGCTCAACATCCTACAATGCACAAGACAGGCCCCCACAACAAAGCATTATCCAGTTCAAAGTGTCAAGAGAGTTGCACTTGAGAAACCTTATTCTAAAGAAAATAACACTTTGGCAACATAAACTGAGCTACAATCTCTTTCAACCTCTCTTTATCTGTGATAATTCAGAGTATTAACCTCTGTTAGCAATTGCATCTTAATATTAAAGTTCCTATAAAATGCCTCCCTGATGGATAAACCTTTTCATATAGTTTCTTCTCTAACACACGCTTCGTAAAGCATGATAATCCATAGGTTGAATCTAGTAAAGGCAGGAAGTGAAGGTAGGATGCCAGTTAAAATAAATACATGCAATGTTAACTCTGCAACTGGAAGGAGAACTCAGATACTGTCTTGCGCTGGTTGAGACAACTTTTTTCAGGTGTCAGGCTGGTATCTGCATTAGTTTCCCAGGGTTGCTGTAAACATGGACACAACTTGAGCAGCCTAAAAACAATAGAAAGGCTGGGCGCAGTGGCTCACGCCTGTAATCCCAGCACTTTGGGAGGCCGGGGTGGGTGGATCACAAGGTCAAGAGATCGAGACCATCCTGGCCAACATGGTGAAACCCCGTCTCTACTAAAAATACAAAAATTAGCTGGGCGTGGTGGTGCATGCCTATAATCCCAGCTACTTGGGAGGCTGAGGCAGGAGAATCGCTTGAACCAGGGAGTCAGAGGTTGCAGTGCACCGAGATAGTGCCACTGCACTCCAGCCTGGTGACAGAGTGAGACTCCATCTCAAAAACAAAACAAAACAAAACAAGCAAACAAATAAAACCAATAGAAATGTACTCTCTCACACTTCTGGAGGCCAGAAGTAAAAAATTCAAGGGGTCATCAGGGCCATACTCCCTCTGAATGCTCTAGGGAGAGTCCTTTCTTGCCTCTTCAGCTGCTGGTGTTGCCAGCCATCCTGGGCATTCATCAGCTTGTTGTTGCATCACTCCAGCCTCTGCCTGCGTTACTATTTGGACTTCTTCCCTGTGCATTTCCAAATCTCTCTCTTGTAAGTCATTGGATTTAGGACTCATTCTCATTTAGTCTGACATCATCATACTGTATCTGCAAAGGCCATATTTCCAAATAAGTTCACATTTATAGGTACTCCATGGAGATTAGAACTTGGACATATCTTTCTGGGTGACACCATTCCACCCACAGCAGTCAGTAGCCAGGATGTATGAGGCACTTTACTTCCCCACACCACAGAAGTCCTTTTGTCCCTGTCAATCACGCACCGTCTGTCTCTGGCAGTGGCAATGTTGTTGCTGAGTCAGATTGCTGGTGGCAGGGTTGTCATTTGCTTGTCTTCATCATGTATTTCAGCCTCCTGTGTCTTTTCCTCCTCTTTCTTCTTTATTTTCCCATCAATTCTCCTTGTCTGCCTGATTTTACCACCAGAAGCTAATCATGATGCACTTTCCTTTATGATAAAGATGCTCACCCCATTCACTGAGCATGGGATCCGACTCTTTGGATCTTCTTGGTGGTATTCATTTGCTGCCCATTGCCTGGGAGCACCTGGTAATTGCAGAAGATATTTTCCTCTAAGTGCTTAAATGCTGGCAGTCCTTAGGGGAATCTGAGGCTTCCATAAAACTGGACTTCAGATGACAAAGCCATGCTACATTAATAGCTCTAGAGATCTGCAGTTGGGATGGCTTATCTTTCAGATGCCATCATTTTGGCTTTTAATTTGTTTGCGAACAATATCCTTTGGGGAGCTGCATCCTTCAACGTCTGCCTGCATTATCACATGGGCTTCTTCCCTGTGTGTCTCCAGATCTCCCTCTCATAATTCATCGGATTTAGGGCTCACCCTAATTTAGTTTGACCTCATTTTGATTATATCTGCAAAAGCCATGTCTTTTACCTGAGGGTAACAGATAGTAAGAACTTGTGGGCATCACCTAAGAGCAGGGAGTGAAAAAACCAACTGAGGAAAGAAAAATGCAGGGCCCAAAAACCTTTTTAAAATGTATTTATTTATTTGAGACAGTCTTACTCTGTTGCCCAGGCTGGAGTACAATGGCATGATCTCAGCTCACTGCAACCTCTGCCTCCTGGGTTCAAGTGATTCTCCTGCCTCAGCCTCCCAAGTAGCTGGGATTACAGGTGCACACCACCACGCCTGGCTAATTTTTGTATTTTCAGTAGAGACAGGGTTCCATCATGTTGGCCAGGCTGGTCTTGAACTCCTGACCTCATGATCCACCCACCTCAGCCTCTCAAAGTGTTGGGTTTACAGGCATGAGCCACCACACCCAGCCCAGGAAACCTTTTAATTAAACAATGTAGTCGAGGTCTGTGGGAAGAGGCAGAAGGGATAGGATTGTCCCCACCCTCTGTCAATGTTCAACAGCCTGAAACCCCCATCTTGTTGTAACCCTGATGTTGCTGTGTCACTGCTCAAGCAGAAATACAGAATGTCAATACCAGAGCAAAGATGGACTCTTGAGCTGTGTTCTATTGGTGGAACCAAGGGCTTTAGTTGGAGCTACGAAAGCGGCATAAGTATACAGAGGAGTCTAGACAGTAAGCCTGGGCAAGCCAGGCAATGACTGGCAGAAAGACAATTATTATTCCTGCCGTGTGTGCAAGTGCGTGTTTGGAGGGGAAAGATGAGGTCTGATTGTCTTCAGGCTTTCCACCAGATTAGTGTTTCCCATGAAACCTGGAGGTTCATGGACGTGGTCTTTTGGGGGATGGTTCCCTGGGTCTTTTTTTGCCCTTGTAAAATATTGACAGGTAAGTTTTCAACAAGAATGCTGCTGTCGTCTATCTTGTTTAAGATTGCCACCTTCCTCTGCCTCTGAAATCTCCATACCACTTCTGTGCTTTATTTTCCTCCTAAACATAATCATTTTCAAATATACTATATATCTACTCATGAATCTTGTTGATTACTTCCTTCTCCTTAGGACGTGAGCTCCACAAGGGCAGAGGGTCTTGTCTGTTCCATTCACTGCTGTGTCTTCCGTAAATGAGACACATGGCCCCTGGGCCATCCTGGCTTCCTCATCCTTCAACCCTTCAACCTGCACATACTTGTTATTATGTGGGGTGTGATTTTACTAGAGGGAACCATTCGATGTTGCACATATAAGGGATTTGTAAAATGGGAATAGCAATAGTATTGAGCCGATGTGGCTGTCGTAAATGAGTACCTGTAAACAACAGCAACAACAACAAAAAAAACCCAGAAGCAGCCTGACCTAGAATGAGTGCTTGGCAGTGTCAGCCCACTCACCAAGACCCTCTGATGGTGCTTGCTCAAGCCCTGGTGCTCTGCTGCCGAAAGGAATCCATATGTTTGGGTTTCCACCAAGCTGAAATCTTAATTAGCATAATATGTAAAATCGTGTCAGTGTTCAGTTTTTGCTCCCTTCCCCCGCCCCCCGTTTATATTTCCTTAACTTTTGGTACTTGGTCATTGCTTCTCTGTTAGGGAAACTACTAATAGGAGGGAAAAAATGCTAAAAATCTTTCAGGGAAGGGGGAATGATCATGCTTAGTTCAACAACTTGCATTTTTAAAGATTTATGCATACATCTGGTTTTGTTTTCTTTAAAATTATCCTTGGCTTTATAAATGCCTATACTCAATCCAATTGAATATATCAATGTTTCCTGGTCTTCCATAATTGCATCATGACCCCAAACACTTAGTCCACTCACTAATTTAATTGTTTATGTCTGGCCATCCAGGCAGACCCATGCCCTTGGTATGTGAGCATGCTTATGCATAAGGTTAGCACTAACAGGCGTTAGATGCTTTCAGCTTTGCTATATGTTGTAAAACTAATGATGATTTGCAGAAATGAGTAGGAATATACAATTACTTTATGGTCAAAAATTTGAAAAAATACTTGTTTTGGCTTTCACTGACACTATGTAATTGGAAAAAAAAGGTGATTTAAGAAGAAAATTGATTTACACAAATGTTTTATTAAGGCCTTTGATTTCCATGCAGAAGGGATATTGATATATTACTTATTTTTTAATTGCCAAATCCTTAGTGAACATTAAATGACACAAAAAAGGATTGTGGCAAATTGGATCTGGAAACAAGAGTTGTTGCTCTTTTAAGACCAAAGGTTGACTGAGCCATAACTTGCCAAGGTGTTTGGAGCAAAGTAGATGTTTATTCAATTATTTAACTCAATAAATAATTATGTGCTAGTTTTGTTCCTGGCATATTGTGTACACATGGCTGTTTGCCATCCAAGAGGGTATATAGTACATTTGGGAGTTATTATCATGTAGGTCGAGTTGGAAATGTAAAGCGAATGAACATGTCTTGGGAGATAATGTAGAATGAAGAGAAGACACCACTGTCTTTGGATGGGCAGACCAGCTCACAAAGAAGATGGAGGAAATGATGGAAAATGACAACAGGAGAAAGTGTGGTCTTATAGACCAAGGGAAGAGGGAGTTCACAAAGGAAGAAACAGTCAGAAGCATCACATGCCACAGTGAGGGTCAAGTGAGAGTCAGTTGCTATATTGCTATATTTGTTGCTTTGGAATAAGGAGGGCTGAGTAAGCTATAATGAGTTATTTGGGCTGAAGATGCCAAACTTGAGGTCAGTGGTTGGAAAAAGGAATAAAACTCTGTGTCTCATCTGAGTGGCCAAATGTGCCTTTGCCATGGCAGCACCTCCTGCTCCCTCACCTCTCTGTTATGCAGCCAAAATATAATTAAGTGTATGATTGAGATATGCTCTTTTTTCCTTCTGAGCACAGGATTTCTCAACCATGGCACAGTTGACATTCGAGACCCAATATTTCTTTGTGGTAGGGTATGCCCTGTGCATTGTAGGAGGTTTAGCTGCATCCCTAGTCTTTGGGGGCCAGGACCACCAAACTACTGCCCCAAAGTTGTGACATCCAAAAATTTCTTCCAGCAGTGCCAAATGTCCCCTGGGGGTCAAAACTGCCCCAGGCAAGAGTCATTGTTCTAGATATGTAGCCAGGGAGCTCAAGCTGCTTATTTTGAAATGCTCATCAGGATAGAGGTGCGGAACAAGCAGATTTTAGATGGAAACTGTCTCAGCCAGAAACCTGGCTAAGAAAAGGTGCGTATGGTGATGAAAACCAAATAACCAAGTAACTCAGACCTTAATTATTTAAGCAAAGTTTATCTCCCCTGAAGCAATGAAGGAATTGTCTCTAGAAGGTCAACACAAGACTGTAAAAGTCAATAATAAAAGATTGCTCCTAGTCACATACACACACCTTCATAAACTAAACATGAGGAAGCAAGATTGGCTAATGGTGATGGCGGTTTGTTGTGGGCATGTGGTTAGCAGGACCCTCCACCTCTCTGACCATAACGCCCTTTGGTCTTCAGTAGTTGATGACAATACCAGCTCAGAGTCATATAATTTGTTCTCTACCTCATCTCTGCCTTCCACAGAGCAAAAATTCAGGTGGTCCTAGTTTTAAAGGTAGAGTAATATTTTCCCCCTTTCTCCCTTTTGTTCTCCACTTGGTTTGTTTTTCTGCTTTCTAGAATCTGGAGGACATTCCTGGCCCTTAGCAGACTTATTTTCCCCTTTTCTTTTGCTTAATCTAATAAGGCAATAGCATGTACAAACCATCCAGCGAGAATTTTCCTCTCCTACAGAGTGTGCGGCTGTGACTCAGGATTTGGTGTGTGGTTCACTTAGCCAGTCAACAAACAATGGCTGCAACTCTGTTAGCACTGTGCTCTCACAGGTGAGACAGGTCCATGCTCTAGACAAAACAGTTGGCTGCCATTTTTCATTTGAACAAGTTTTGTTCAACTTGGGGGTAGAGATAATAAACAAGTCAAATGTAAATTTGAAAGACAAAATAAATACAAATTATAATCATTGGCAGAAAAAAAGTGAAGTCCTGTGATGGGTTTGAGATTATCCTAGATTATTTTAGTGGGTCCAATCTAAACACACAATCCCGTAAAGGTAGAGAATCATCTTTCCCAGCTGAATCAGAGAGATGAGACAGAAGAAGAGATTCAAAGCGTGAGAGTAACTTGCCCCGCCCTTCATGGCTTTGAAGATGAAGGAAAGACGCTGTGAGCCACAGAATGTGGGTGACCCCTGGACACTGGGAAATTATCTCAGCTGGCAGCCATTGAGGAAGTGAGATCTCAGTCCTACAGCTTCCAGAAGATGATTCTCCCACTAACCTGAATGAGCAAGGAAACGGACTTTGCTTTAGAGCCTTCAGAAGGGAGCACGGCACTGCCAATGCCTTGGCTTTAACCCAGTGAGACTCATGCCAGACTTATAACACATTTCTGTTGTTTAAGCTGCAAGTTTATGCCAATTTGTTACAGCAGCAACAGGAAACTAATACACTGGGCTTGGTGGCTGAGTGGATATGGAGGAGGGGGAGGACCACAGGGTGGACTCCTAGATCAGCCAGAGGGCAATGAGTCCACATACCAAGGTGAGAAAACTCAGGGAGAAATGGACTATGGAGGGTGGAAACCAGACTGACGTTTTGGTCATATTAAATTTGAAATGTCTATAAGACATTTAAGTGGAGATACTAGCAGGCAATTGACTATGTAAGTCTAGGGTTCAGAAGAGGAGACTGAGCTAGTGATGACTTTCTGGACTAGAAGAATACAGATCCAAGGCAGGAGGATCACTTGAGCCCAGGAATTCAATACCAGCCTGGGCAACATGGTGAGACCCCATCTCTACCAAAATAATAATAATAATAATGAGAAGAAGAAGAAGAAGAAGAGGAAGAGGAAGAAGAAGGAAGAAGAAGAAGGAAGAAGAAGAAGCCGTGTATAGTGGTGTGCACTTGTAGTCCTCGTAATTAAATACCAGCCTGGGCAACATGGTGAGACCCCATCTCTACCAAAATAATAATAATAATAATGAGAAGAAGAAGAAGAAGAGGAAGAGGAAGAAGAAGAAAGAAAAAGAAGGAAGAAGAAGAAGAAGCCGTGTATAGTGGTGTGCACTTGTAGTCCCCGTTCCTTAAGAGGTTGAGGTGGGAGGATCGCTTGAGTTCAGGAGTTTGAGGCTGCAGTGAGCTGTGATCGCACCACTGCACTCCTGGGTGACAGAGTGAGATTGTCCCTAAAAAAGAAAGAAAGAAGACAGGTGACAACATGCAACATGGAACTGAGTGGATGTAAGAAGTGAGTGTGGCTGGAGAAGCAAGACTAAGTCCAAATCAAAGACACCACAGTATGTGAGGTTGGGTGGGAAAGGAGGAGGACATGGCAAAGGTGTCAGATAAGGACCCCCAGTAGGGCAAGGAGAAAACCATGAGAGCACAGCATCAGAAGGGCCAGGAGCCAGGCATGGGCTGCAACGGAGGATGTGGGCAGCTGAGAGGACTAGTGGAAGAATGACAGACAGGTGCCACGAATTTGGCAATGTTGAATGGATGCTGGTCCTTGGTAAGTCTGCATTAGTAGGGTGGCAAGGATGGAAGCCAGATGGGAATAGGATGCGGAGGCAGGGGTGAGGCGATTAAATTCAGACAACTTGTTCACTAGAAACAGAAGTGGAGAGTGGATCTAGAATGGGTGAGAGTGAAGAGATGGCTTTTAAAGATGGATCAAAGAACAAAGCTGGGGTGTCACATTACCTTTCAAATTTATTACAAAGCGGTAGTAACCAAAACAGTATGGTGCTGGTGCAAAAACAGACACATGGACCAGTGGAGCAGAATAGAGAACCCAGATATAAATCCACCCATTGCAACCAACTCATCTTCAACAAAGGCACCAAGAACTTACAATGGGGAAAAGACAGTCTCTTCCATAAGTGGTGCTGGGAAAACTAGATATCCATATACAAAAGAATGAAAATAGCCCCCTATCTCTCATCATACACAGAAATCAAATCAAAATAGATTATAGACTTGAATTTTAGATCTGAAACTATGAAACTACTAGAAGAAAACACTGGGGAACCACCCCGTGACATTGGTCTGAGCAAATATTTCTTGTGTAAGTTCTCAAAAGCACAGGCAACCAGAGCAAAAATAGACAATTGGAATTACATAATGCTAAAAAGCTTCTGCACCACACAGGAAACAACAAACTGAATAGACAAACCACAGATAGAGAGAAAATCTTTGCAATCTAACTGACAAGGGACTAATAACCTGAATATATAAAGAACTCAAACAACTAAATAGCAAAGAAACAAATAATTTCATTTTTAAAAATGGGCAAAAAATTGGGACAAACATTTTTCAAAAAGAAGACATACAAATGGCCTACAGTTATATTTTTTAAATGTTTGACATTGCTAATCATCAGATAAATGCAAATCAAAACCATAATGTAGTATCATCTCACTCAAGTTGAAATGGTTTGTATAAAAAAGACAGGCAACAGCATTAAGGAAAAATAGCTAATGCATGCTGGGCTTAATACCTAGGTGATAGGCTGATAGATGCAGCATACCACCATGGCACACATTTACCTACGTAACAAACCTGCATACCCTGCACATGTACCCTGGAACTAAAAATAAAAACTGAAAGAAAAAAAAATGAAGATAAAAAACAATATGCACTATTCAAAAAAAAAAAAAAGGCAACGATGGATGCTGGTGGGAATGAAGAAAGGGGAATTCTCATACGTTGCTGGTGGGAATGTAAATTAGTACAGCCACTATGAAGAAGAGTATGGAGGTTCCTTAAAAAATAGAAAATAGAACTTTCTTATGACCCTGCAATTCCAGTACTGGATATATATCTATAAGACAGGAAATCAATATATTGAATAGATATCTACACTCTCATGTTTATCTCAGCACTATTCACAATAGCCATAGCCAAAATATGGAATCAACCTAAGTGTCCACAACAGATGAATGGATAAAGAAAATGTGGTATATATACACAGTGTAACATTATTAGGCCCTTAACAAAATAAAACCCCTGTCATTTGCAGCCACATGGATGGAACTGGGGGCCATTATGTTATGTGAGATAAGCCAGGCACAGAAAGACAAATATCACATGTTCTTATCTGTGGGAGCTAAAAAGTGGATCTCATGAAGATAGAGAATAGATTGGCGGTTACCAGAGGCTGGGCATGGGAGGAGTACAAAGGGGTAAAGTGGGAAAAAATCATTAAATGTCTTTAAACTGTACACTTAAAAATGGTAAAGATGGGCTGGGCTTGGTGGCTCATGCCTGTAATCCCAGCATATTGGGAGGCCAAGGTCAGGAGTTCGAGACCAGCCTGGCCAATATGTTGAGACCCCATTCTCTACTAAAAATACAAAAAATTAGCTGGACATGGTGGTCACGTGCCTGTAGTCCCAGCTACTCAGGAGGCTGAGGCAGGGGAATCACTTGAACCTGGGAGGCGGAGGTTGCAGTGAGCCAAGATCGCACCACTGCACTCCTGCCTGGGCGACAGAGTGATGAGACTCTGTCTCAAAAAAAAAAAAAAAGAAAAGAAAATGTAAAGATGGTAAATTATATATGTATATTTTACCTAAATTTTTAAAAAAGATGAGTCAAGTTTGTATACTGATGTGAACGATCTGGTCGGGGAGGATAAGTGGACCTGGAGAGAGAGAGAGAGAGAGAGAGAGGAACAGAGAGATAGAGAGAAGGGGAGAGAGAGAGAGGAGAAATGAGAAAGACAGAGAGAGATAGAAAGAGAGAGAGAAGGAAGAGAGAGAAGAGGAATGAGACAGAGAGATAGAGAGAAGGGAGAGAGAGAGGAGGAATGAGAGAGAGAAAGGAGAGAGAGAGAGGAGGAATGACAGAGACAGAGAAGGGAGAGCGAGAGAGACAGCTAAGGGGGAATGGGGGAATGAAAGGACAGAGGAGAGACAGAAATAATATTTGGGGAGAGAATATTTGGGGAGAATATAGGAGATGGACCCCAAGGCACACGCGGAGGAATCAGCCCATGGCGTTCACTGTAGTAGGAAGGGAAGCTGGGGAGATGGATCTGTAGATTTGTCAGTGGGAGGCGGATGGAAAAGAATAAAAATTCCTGGCAGCACGCCAGCTCGGCCTTCCCACATTAGTACGGCCGTAATAACGACTTGGGAGTAATAATCCAAAAATTCGGATGTGGAGAGGGAGATGACACTGCATCACTTTGATCCAAATGGCATTTTTATGATGGCTTTAAATATGTTTATGATGTTTACAAGGAGAAAGTCTAGAATGCTGAGCAAAAGGATGCCTTTGGGAAAGGACATTAACATTTTGCTGACAACAATAACCCCCATGCTTGCCTCTCTCCTCCCCCAGGCCTTGCACTCCTTCTAGTTCTTTTGTTGTTCCACACCTGCAAGGTTGACCAGCTGCCCCACATCAGGGGACTCAGCTCTTGAAGGTGTTATCCCAGGAATGGTAGTAGGTCTTTCTGAGTCAAATCAATGTCCTCCAATTTGACTTCCAAGTGAACTTGTAAGCAGAGATACTCATTATTCAGCTGATAGTGTTAACAGAGATGGCTCAGATTCTAGAATTATTCCTGAGACAGGCTAACTGGACCATCTGCAATGATTCATATCATGCGTGGTCTTCAGGAGTCCACAAGGAGAAAGAAAATATTTAAACTTTTATGCTAGTAACTTTTATCTCATTCTTTTAAAACTGTATGTTGCAGTATATAAAAGCATTAATACAATAATATATGCATACAATTTATGTCTGTATACAATCATACAGTGGTGTGATCAAAACCTTTATCCTGAAGGAAGAATGTGGTCTCACAAGCCTACACACACACACACACACACACACACACACACACTCACACACACGACCATGCATGGCGGTTGTGAGATAGTAACGCAATGGATTTTCATTGACATTCCTATTGGTGGTTGTCCTTTCAAGAGTCTCTCCTGGTGGGTTTGGATCGTAAAGCACTTGCTGCAGCTTCTGAGCTGTCACGTGGTGCTGGCTTCTGAAGGAAACGTTTGCACCTCTGCATAATGTTTGAGCTAAAATGATGACCCTACGATAGTCATACTATATATTAATTGGCATATAGAATGTTATATATGCCTGCAGTGCACCTTTCTGCAGTGACTAATGGGCCTAGAGAGGTGGCCTCTCTGCAGGAGCTGCTCAAGGCAGGTGAGCATGGCTATGTTCCTCAGGAGGACATCACCTATTTATAGGGCCCTGCATTCTTTCTGGTCCTCAGCAAGGCCATTTGTGAATTGAGGCAATCAATATCCCACCCACCCGAACCCCATGATTTCTTAGTGGAAATAGCCAATATCCATTCTGAGTTTACTCAGTGCCAGGTGCTACTCTGCATTAGTGCTCTAATGCAGAGAAACTTATGGTAAAGATAAGGAAACAGAAGCCCATGTGGTCAGGATTTGCTCATAGCTACGGAGTGGCAGACCGAAATTTGGTTTCATCTAGTCTGTCTCCAAAGCCCGCAGTCTGAACCATGGTGATTTTTGCCTCTTGCACTCTCAGCTGCTTGCAGCTGCAGGCACAATGATTCCAGATTTACAAAGGCCCGCAAGTTTAGACATCCACATTTACATAATGACTTAAGGATTTGCAGATGTCTGGGAAAAATTATCCTGCTCACTTGGATTATTGGGACTGTGTCTCAACTTTCCATTTTATTTTGCACGTGTGCACAATATTTTCAGGTAATTTCTATGAAATAATATCCTGTCACATAGTTAAAGGTTATAAACATGGTGCTTTACCTTTGTTTTTGCCTTAATGGCCAAAGGAAGGAGGTTAGCGAGTGAGCACATTTGCTCCTTTTATCTGCAGTAGGAGCGTTTTGTTGGAAGTATTTCCATGTAGCAGCATGAAGCCAAATAAGACATTTACAAACAGTTTTTTTTTTAAGTTAAGATATATGTTTCATCTCTTGTTTCACATTGTTGCACTCAATATTTGCAATTGAGTTAGCTTAAAGTAAAGTGCATTTATTCGACTAGATGGTTTGCTCCAGTTGCCCCACTGTGTTTTTTTCTTCTATTTGATTGCTGTCTTGGTACTAAGCCAGTACAAAGACAGGAATGAAGATTTACAAAGTTTTCAAAGATTATAATGGGCCCTTGGGTGTGATATTTTAAATAGGAGCTGACTTTAAGTCAAAAGCTTTCAAATCAACCAGTAAGTACTTAACAGAAGTCCTTTCTTCATGACAAGGATGAAACACAGAGTGGATTACGCAAGGTGAATCTGGTCAGCCCGGGCCTGAGGTCACGTCTGACTCCCAGCAATGGTGTTTTGCTTGGAGACTTCTACTGCCCTCTTGGCCCCTCTGTTTGACCTGGCATGGTCCATCTGTAGTCACTCTCATAACATGTCATACATTCCTACACATTCTCATTTTCTGTGCTCCTTCAACTTTTTTTTTTTTTTTGAGACAGAGTCTTGCTCTGTCGCCCAGGCTGGAATGCAGTGGTATGATCTCGGCTCACTGCAATCTCCGCCTCCCGGGTTCAAGCAATTCTCCTGACTCAGCTTCCTGAGTAGCTGGGACTACAGGTGCATGCCACCAAGCCGGGCTAATTCTTGTATTTTTAGTAGAGATGGGGTTTCACCATTTTGGCCAGCCTGGTCTCGAACTCCTGACCTCGTGATCCACCCGCCTTGGCCTCCCAAAGTGCTGGGATTACAGGCGTGAGCCACTGCACCTGGCCTCAACTTTTATTAAAAAACAAACAACAAAAAACTGAGGCAGGGCCCTGCCTGGTACCCCTGACAGCCTTCGGAAGAAGAAAACAGGCCTTCTCTGTGGGTCATGTCTCCAGGGTGTGCAGGACCAAATACTGCTTTATTCATAAAACAGGTAGCTGGAAAGCTGCCCCACTGAGACTAAAGGGAATGGGGTAAATCATCCTCCCTTCATTTGGCTGTGGCTTCTGACAATCTAGATAGTTGTTTGCATACCTGTGTGCACACCTGTTGTCATTCTGTTTGGACAGATGACTAGCGTACAATACAGGTTCTTCAGAGGATACGTAATTAATCAAATCATAACAACCTCAATAATATAATCTGAAGAATTAAAAGCAGGGCTCTGGTATTTGTTCTACATAGCATTCATATAAATGTCCGATTGCTCTTTGCAGCTTACGCTTGGTAGTCCCAATCACTCTCTAGAAAGGGCTTATGAGCAGCTACCTGGAAGGCCTGGATTAGGGAGTGGTAGCAGATGTCATGGTTGAGAGGATCTAGGGGACCAGGCAGATACCCCATCGGACAGTGGGCATCCTCTAAACTGTCTCTCACTGACTTCACTATGAACCACAGTACCATAATTTTGGTCTTTACCATTTTCAAAATTTTCTGTTTTTCAAACCACAGGTTCAAACTCTATCGTAGTTTCAGATTAGTAGTCCATGTTTTTCTTATGACTCCACTTATTTAAGAACTTCAGTGACATACATTTATCTCCACGTAGTGAGGATAAAAAAGTTGAGAACAAGAAGCTAATACGATCATCAAGACACAGTCACAGGAAGTAAAATAGGAAGGAAGGAAAAAGAAAGGTCTAGGTCTTCAGAGACAAGGGAGAGATATGGCAAGGCAGAAGTCCCTAAGAGTTCAATATAAAGACAGGTAATACCACCACTCTTAAGGAAAATATTCCCAGGGATTCAAAGTTGATCGGTTCCATGTGTCTAAAATTCACTTGGACTTGTAAGAGAACCCCAACTTTAATGGAAGAAGAAAACAGGTAAAAATATCCTCAGCTCAGGGTTAGTGGCTTTTCTTATCTCAAATAAAGGGAATAACTCATTCATGTTGCTGGGCTTTCTTTGTCCTGTTTTAAGAAATTTCAAGTTGTTGGCTACCCAAAAGCTGCATTCTAGACTTCTTCCTCTTGTCCCACTGGGTAGAAGCATGGCCTGATATTTTCCTTCTTCAGTATAATAATTTCATTTTAAGGACAGTCAGGTCCTCTAAATGTGTTATTATTTTGGTTCAGGCTTTAAACCGAATAAGCCAGCCAAACATTGATAAAAGCAATGTATCTGAGCTTCCCATATTTACTCGGCACCCAGTGACATTTGGCTCTTATCTACTGAGAATATGAGAGTGATAACAGTAGGAAACTTAAGTCAGAGCCTGCAGGTTCTTATTTAATATCTATAGACACTAAAGGATTTGCATCTGGATTTAAAAGGAATTACTCTGAGAATATTTAATTCCAATAGTTGGAGGAAATTGCTCCTGTGATCAGTACAATTTGCCACAGTTTTAAACATGTGGGTGACAATGACTGACTTTCATATTTCTGTCCTCGGCAGCGTGACTGTACACAACTGAGTCGCAGCCACTCTCAGAGGGGATTGCAGCCTGCAGCTCACGTCTTAGAGCTTCTGAATGCAGCAGAGAACCAACTTGCTGAGCCACTATCATTATTAACAAAACGTTGGGGATTTTAAAAGAATCCTCAGAGAGTCCCAGCAACATATTCAATATGGAATGATAAGGGCCAGGCCTTTGGAGAGTTGAAGAAACCATTTTCCCAGTAAACCCTTACATCAAATGTACCAGTGACATCTGATTGCGCTGTTTCCTCTCTTGGAAATGCTCTTCCCCTCCTCCTCACCTATAGAAATTTGATTCACTTGTCACAACTGAACTCGAATCCTGCCTCCCCCACCGAGCCACCCTCTCTGAGGTTTCCTTCCCTGACTCCAGTTGGAACGAGTCCTTTCCTACTTAAGGCTATTATGATATGACCCTTTGTCCCTAACACACTGTACTTCCAAAGCACACACGGGTTTACATGCCCGTCCTCTACTGCATGCCAGACTGTCACTCACTGTCCTTAGTGGGGGCGAGGTTCTGCATTAGCAGGAACCAGAACAGCACCTTGCATGTCCTTAAGCGGCCGGGTTTTGGGGAGCTGAATCTGTTCATGCACACTTGGCCTTGTCCTGTTCTCAAAGCTGCTCCACAGACACGGGGCTGTCTCCTCTCCGTGGATGTCCCTGGCTGGGGCAGCTTCTTTTCCATGCATCAGCCTGTAGCACGATGTGCAGTCTTATGAGCAGTAAGAATAAATGTAATGTTTCTTACCCAGCAACCGCAGAATGTGCACAGCTGCAAGCAGAGTGTGTGCATGTGACAGTGTATTTGTGTAATTGTATGTGTGTATGAGAGAGAGACACTGTGCATATGTGTATCAGATGTAACTATCTATGTCACGTAACCACATATTAGACTTAAATGTTACTGTTTCAAGTTTTTAATATTAAAAAGTAGATTTTGAGGTCAGGCGCGGTGTCTCACGCCTGTAATCCCAGCACTTTGGGAGGCCGAGGCAGGTGGATTGCCTGAGGTCAGGAGATCGAGAACAGCTGGCCAACATGATGAAACCCTGTCTCTACTAAAAATACAAAAAAAATTAGTCGGACATGGTGGTGGATGTCTGTAGTCCCAGCTACTCGGGAGGCTGAGGCAAGAGAATCACTTGAACCCGGGCAGCGGAGGTTGGCAGTAAGCTGAGGTCGCACCTCTGCACTCCAGCCTGGGTGACAGGGCGAGACTCCATGTCTATAAAAAGAAATTGATTTTGATTTTCCTTTTGTGCTTGTCCTCTGATGTCACCTTCCTCCCCACAACACACACTACTGTTGTTAATTTGTTCAGACCATGGGTTCCTGACTCACAATTAGAAAGTGGAAGTGACAGTAGAAACACATTGCTTTCACTCTGAGCGCCCATGGTGGGCTGTTCCCTATTTTCAGGAGGTAGATGTTCATGCGGGAATACTGCTTTGAGGACTACATGCCTTGAGTTCAGAAAATAAGTTTGATTTAACGCGCCCCCCGCCCACCCACCGCCTTTTGTTTTGCAGAGAACGAAGACTCAGTCATATCTTAGGATGTCTTAGGCCTGAACCTGAAAAAGGCTTCCCTGCTTTATGTCATCATCAGTCAGGATGCTATCTCCCTTTATCTTTTGTCCCGTGTGCTGGGAGGACATGGTCCAGGGTGAAATGAAAAACAAAGTGAAATGCATAACTTTATTTGCGTGTTTCTAATCATCCTTTAACAGCAAGAATAATACACTGTATTATAATAGTCAAATTTACTCTCTTGAGCTTACTTCATCTGGAGAGGTCTACTGACTATTTTGGTAACTCTTGTAAGATTTTTCACTAGCTCAAGCAGCATCTCTCAAAGTGTCAACTGTTCACCTTTCACTCCAGTTCATGCTGCTTTTTCTGGCTGTGCTGCTAGGCTGAATGCATCGCTAACACCCGCACAGGGGACACAGCAGATTTTAGCAGATGCCTCTGTGGTTTGCAATGGGAGGGAGCACTTCCCATGTGTCCCAAATGAAAACAAGCAGAACTTCAGGTATGAATATATATGCAAGTACATACAATTAGAAGAATATGCAGATGTACACATGCCTCCTGGGCACCTGTTTTCAGGACAGAAAAGGAAAGAGTCAGATCGTGTGTCTCTGCATGAGCTCAATTGAGAAAGGGGTTCCCTCACCAAATATTCAACTCATTGATTGTTGCAAATTCTGAGCTGGATGCTAATGAGGAAATCAAACACTGGCTCCTTCATCCCAGATTTGTAAAGCTTATTACTGATAGTTTTCAGTCTTTCCGTCTTCTAATTTATAACCCAACTTCTAATGTTCAAGTCACTCTGCTCTGTGCAAGAATCTACCCCTCCATGGTTGGGAGACTTTGGCAAACCCAATCAGAGATGAGGACAAACTGAATCAGCAAAGGAGGTGGTGCTGACCAGGTTCTGACCCAGCAGCATGTCTTGGGAAGAAACTAAGCCCTTCCTCAATACCTCCCCGCCAAGCTGGCACTGCTCATTGACTCAGATCACAAATCCTGGGTAATCTGGGTGGAGCATGTTGCCCAACCTCAGTGACATTTGCTATTTCTATTTTTGGAATAGAGCGAAAGGATCCAGGAGATCAATTCGGCTTGATCCTGTTTTTTCCTTTCTAGTCAACCTCCTACAGTGTGAGCAATGACCCTCACTCCACCCCCAGGCATACACACCCCCCTCTACATCCCACAACTTAGGCAGTTTCTAAGACTTTGGGAAAATCCCTGGGAGTTCCTCATAACACAAAATGCCTTGGGCTGTACAAGCCTAGGAGAAGATGCCAAGCTGTGGTCTAGGCTCAGGGAATAGTTTCGCTGCCCCTTCCTCCCCACCTCCCTACAGACACCCCCCACCAGCCAAGCAGCCTGTTCCCACTGATGCCTGACTGGGGAAGGAGACTGAGTTTGTTAGGGCCAAGGCCATAAGCACTTATCACTCAGCAACCACAAAAGCAACTGGGTTTTGTGTTGATCCCTCTAAGATTAGGCCTTGAACCTCCTTTGTGCACCCCTTCCCAACAGACAATTGTACTTCTGTCTGAAAGTTTTAATTAAATGACTCCTGCACAAGCTGTCTGATTTCAGGAGACATAGCAGCATCTATTGGATCAACAGTTCCATTGTTTGAAACATGAGGACTATAAATAGGAGGCAGAAACTGACAGCACATTTAGTGTGTTTGCCTATGTGGTAATGGACATGAATAGTATGGGCACTGAGCTGGTGAACAACAGAATCTCAAAAAGGGAAGAACACATTTGCCCAAAACATTAATCAGTATCAGGCTGGCAGGAGAGAATCAAAGTAGCTTCTGTGGAGAGAAGACACCTCACCCAGAGATAAATAGCTTGCAAGTATTAGAACATTCACAGTGAAAATTAACCCATTTCCTTTAAAAAAAAAAAAAACTTTTAATTTTGAGATACTTTTAGACTTACAGTAAAGTTGCAAAAATAGTACAGAGTTCCGTATCCCCCTAATCCAGCTTATCCTAATGTTAGCATCTAACAAAACCATACAACCAAGATGACGACTAAGAAATTAACATTGATACAATGCTACTAACTAAACTGCAGACTTTATTCAGTTTTCTCCAGTGTTTCTGCCACGGTCCTTTTTCTGATCCAGAGCCAATCCAGGATATCACCCTGTATTTAATTGTCACATCTACTTGGTTTGGTCCACATTTTTATTACTGGTTGTATTTTCTGCACTTTTTTGTTCTTTGAGACAGAGTTTTGCCCCTTTTGCCCAGGCTGGAGTGCAACGGTGCGATCTCAGCTCACTGCAAGCTCTGCCTCCCAGGTTCAAGCGATTCTCCTGCCTCAGCCTCCCAAGTAGCTGGGATTACAGGTGTGCACCACCACGCCCAGGTAATTCTGTATTTTTAGTAGATATGGGGTTTTGCCATGTGGGCCAGGCTGGTCTTGAACTCCTGACCTCAGGTGATCCGCCCTTCTCGGCCTCCCAAACTCCTGGGATTACAGGCGTGAGCCATCCTGCCTGGCCATTTTCTGCATTCTTTCTACACTTATTAATTGCTGTTTCTCTAGAAGGAAGTGTTATTCCTTCTCCCCCATTTATTTATTGGTTTTTTCCAAGGAGACATGACAATTAAAAACAGGGTGATATCCTGGATTGGATCTGTGACAGCTCCTTGGTGTTCCCTTTACTTTCATGACCTTCTTACTTTTAAAGAGCATTGGTCGGTTATTTCATAGAACGTCCTTCAGTTTTGGTGTGTCTTATGTTTTCTCACGATGAGATTGAGCTTGTACATTTTGGGGTTGAATAACAGAGGTGATGGGCCCTTCTCAGGGCATCAGGTCAGAGAGTACGTGATGACTATCTGTTTTACTATTGGTGGTGTTAACCTCAATTTTTAGGCTAAGGTGGATGGAGTTAACCTCGATTACTAGGCTAGGGTGGTGTGTGCCTGTCAAAATTATCCACTGGAAAGTTCCTATTTTTCTTTTTGTGATTAATAGACATTTATGTTGAAGGGGGTCCTTTGAGGCTATAAAAATAACTTCTTTTTTTTTAAATTTTGCTCACTAATTTTGGTATCCATGTGTAGATCTTGACTGGAGAAATTTTTGTTACTGGTTGTATTTTCCACATTCTTTCTACATTTATTAATTGCAATTTCTCTAGAAGGAAGTGTTATTCCTTCTCCCCCATCTATTTATTTATTCAGTTACTTATTTATATCAGTATGAACTCAGCATTATTTATTTTATTCTTTGGATAAGAATGCAATAATGCAATACTATAACAATTTATTTTCCTGATCAAATTGTTTCAGCTTTGGCCGCTGGGAGCTCTTACAGGCTGGCTCGTGCCCCCTATTGCAAGCTTCTATTTCTTTTGTTTGACTGCTTCTTTACTCTCTGGTACCACAAATCCTCTATGCTCGTCTTATATATTCTTTGCTCCAGCTTTGGAATTAACCAATACTTCAAAAGTCCTGTTTCCTTTTATTGCAAAGTCAAATTTAGAACCAAGATCTGGGCAATAGATGTGCTCATTGCTACTAGAATGTCATTTCCACTAGGTCATCTCAGCAGACAGAACTAGGAAATGCATGTCATATGTACCAACCCATATGTATATATGTATCTATGTTTATTTCTGCATATATTTATCTGTTTATATATTTTAAGTAAACACAAGTTTGTATTGATACTTTGGACTCCAATTCAGCACCACATGGTTCACTCTAGCCTTCTTCCTTATTTGTAATGCCTTTCCCTGACTGTGAGAGCCTGACTCACAGCATCTACCATACATTTCTTGTTTTGCTAACTCATAACCCAGAGACAAACAAATTTACCAAATAAAATACAGCATGGAGTATAGTTCTTGTTGTCTTTAGCCTTCCAGTATCGAGTCAAAACAGGGTTTCCAAAGATACCTAGGTCAGCTCTTTTGTCCCCCACCTGTCTCAGTGAGCCTTGGTGATTGATTAATTTCTGACACAGTTGGGTTTCTTTCTTACTGTCTGTGTTTCTTCTCAACTGCCCCCCCTTCCATTCAGCCAACATGCTGGTTGATTTTAAAAATTTAACTTACATATAACAAAATTGTAATTCTGTACATCAAATTTGTATGTCACTCTTTGTGACATATAGTTTTATGCATTTTGACAAAGTGATAGTCATCTATTTACTGCTATAGTTTCTTAGAGCACAATTCCATTCCCACTCCCCTAATTTCCTCATGATCCCTGCTTGTAGTTTGTCCTCCCCACCATCACTCAACTCATGGCAACCACTGATCTGTTTTCCATCTTATAAAGATGGAAGCTGTAAGCTTCACCTCTTCCAGAATGTTGTATAAATAGAATCAAACAATATGCAGCCTTTGGGATGAACTTCTTTCACATACTGAAAAGAATTTAAGATTAATCCATGTTGTTGTTTAAATTAACAATTTGTTTCTATTTATTCCTCAGTAGTATTCCATGATACAGGTGTACCATAGTTTATCCATCCTTGTTTGAAGGTCACATGGGTTGTGTCCAGCTTTTGGCCACTATGAATAAAGATTCTATATAGATCCACATACAGGTCTTTATGTGAACATATATTTTCCTTTTCTTGGGTAAATAACTAGGATTGGGATTGCTGAGTCATATGGTAGGTGCAAGTTGAACACTATAAGAAAATGCTCAACTGTTTATCAATGTGGTTGGCCATTTTTGCTTTGAGCGAATAGCAACATATGAGAGTTCCATTTGCTCTGCCTCCTTGCTGGCATATAGTATTATCAAGATTTATGGGGCTTAGCCATTCTAATAGGCAGGCAGTGGTATTACCTTGTGGTGTTATTTACATTTCCCAAATGACTGATGATGTTAATCATTTTTCATATGCTTATGCACCATCTTTATTTACATGCCTGTTTAGATTACTTGCCTATTTAAAAAATATTGGGTTGTTCATTTTCTTATTTTTGAGTTTTGAGAGTTCTTTATTGTATTCTGGACACATGTCCTTTGTTAGAAATGTGATTTGCAAATATCTTCTCCCAGTTTGTGGATTGTCTTTCTAATTTTTTAAGCGTGTCCTTTTCAGAGAAAACATTTTTAACTTTTATAAAGTCCAACTCTTTCTTTCTTCCTTTTCTTTCCTTTTTTTTCTTTTTCTTTTCCTTGAGATAGAGTCTCACTCTGTCACCCAGGCTGGAGTGCAATGGTATGATCTTGGCTCACTACAATCTCTACCTCCTGGGTTCAAGCAATTCTCCTACCTTAGTCTCCTGAGTAGCTGGGATTACAGGCACCCACCACCATGCCCAGCTAATTTTTGTACTTTTAGTAGACACGGGGTTTCACCATGTTGGCCAGTCCGGTCTTGAACTCCTGACCTTAAGTGGTCTGCCTGCCTCAGCCTCCCAAAGTGCTGGGATTACAGGCATGAGCCACTGTGCCTGGCCATTATTTTTTCTTTTATAAATTGTGCTTTGGTATTATATTTAAATACTTTTTGTCTAACCAAAGGTCATTACAATTTGCTTCCATGTTCTCTTCTATAAGTTTTATAGTTCTACAATTTAAATAAGTCTATTATCAACTTTGAGTTACTTTTTTTGTATAAAATATGAAGCATAGTTTAATATTCTTTTTAAAAATATAAATGAAATATTCACATGAATATGAAATTTTTTCATAATTCCAGCACCATTTGTTGAAAATACTATTCTCTCTACATTGAATTAATTTTGTACCTTTGTCCAAAATTAATTGGCTATTCTTACGTGGATCTATTTCTGGGTTCTCATTTCTGTTTCATTGATATGTATGTCTGGCCTTTTAAAAATATTATATTATCTTAATTATTGTAGAGTCATCATAAGTCTTGAAATTTGGTGCTATGAGTCTTCCAACATTTTTCTTCTTTTTCAAAATTGTTTTGGTTATTCTAGATACTGTGCTTTTCCATATATATTTAGAATGAGTTTTTCAGTAGCTACCAAAAAAGCTTTCTTGGATTTTGATTGGGATTGCATTGAACCTATAGATCAAATTAAGGAGAACTGACATCTTAACAATATTAAGTATTCTAATTTTGACCATGGCATATCTTTCCATTTAGTTAGATCTTGTTTGATTTATCAGAATTTTTATAGTTGTCAGCATGCAGATTCTACACACTAAACAAAAAAAAAGATTTATACCTAAGTATTTCACTTTAGGAGCCACTGTAAATTTATTTTAAAAAAATTGGTTTCCAGTGGTTCGTTTCTAGTGTATATAAATTAATATTTGTATGTTGACCTTGTGTCCTGTGACTTGGATCAACTTGCTTACCAAATCTAGAAGCTTTCTTTTATTCCCTAGTTTCTTTTTTAGATTTTTGTATGTAGAGAATAATATCTGTAGAGAATAATATCTATAACTAGAGACAGTTTTATTTCTTCTTTTCTAGTCTGTATGCTTTTTTTTTTTTTTCTGCCATATTGCACAGACTAGGAACCCAGAACAATGCTGGATACCAGGAGTGAGAGAACCTCCTTGACTTGTTGAAGATCTTAGGGGAAAAGATGGAAAGTCTTTCACTAATAGGTATAATTATAATTAATTATTTCAATATCCTTTATTGGTTAAAGGCAGGTTCCTAGGTGATCACAAGTTTTTTTTTTCACGAATAGATCTTGACTTTTGTCAAATGCTTTTTCTGTTATCTATTGAATATATACATTTTTTTTTCCTTTTTAGTCTGTTAATATGTTAATTACACTGGCTGCTTTTTGAATGTTAAATCAGTCTGGTAGTTTTTGGAATAAACTCCACTTGGACATGATGTATTATATTTTTAATATATCGTTTGCTGAAAAAAAATATTGGTAGAATGCATTTATTGTTGGCAGTAAAGACCTCCATGTTCTTTAAAAGCCAAAGACCAGGGCCAGAGTACTGCTGGAAGCTAATCTCCTCCCTGGGAGCCACACAGATAAGGTTAACTGGAAGCAAAGGGCTCTGGAAGAGAGGAAGCCAGGGTGCCGCTGCTGCGCCCCGTTCCTGCCTGGCTTGGACGTATCTGGAACTGACCTCATTCTTTCACTATGGTGGACAGAATTCTAAAGCTGTCTTTCTAAGATGTCGTCCCCTGGTTATATAATCAAGCGCTAATCCAGGTAATGCTGTGAAGGGACTTTGCAACCCAAATTAAGGAGGCTAATCACCTGACCTGAAAATATGGCAATTATCTTGGGTTACTGAGTAGGTCCAATGTAATCACATTAGCTCTTAAAAGCAGAAGAGGAAGCCAGAGAGATGCAGCAGAAGGGCTGGTGGGACTGGAAACATGAGAACTTTGTCTGCCATTGCTAGTTTTGAAGATGAAGATGGAGGAAGGGACCACCGAGGAATGTGGGTGGGCTTTAGAAGCCGAGAACGATGCCCGCAAGGAAGCAAGCAAGGGAATGCACCCGGAACGACTTTGGAAGCAGATTTATTCCCCAAACCTCCAGGAAGGAACACAGCCCCACTAATACCTTGATTTTGGCCTATGAGACCCAGAGCAGAGAACAAGCTGAACCCCACTATGTGTGGACTTCTAACCTACAAAACTGTGAGATAATAGATAGACACTGTTTTAAGATGCTAAATTTGTGGCAATTTGTTAAGGCAGCAATAAAAAACGAATGCTTTGGCTTAGCAAACATATACGGAAGACCTTCTATGTGTCAGGGACTGCCAGGTGCTGAAGATAAGGAGACTGGGAAGAAAAACGACCTCTTTATCTAAGGGGCGCACCAACCAGAGGGAGACTATAACACCAAACAAAACATGGAGGTATTCCGTATATGTGCCGTAAAAGCAAAGCTTATCTTGGTTGCAAAGAATAAAAAGCAATTCTGGCTAACTTTAAATAACAAAAGAAAAAAAAAGAGAGACTATGTGCTTTTAATTTTGAGAGCAAAGATACTGGAAGATTCTAGTTTGAATCTTCTAGTTTGAAGGAAACTTCAAACATGTCAGATTTGGGGAAAGGACGACCAGTACATTCCCAGGAACCTTAGTCATAGAAGTTTGTAGACTTTCTGCTGGTTCTTTAACTCTGAACCCACAGTTCTTGGCCTTAATTTATCCTTTCCAAATTTAAAATTATAAGAGGGAAAAAGACAAGGCTTAGATTGGTCCTCTTCAAGGACGGCATCAATCTATTCATGAAGGATCCAACCCTCCCCAGCCCAAACACCTCCCATTAGGCCCCACCTTAAAGACTAGTAATCAAATTTCGACATGAGGTTTAGAGGGGATAAATATCCAAACTATAGCAAGGGTAACCTGTTTTACTTAGAGTCCATTAAAAAAACATCTTCACAGCAACATGCAGCCTGGTGTTTGATCAAATTTCTGGGTAATGTGGACTAGGCAAGTTGACCCATAAAATTGAACATCACATCTTGTGGTACACATAACCCATGGGGTCTAGCTCTATGGGTCAGAGCCTCATCCCCAGAAAGAAGCCTCTTTATGGGCCTTAAAGTTAGTCAAACAGGTGCTCCCAAGACTGTCCAGTTGTCAGCCACACTTCAATTACCCCTACAATGAGGATGGTAATACTCATAGGATTTTTTTTGTGTAGCTTGGAAAAAGATTATGAGGATAAAATGATTTTGTTAACTGTTAAGTGATGTGCGTATGTGAAGTTGGCATTATGTATTTTAAATTAAGATTCAAGGAAAGTTGGCAAACTTTGAAATCTAGAATTTGTACTTGCTACTAAAAACGAGTAATTTTTAAGTGAGACGTCAGGAAACCCCAAAGCCTTTTCGTGATTCCAAATGCTGTCAGAAACTCCTCAAAGCAAAACTCCACCATCTGCACTTTAAATTGAAAAGTGTGGCGAGTCCTCAGGGATCTAGAACTAGAAATACCATTTGACCCAGCCATCCCATTACTGGGTATATACCCAAAGGACTATAAATCATGCTGCTATAAAGACACATGCACACATATGTTTATTGCGGCACTATTCACAATAGCAAAGACTTGGAACCAACCCAAATGTCCAACAATGATAGACTGGATTAAGAAAATGTGGCACATATACCCCATGGAATACTATGCAGCCATAAAAAATGATGAGTTCATGTCCTTTGTAGTGACATGGATGAAATTGGAAATCATCCTTCTCAGTAAACTATCGCAAGAACAAAAAACCAAACACCACATATTCTCACTCATAGGTGGGAATTGAACAATGAGAACACATGGACACAGGAAGGGGAACATCACACTCTGGGGGCTGTTGTGGGGTCAGGGGAGAGGGGAGGGATAGCATTAGGAGATACACCAAATGTTAAATGATGAGTTAATGGGTGCAGCACACCAGCATGGCACATGTATACATATGTAACTAACCTGCACATTGTGCACATGTACCCTAAAACTTAAAGCATAATAAAATAAAATAAAATAAAAAGTCATGAAGATATTAAAAATTTTTTTTAATAAAAGCACGATCCATATAAGGAAAAAAAAAAAAAAAAGAAAAGTGAAACTGCGATCATCCCTGTCTATCAGGAACAGCCAGGGGCTGATGAATTGCAACAGGATAGGGTTGTCCCAACCCCAAATGACAAAGACTCACTGCCCTGAAGGATAAAAGTGGGAAAAAACCTAAACAAAAATCACGAGTTGAGCCAGAGATGTTTGTGACCCAACAGAACATGGATTTTTCACGTTCTCTTGTGCTTTTCTGGTCTTTACTGGATGAAACATCAGAGCATCTATGCTGATTGTATTCTGACAAAACTATCAGAGGCCAGAGTGAGTCTTACAAATTTTGTGTATCTTATTGCTTCACAGTCAGTCCCTTCTTTATAGCATGGCTGAGTGCTGAACTTAGCCCCAACTTTTTAAAAATTAAAATTGGTCAATATTGCAACCCTTTCCTAGCCCTTCTGTCTTCTGTCCCTCCCTCCCTTCTATCCTTCTTGCAGATGTAATTCAGGCAGAATTCTGACATTCATGTATCAAACTTGCTGTTGCCGGCATCATTTTGCTTAGTGTTCATTATCATTTCTGAACGGTTCTATCAGGCAAAGGCGTCCTCGTTCTCCAAGCAAGGAAGCCCCAGCCAGACAGTTGTCAAGGCAACGGAAAATGCACACTGTGAACTACCAAGAAAAGGCCGTTTCTGGCTGCTAAGAGTTTTTGCACTCTTGAGGCTCAAACTTAATTTCTGGGCTTGGCAAAAAGAAGTATTTTATGGCTAATTATAAAATGTACCCAATGTTATTAGACTAGGGGATAGATGATTGCCTGCTAAATGTGTTGTGAAAAATTAAAGCAGTTTTCAGAGCGGAGGGAGCTAAACTCAGTGTGCCCAAAGGATCGATCGCTTATTTTTGTCATTCTTTATAGCTGGAATACAACAGTTGATTTGAGTCTCATTATCTATTTTGTTGTCTTAGGTGTTCAAAACAAGGTAGAAAGTGCACCGTCCATATTTAGACTTTTTTTGGTTGGCGGGGGTGATGGTTAGGGCAGCGTTTAAATAACATGTTTCTTGGTCCACATTAAGAGCCGTACATTACACTTAGCAGGTGAGACTATAAGATCAGAGTCTGTGGGCTAATTTCGTACATTAGCTGCTATCATTGTCTTCCACATCTATTTATTTATTTATTTTTGTCTTCTATTCTCTTCCCATGTACTTGCTTGTCAACAAACCCCAAATAAATGCCACATATTAAGTTAATAAAAGACATGGTAGTTAGGGATTGAAAGTGTCAGGGTGAAAACACTGGTATGACAATCCGCCTTCTTAATAAGGTTGTTCTTTTGTAAACAATGTTTTAAAATCTAACTTTATATGAATGGTTGATTCAAAGCCTGGTGGCCAGTGTTACAGTGAATCTCCATTCACCGTAATGGAGATTCACTGTAATGGACTCAGTTAATCCAGTCGTTGAATAATCCATGTTAAGCCTTCACTTTTTTTCTTTTTGGGTGAGCCTCCACTCATTGAAAACAAGGTAAACTTAGACTGAGGTTGACATGATTGGGTATCTTTCCTCAGGATCTCCCCCTTAAGAAAGGAAAACTGAACCATCCTTTAGAAGAGGAAATATGATTTACCTGAGGAAGAGGTAATATATTTCTTTCTACACTCAGCTGATTGATCATGGAATAAAACAGTATTTGTAGTCCTCTCTCAGGTAGAGAAGGCTCATGAAGTTGATCTCCTAAAAGAAAACAATGCTATGGAAACTAAGTATGTTTTAATGTTTAATGTGCATCGTATTTACTCATAGGTATTCAAACAACATCCCTCCCTTTAGCCTGAAATGTTCCCAGGATTGTATTTTATACACTAGGCACATTGATATAGGCAAAGGAATGGGGAAGGTAATTATCCAGCAATCAGACATGTCAACCAGGCTTGTTTGGATAACTGACAGCGGTGAATCAGGTTCATCGCCTCTATTGCTTTGTGGGACTTTGTTTCTCTTTATAGCATTTCCACATGTGTTGAAACAGGGCCTAAATGTAGGTGTTCAGGATATTAAAACTAGAGCTTTCTAAAAGGACTGAGTATAATTAACTCTTGACTTAAGTTCCTTCTTTAAATTTCATTTCTATCTGTGGTTTAGAGGCAGTGGGAGGCTGTGAAATGGAAAAATGGACCAAAATAAGAAACTGAAGTGAAATGAAATGACTGAAATCTGTTTCCCCATAGCCAGCTTTCTGGAGCGTTTCAGCAGCGCCAGTCATCCTTGCATACACTGAGTTTCTACTACATTCCAGGTGTTGTAAAATTTTCTTTGAGTGGGGTAGAAAGTAGGAGAATAAAAATCAAAGTGACGCCTGGTCCAGCTCTCAAAAACCTCAGATTCTAATCAAATGCAGATTCGGTCTGAATGTGCATCATCAGAATGTACCAAGGGCCCCTATCAACGTGTATACAGTTTCCACAGGAACACAGAGGAGAGAGCAGCTATCTCTGCCTGGAGGAGTTGGGAAGGTTCCACTGAAGAGGTGGATCTTGAAGAATGGGTATGAGTTCAACATATAGAGAAATGGGATATGAGACTGAAAGAGCATTCCCAACAATGCACATGTGGCTGAGAGGAAGAGCTCGATGCATACGAGCAGTAGAGAGTTTTTTCACAAGGCAGGGGACTCAGGCCACTTGTATGGATGGAAAGGAAGGGACTTAAGAAAGGTTTTTAAGGCAGGAAGAGCTGGCTGTCTCCCCGAGACGCTTCTGATAAGCTGTGCTAAAGAGCTTGGCATTTAGCTCCTGGGTTACAGGGCCTCTGAAAGGTTTTAAGCAAATGACTACCCTGAAGAGACTCTGGTGGGTGGAAAGACAAAGCATGGATTGGAGTGAGAATTAAAGGTGGAGACAGGCTCAGGGATTAAGGGATGGTTCAAGGGAGATACACGGACCTGAACAAAGGTAGGGGGCATGGGGATGGAGATGAAAGGAAACCATCAGAAAAGAAGGGGCCAAAGAGGGAGGTTATCTTGGCAGAAGAAAGACATTATTCATCTTGGTTGGTTGGAAATGTGGGTCTGGAGCTCATAAGACAGATCATGGATAGGGATATAGCTCAGGGTCTGGGGTCCTGACTCCCCCTAAGGGTCTTACCTCAGAGAGTGATGACTGAGCTTCTGGAGGTCTTGAATTTCCTGAAATTTATGTAAAATGGAAGGTGCATGTGTATACATTTCCTAGGGAATAAGTCAATAGCCTTCATCAGTTTCTCAAATGGTTGGAAAATGGAATATAGAACAGCACCAAAAAACACTATCTTAAATGAGGATCTATCTACAGGGTGTTAAACGGAAGTGAGAGTAACCCAGTGAGCAATGGAGAGGAGAGAAGGTCCCGGCAGCCTTGAGGCCCCTTCCCCCTTAAGCTGAGCACTCAGTGTCACTCTTCTCAGCTCCATCTGACTGTCCCCATCTCTAATCTCTCCCCATATGTACTTCATATGAATCAAAGGAAATAACATAGAGAGCTTGTAAACTCTGAAATGCTCTGCAAGTGTTTAGTTATCATTTAAAAGATGAAATGAAATATGGCAACTCCATTTAAGCTTTTATTAGTTCTGCCCATCTCCATGGAAAATATCTGTGACATTCAAAATGCCTGTTGATGCTACATTCACTAATCTTTTTATTAATAAGTGAGCATGTAAAGTTCACACACCTCAGACACTAAGATATGCTATCAGTACACATCGATGCCTTCCTCCTAATTCAGGGCTGGGTAGGATGGGCCTGAGACAACACAGATGGATGGCCAATGACTCAGAGGTGGAAAGTGGAATGCAACCCAGCAGTACTGTGCAGCGATGCAGTCAGATAGAAACAACATCTAACTTTTCAGTGCAGCTTAAATGATGTTGAATTAGCCATGGTGTGGCGGCACGATTATGTCTCAACATCACTGTGCTAAATCTAAACCAGAAGGAAGCCCTGTGTGCAGAGAGCGATGGTAGCAAAAAGCTCTATTAAGATTTGTTTCAGAACAGAAAAGAGTCAATATATACTATAAATTAAAAAAAAAATTGTCACCATTGTAGCCGATGTGAGAAATTTTGGCATGCTATTTATAGCCCAGATTCCCATTTGAAGTAAAATGCAGTCAGATTGCAAGAACAGGGTTTTGAGCCATAGAATTGATCATAGAGCTGATGGAGCCACATATCAAGAATTGTTGATGGGAGTGGGTTCTCTGCATTTAGACTTCTGAGATGAGGGATAAGGAAGAACCCTCTAATCCAGGTGTCTAAAATAGCCATGGGTCATTTAAGAAAATTATCCACCAAAGATTCCTTAACAAATTTTTTTCTAAAGGCGGGTTTAGGCACATGGTAGGAAGGAAAATCAAAAAGAATCCCTTTCTTAAATGAGTTATTAAAGAAATAGATTTGATTAGAAATGAACTCATGAAATTAAAATGTTAGGATGATTGAAAGTAGAACATCACTTTTTTCTTGTGAAGGTCAAATGAGGGGTGTGCTTGTGAGAAAGGAAAAAGACAACAGCAAGGAAAGCAAATTAAAACCAACATCAGGTTGTGCAATGGACTAAATGTGTTCCCTTAAAATTCATATATTGGAATCTTAACACCAATGTGATGGGAATAGGAGGTGGGGCCTTTAGGAAGAGATTAGGTCATGAGAGGGGGCCCTCATAAATTAGATTAGTGCCTTTTTAAAAGGGACCCCCGAGAGCTCTCTCTCACCCTGTCTCCCCACTGTGAGGACACAAATAGAAGGCAGCTGTCTGCAAACTTGGAAGGGAGTCCTCACCAGAACCCAACCCTGCTGGCTCCCTGATCTTGGACACATGCCTGTTGTTTATAAGCCACCATCTCTATGACACTTTGCTATGGCAGCCTGACCTGACTAAGGCAAGCTGGGAGTTAGAACTCTCAAATTCTCCGAATCTCAGCCCTGACATTCAATAGCTGTGGGTGGCATGATGGGCATGGCACTTTACAGATTTGTTTCCTGACTTTTAATCTAAACAAGAAAGAGCACAACCACTACTGCCTACCTGAGATCATTGCACACAAGTGTTTTATAAACTGTTATATAAATAATTTATTTTGGCACAATCTTGAAATTTTAAATGTCTATATGAAAATTTTCTCTGCTTGTCACCACTACCTCCTGTCCTTATAGAAACGTATTTTCATGAGCCATTTGGTTCAGAGTTTAAAAGCAGGGAGAATAATTATTCAACCATAATTGATGTCAAGCAATGTTGTAAAATCTCTTAACTTATCAGAGTCTAAGCACTGTTGGTTATGAAACCCAAATAATAACAATGCATGTGAAAGTGTTTTGTAAACTTTAATGCTCAATGCAAATGTCATTTATTTATTTCAGTTTCTCTCTTACTAAAGTCTGTTTTTCTGATCTTTTTGCTGCTGGTATATTTTTGCCCTAGTAAGTTCAAAAAAATTAAAAAGTCGTAATTCTTGGCTTCAGATACCTCCCTAGGAATTCTGAGAGTTTTTTTTCTATATAGATCTGCATTGCCTGCTTGATTCCAGCACATCTCAACTGGGTAGCTCCTACGCCAACCATTTATTTCATGAGCTTGCATCTCACTCTCTTCTCACCTTCTCCATTAACCTTTACCTTGGAAACGTCAGATCTGCTCCCATCTAAGCCAAAAACACTATCCAATTTTATATCCATTAGGTAATGCCTTGTGATTCAAACTACATCTCAAGATTCTCCTTGTTG
Organism: Homo sapiens; assembly: GCF_000001405.40. Classification (NCBI taxonomy): domain Eukaryota; kingdom Metazoa; phylum Chordata; class Mammalia; order Primates; family Hominidae; genus Homo; species Homo sapiens. Next base: position 38,097,375 of record NC_000021.9, read on the forward strand.
AGAAAGCTTATCTCAATGTGCTTGGAGGGGTGACAAGGATGCAATTCGTTAATCATTGTAACTCTTCATATTTAGAGAATGCAGCAATTAAAAGGTGCTTCCTCATAAACATGTGACCTTGTTTGATCTTCACTTCTATAAAGAAAAACATAGTACCTATAATTATTTAACATTATTCCATCCATTGTGCAAAGTGAGAAAACCAACAATGTTTAAATCCAATAAAGTCCAAAATCTCTCAGATGATAAGTAAAACAGTGAAGTTTGCATTTTTTCTGTCTACATCTAAGTTTTTTTTCTTTCAGGATTTTTTCTTTGTTTTTGGTTTTCTGAAGTTTGAATATGATATGCCTACATGTGTATTTTGTTTGTTTGTCACTTATCCTGTTTGGTGTACTCTGTGGCTTGGTGTTTTGCATTACTTTTGGAAAGTTCTCAGTCATTGTTTCTTTACATATTTCTTCTGCTCCATCCTATGTTTCTTCTCCTACTAGTATTCTAATTACATATATATTGCATCTTTTGAAATTGTCCCACAGTTCTTAATTGTTCTGTTCTGCTTTTATCATTCTTTTTTCTCTTTGAATTTCAGTTTGGAAAGTTTTCATTGATCTATCTTCAAGCTCACTGATTCTTTCTTTGGCTGTGTCTAATCCACTAATGAGCCTATCAGAGGCATTCTTCATTTCTGTTAGTGTTTTTCATTTCTAGCATTTCCTTTTGATACTTTTCTAGAGTTTCCATCTCTCTACTTCATTATCCACCTGTTCTTTCATGTCTATTTTTTCCATTAATTACCTTAATATATTAATCAGTTACTTTAAATTCCATAATAATTACAACATATGTTTCATATCTGAGTCTAGTTCTTAATATTGTTTTGTCTCTTCAGAATGTTTTTTTCTTGTCATTTGACATGTCTTATAATTTTTTGTTGAAAGTCAGATACAATGTATCGAGTACTAGGAAGTGAAGTAAATAGGCATTTAGTATAAGAATTAATGGTCGTCTGGCAGAGAAGTTCGTTTGTCTTTAGTGTTTGCTATAGTTGTATGTTACAAATATAAATATAGCCAGAGGTTTCAGATTTCTCTAGTGTCTTTTTCTTTGTCTCATCTCTTACCTTTGGGCTTCCCTAAGTACTCCTTCTTAGAGAGAGTTTGTGTCACCTCTTTCAGCTGTGCTGTATTCCCGCTGATGTGATGGTAAGGTGCAGGGGAGGAGAAGCATTCTCTAATTTTATTAATAAATCTCAGTCTTTTAATGGGGCTGTGTCTTGGGGCTATAACCGTTACAAGCTTTCTCCTTTGGTACCGTCCCTTCCCCCTGCCTCCTACTCCCTTTCCTGTCTGCAGCCTCCCCAACCCATTTCCTGGAAGCCATGGTCCTTGTTGACTATGGGGATCTTTTGCCCCCTATAAAGTAGACAGAAAGTTTGGGGGGTGCTTTCCACTGGAATATGACTCTGGCAAAGTATTTTCTCTTGGAGCATAGGCCTTTGTTGCAGACACATTTCACAAAGATTACTCTCCCCCTTCTCTTGCCAAAACCTTGAAGAGATCTTGCAGATCTTCATCTTGAGAACCTGTGAATTTCCTAAAGGTAAAGCCAATGATGGTATGGGGTCCCTGAGGACTGGGGACCCCTGGAAGTTTCTGACTCTCATGCTAGTCTACACTCCTGGTTTATCAAAATTTCCATTTGAGTGTTCCTATGAGTTTATGCCTCATGTGGCTTCTGCTCCAGGTGAGCAGATCTTGGCTATATTTCCCCAGATTTGGGGGTGGCAGTTTGCCCTAAAGCCACAATTCTCTCGTGGTTCCAAGAAATATAATTGATTTTCCAAGAAAAAGTCCAGCTTTTTTGTTGTAAGAATAAAATTATGATTTCCAAAGTATTTACATGTCAGAACAGGAGCCAGATGTCCCAAGTCATTTCCTTTACCTGAGAGCCTTCACCAGCTTCTAAGCAAGAAAAAGAAAAATCTATAAATAAGCCACCATCTACTTGTTGCTATTAGTAAAACCATTTTTGTGTTATTAGTAAAGAGGAAGGAAATGCTGATGTATTGACTTCTCTATCTGCCCATTCTCTATGGAGGAGGAAAGCCAGCAGAAAAGTGCTGAAATATCTTTGAGGCATAAAAAGCTAAGACATACCATGATGCAGGAGTCTAGCAATCTGTCCAGCAGAAGGCTCAGTCTGACTGTGGCCATCAGGGGTGTCTTAGGAGGGATCCAGGCCTCCACAGATTAGAACAACCTCCAGATATTTCCCACTTCTGGCTAGTTATTGATATGCTGTCCACAAAATCATGGCAACTCATAAAATCACAAAAATTTGCATGTTGGAACTGGAAGATTCTCAGGGCTTTTTTCTTTTTCTTTCTTTCTTTTTTTTTTTTTTTTAACAAATGAGGAAACTAAGTCCCAGAGAGTCTGGTTCAAAGCCATACAGTTAGCTCTTGACAGATTGTGGGGTGGGTGGCGGGGGAGTGGGGGCAGTCTACACTTTTATCAATGCCTTTTGCTTTCACTCTAAATTACTTTTATTTTCATTTTATTCTACCCTTTGGAGCATAAGATTTCTATGTACTTGTATATATACTTTTCTCATTAGTATGTTGGCTCCCTAAGGAGGGTATAAACTGGCCCTTTATGTTATTACTAAATTCCCCTAGGCATTTATAACGATGAAAAATGTCAAAAAAAAAGAAAAAGAAAAAGAAAAATATAGCAGTGCTGAAGATGGGGAAAAAAAGGTAGGCTACACTTATTTATTTCCCTTCCACCTTGTCATCTAGGCATTTTGCAAGCATATCACAACAGTATACATCTGATATATCTGCTGTCACCTCCATCACCCTTCCATTCCACCTGAGATCGTGTTAGGAAAAGAAATGAGGAAGACGTTTGTGTTCTTCTTGCTCATTGTTTCAAATGATGAGAAAGACTTTGATGAGACAGACAGAAAGAAGAATGAGGCAAAGCAAGAATAATAAACCCAAGTGCAATGATAAAACCAAGTGTGCAGTGGGAAAATATGCAAGACTAAATCTAAATCCTTCAATGTGAGTCATCTGAGGATACCTTTGAAAATGGTATTTTTATTTGGTTTGTCTGAAACATTATGTAGCTTTTGTCCTGTGCTTGGTTATCTCAGAGTCTTAGCTGTCAGAGAAGGAAGGGACCTGAGAGCCTGCTTTGTTTAAAGTTCCTCGTGCTGCACTGGAATCCATTCAATCACCAGGGACCAGCTGACTTCTGCTGAACCCAACCCCATCCACACCCACCCCCAGTCCTCAACCCACTTACTTTACATTCCAGGGGTTTGGGTGTTAGAAAGTCCTTTCTCTTGTAGAACTGAATATGATTTCCTTGTAAATCCATGAATTGGTCTTAATTACATCATAAAATAAATATGCTTGACAATTCAGCTATTAAGCAAAGTATACATTTTGTATTACTTAGATGAAGTCTTTCTGAGGAGAAATCTTGGACAAAACTTGACAGTCTATTCTTTTATTTTCATGGATCTCCAAACAATATGAACCAAAATGGCTAGCCTGAGTGATTTAAGGGGTTCAGCAAATTGACCTATAAAAAAAACGGAGGCCAAAGTAGTTTGAAATATAGGACATAGAAATGTCTTTACTTCTCCCCAAGTAGTGAATGATCACAGGTCCCTGTGGGGTACTCAGGGCAGGAATATGCCCCCAATTTGTGGAGATGAAGGATCACTTTCTCATCTAGAGTGGTAAATTATATTAATTGGAGAAAGTGGTGAATTATATTAAAAGAGGCATTTCCAGTTCCAACTCTTCAGATACACATGGAAATGGGCAGTTGTGAGTATATTTAGAGACACCATGTTGCACTAGACGTTAGAGAACGCGAGTGTCACGTTAAATGGTGATAGGTGAGACTGAAATTAGTTATCTGAACATTCTCTTTTTCAGAAAGATACTGGACCTTGCATTAGAAAAACCTGGAAAAAGTTACAAGGTATGGAGACATTATTGATGTCAAACATGATTTCAGACAGGCTGTTTGTTCTAACCTCAGCCAAACTCCGGCCCCACCGGGGAGGCAGCAAGCAGATAGCAGGAGGAATGTGGAAGAGAGAAAGGCTTACGGAAAATGGACCAAAGAGGAAACAAGGCAGAAGTTCTCCATCTCTTTTGATTGGGGCCAACTATGAGAAGAGATAGCCCCAGTGAGAAAAAGTGAGCTCTAAGCTCCAGGGATCAGCAGGGAGCCATGAGGGGAAAGTTTTAGTACCTGAGCTCTGTGTATATACAAGAAAATGCAAATACAAATTGAGCACCAAGAAATTACACATCTATACGCAGAAGGGATAAGAAAAAAAGGCAAATTTACAATGTGACATCACTAATTAAAAGAATTAGGGAGGGGCAAGAGGGATCCTACTGTAGTAGATCCCAGACTTTTTGAGTTTATTAATTTTTAAAACTAGAATGTTGAGTTCATTTGTTTAAAATATTAAATGTAATTCAAATAATGGTATCTTAGTGATTATTCAAAATCAAAATTTTATTTGTCAAAAAGAATGCTGAAAAAGGTCATATTCAAAGGAAATAATGATTATATGACTAAAGATAGTAATTAATTTCTCAGGAAAAAAATGATCCACCCACACATAAAATCCTTCATCTTTGTAGAAACTTATTTGAGGTAACCCTATTTTGCTCCCTTAAGCTCACCTTTGATTGAACAAAGTAAAAATAGTCTTTCTTTGTCTATGCATTTACTTTAATAAATAGGCATCTAGAAACATCAGAGGCAATAATATATCAAAAGCTAACTGAATTCCACCAAGCTGTTTTGAAAATGGGATTTCTCCATCTTCGAATTTTCAAAAGCAATTTATCTCCTCCACAGGCTGACAAAAAAGGAAAGTTTTTGATGCCTTACTCTGAGGGAAAATTTCTTGATTTCAAATATGTAAGGAAAAGAGTTCTCTGCATATTTTATCTTATTGTATATATATATACATCTATCACTTTGTTTCTTTGTCAACCTCATAGCCAGAATTACTGACTGATGATCATTTGATGTACCACACTAATTTCAGTGAGAGTTGTACTGAGTGTTTTATCTCATAAATATGTTTATAATCTCTAATAAACTAGGTATGCAATTTCTTAGTGAATTTTCAATGGTAATGCAAAGCTAAATATCAATTAATTAAAGAGTTCTGGGGGTGGAAAAGGGGACAAGGGAAAGGAACCACTCTTGGTTCTTACAAGATGGAATTTGCAAGAGAACTTAAATTACAAAGGAAAAATGGCATTAAATTAATATCTAATTTCTAAGCTAGTTGACCAAATTATTTGAGGCTTATTGGCGTTCTCTTGCTTAGTATTGATATAGTACTTACTTAACTTGCTATCACCATAAACAAAAACAAACAATGATGACATGCTCTTCAAACTGAAAAGCTGCAGGTAGCATTCCCCACCTTCAATAGTAGCTGCCTGAATCTGTGTCTCTCCATATAACCTTTGAAATCAAACCGTTCAATGAGGATATTAAGAAATATCACCCCTAACCCTCATGTACAACAAAACTGGAAGACAAAGAATAGTTTAGACTCTAAGTGTAATGGGAAGAACCTCTCAAACCAGCAGAATCAGTTTCAGACTCCTGACTAAAGTCTCTCTGATGGACAAGGATGGAAGAGGTGTGACTGCATTTGAGGATGTAGCAGGGAGGAAAAGAAAAAGCACCCCCCCAAGAAGAATAGGGGTGGATCTCAGGAGTGTACTGAGATGGGACATAGAGAACAGGGACATGAGGCCTCAGGGATCCACTGGCTACTGTGGAATTGAAAGAAAGAGGCTTGATGTTTCAAAGGACCATAGGTGTAAGTCTTCTAGTAAAGAAGCAGGCAATGTGGAGGCTTGCTGGTAAAGGGGAAAAGATAGCAAAAGCTAGAAGTTATAGGAAGAAGTGTTATACATCAGGAAGCACTGTGGCCACCTCCACACGGTAGAAGAAAGCAACGAAAAAATATACCCCACTTACAAGGGCAACAAAAAAATATAAAATACTTAAAATAAATGTTGTGGCCAGGTGCGGTGGCTCATGCCTGTAATCCTAGCACTTTGGGAGGCCAAGGTGGGCGGATCACGAAGTCAGGAGATTGAGACCAGCCTAGCCAATATGGTGACATCCTGTCTCTACTAATAATAAAAATATTAGTCAGGCATGGTGGTGCAAGCTTGTAATCCCAGCTAATCGGGAGGCTGAGGCAGAAGAATCGCTTGACCCCAAGAGGTGAAGTTCCGGTGAGCCGAGATCGCGCCAGTGTGCTCAGTCTGGGCGACAGAGCAAGACTCTGTCTTTAAAAAAAAAAAAAGTTGCAAGAAATGTGGAAAAAAAACTCATGAATAAGCCTTGAAAACTCTCCTGGAAGACCCATGATCAACTTGAACCATAAGGAAAATGCCCCTTGTTCATGGACAGAACAAGTCAACATTATAAACTTGCCAATTTTCCCAAAAAGAATGAATAAACAATACAATCACAATGAAAATAGCAAGAAGTTTGTTTTTTCCCCCTCGAGCTAGACATTCGATTCTAAAATTCACATGAAATATAAAGATGGGATAATAGCTAAGAAACTCCTGAAAAGGAAGATAAACTGGGTGGGGGGCAGCCCTAACCCTATCAGGTATTAAAATATAGCATTGAGCTGCTGCATTTAAACGATTCTGGAAATGTTCCATGAATAGACAGACCAATGAAACAGAATAGAAAGTAGATCCAAGTATATAAAAAATTTGTGTTTGATAAAGGATGAATGCATCCTTTGTTATACACAGACTTTCATTTGGGAATGTATAAATTTGGGGGAATAATGAGCTTTCATTAATTACTGTAGAAATTATGAACTTTCATTATTTATTGGGGAAATTATGAACTTTCTTGTAAATAATGTTGAAACAATTGGTTTCATTTGTAAGAGAAAAACGTGGACCCATACTTCACATTATACTTAAGAGGAAATTCTAAAAGATCTAATATATAAATGTAAAATTGAAACCACATAGTACTCAGATGAAACAAAACTTTGAAGGGAAGAAAATACTCAAAATCCAGAGACAATAAAAATAAAAGAAAGAATTAATAAATTATATTCTCTGTGTGTGTGTGTCTGTATGTTTTAATATAACAAATAGAACAGGAAAAATAATCAAAGCTAAAATAAAAGAACATGTTTTCACCTGAAGAATTTAAATCTGTGAATCAAAATACTTCATCTATTATCAGTTGACTAAAACCATAGACCTGGACACAGTTTTGTAAAATTTATAAAAGCTCACTCCCCAAGTATTTCAGCAGAAAAGTCAATCTACCTACAATTTAATAAAAATAATATTTGTCTCAGACTTTTCCATAGCAATGAACATCAGATATAAATAAAAGTAACATTTACAGAGATTTAAAAAAGAAAGATTGTAACCCAAGAATATAAACTAAACAAATTTTCACTCATCTGTAAAGGTCAAAGTAAATAGTCAAGTCTTTAGGAAGTAGTTCACTTCCATGCCATTTTGGAGAAAAATAAAAAAATAATAATTGAATATGTAGTACATCAGAGCAAAGTAAAAAACTTGGTAATATGAAAATTGTGGTAAATAAAGAACATTCAGGTTCATTTTTAAAAGTTGCAATTATTGAAAATACTCTTGAAACCATAGGGTAAATATTTTGAAAATGCTCCTGAAAAAGAAGAGTCTCCAGTCTTTCCCTCTGTCTCTCACAACACACAGCCACAAACACACTTACGCACTTTTAAAATATTAGATTATTACAACCAAAGTTAAAAATTAGCTGGAGAAGAAGGCCAAGGAATAAAAAGCAGCCAGTTTCCTAATTTTCTATAAAGAAGCATCAATAGAAACTGTTTTATGTTGGCAATACTAATTAGATAAATATTGGTTCAAGTGCATGTTCTCAGATTTGAAGAAACTTATCAGATAATTAAAAACAAAATATACCTCTTTCTAGTTATTAGAAGTACAAAGACATTAAAAATAATCAACTTACAAAAAGCGGAAACAAGAAAATAAAAGCACACAAGCAGGAAAATAAAGGTATGAAATGCTAACTCCCTAAAGTCTATTATTTTCTCATCTATAAAATGTGGGTTATAACAAACCTAACCATAGGTTAATTTTGAAGATTAATAAGATAATGTTCAAAAAGTATTTCTCAGTGTCTGGCTCACAATCGAAGCTCAAATAATGTTTATTATTACTATTTATAATAAAATATGACAGTTATCAATTATGAAAGTAAATTTTCATAGTTAAAATTTAAATAAAATATTAAACCTTTCTTATTAAAGGGAAAAATTAATACAATAAATAAAATAACAAAGAGAATTAAAAATTTAGGCTTGTGAAAAGGTATCTCAAACAACACAAATCAAAAGAAAGTAACAGTGTAGAATTCCAAGTAAAAAAGCATTAGATGATGCAAAGATGGTCATTTTATATGGATACATTTTTAAAAATCACAGTGATGATAAAATTGTCATAAAATTTAATTAATTAAACATTTATCTTTACAATAAATAAAAGTATTTGGAAATACAAGGGATAAGAAATAATTTTTAATGCTTTGCTCTCAGTATTTATAAATCAAGAAGACCAAAAATAGGGCAACCCTCTTTTGGGCCCCCTGTCCGTGGTGGAGAGCTTTCTTCAATTGTTCATTAAACTCTTGCTCCAACCTCAAAAAAAAAAAAAAAAAAAAAGAAGAAGAAGAAGAAATAATATAAATCAAGATGACCAAAAATATACCTAAGATGGTAGAGGACTTTAATAATGTAATTAATTAGATTTAATTAGTGTATATTAAACAATATACCTTTCCAAGGTTTTGGAAAACCTTAACAAAAACTATATCTTATGTAGTCTACAGGATTTAAAAAAATTTTATTTGTATATGACACACTCTATCATGACTATGTAATAAAAATAAAAACTAATGGGAATAAAACATTTCAAAAAATCCAGTAATTTTAGAATAAAAAGAAAACATTGTAAATATTAGCTAAAAAGAAAAAGAAAATGAAAGTTACTACTACAAACCATTTAGAAAGTAATGACCATGTAAAACTATATGTTAAAATTTCTGTACCAAGACAATTAAATGGGAAAAGAAAAGGCCTTTCAGCAAGTGGAGCTGGAAGAACTAGATAGCCACACAAGAAAGAATGAGTTGAAGTCCTATCTCACATACAAAAATTAGCAAAATGGAGGAGCTAAAACTCTAAAACTGTTAGAAGAAAATAAGCATAAATCCTCATGATCTTAGAATAGACAATGGTTTCCTAGATAAGACATCGAAAGTATAAGCTGCAAAAGAAAAAAATACAAAAATTGGACATCATCAAAATTAAAAACTTATGTGTTTCAAAGAATGCCATCAAGAAAGTGAAAGGAAAATCCACATAATGGGAGAAAATTTTTACAAATCATGTATCTTATAAAGCAGGGGTCCCCAAGCCCCAGACCACAGACTGTACCAGTCCCTGGCCTGTTAGGAACCAGGCTGCACAGCAGGAGATGAGTTGAGGGAAGTGAGCATTACTGCCTGGGCTCTGCCTCCTGTCAGATCAGCAGCGGCATTAGATTCTCATGGAAGTGCAAACCCTATTGCGAACTGTGCCTGCAAGGTGTATTAGTCCATTCTCATGCTGCTATGAAAAAATACCTGAGACTGGGTAATTTATAAAGTAAAGAGGTTTAATTGACTCACAGTTCGGCATGGCTGGGGAGGTCTCAGGAAACTTACAATCAATGGCTGGGGAGGTCTCAGGAAACTTACAATCATGGTGGAAGGCAAAGGAGAAGCAGGCACCTTCTTCACAGGGCAGCAGGATGGAGTGAGTGCAAGCAGGGGAAATGCCAGACACTTATAAAACCATCAGATCTCATGAGAACTCACTTACTATCACAAGAACAGCTTGGGGGAAACCACCCCCATGATCCAATTACCTCCACCGGGTCTTACCCTTGACACATGGGGATTACAGAGATTATGTGAATTATAATTCCAGATGAGATTTTGGGTGGGGGCACAGCCAAACCATATCATGAGGAATCAAGGTTGCACACTCTTTATGAGACCCCAATGTTTGATGATCTGAGGTGCAACGGTTTCATCCCTAAACCGTGCCCCTCCCCCTGCGCTTCCCACCCCCTGTTCCAATTTTGTGAAAAATATCTTTCATGAAACTGGTCTCTGGTGTCAAAAATGTTGGCGACCACTGTTACAAGGGACTCGTACCTAGAATATGTAAAGAATTATTACAACTCAATAATAGAAGGGTAAATAACTCACTTTTAAAAATTAGCAAAGGATTTGAATAGACAGTTCTTTTAAGGAGATATACAAATGGCCAATAAGCACATCAAGGATTGCTTGACATCATCAGCCATCTGCAAAATCGAAATCAAATCCACAATGAGATACCACTTCACACCTGTGACGATGCCTATAACAAAAAAGATGGATAAAAACAGGTGTTGGCAAGAATACGGATGGAGAAACTGGAATCCTCATACACTGCTGCTATGAATGTAAAATGGTGCAGCCACTTTGGAAAACAGGGTGGCAATTCCACTCCCAGGTATATACCAAGAGAAATGAAAACATACATCCACACGAAACCTTGTATACAAATGGCCATAGTAGCATTGTTCATAATAGCCAAAAAGTGGAAACTACCCAAATATTCATGAACTGATGAATGGATTTAAAAATGTGGTATATTCTTATAATGAAACATGCTTCCGTGATAAAAAAAAAAAAAAAAGAAATGAAGTGCTGACATGTGCTACAGCTGAGACAAATCTTGAAGACATGAAGCTAAGTGAAAGAAGCCAGTCACAAAGAACCCCATATGGTATGATTCTGTTTATATTAAATTTCCAAAATAAAGGAATTTATATAAAATGAAGTAGATTAATGCTTGCCTTGGGCTACAGGGGCTGGAGCAATTGAGGGTGATTTTTAAGGGGTGCAAGGTTTATTTGTATTGTCATGAAAATGTTCTAAAATTGATTGTTGTAATTGCAGAACTCTGTGAATATACTAAAAGTCATTGAATCATATACTTTAAATGGGTGGATTGTGTCACATATGAATTATTTCTCAATAGAGCTGTTTAAAAAAAAAAAAACAACTTGTTGGCCGGGCGCAGTGGCTCACACCTGTAATCCTAGCACTTTGGGAGGCCAAGGCGGGCGGATCACGAGGTCAGAAGATCGAGACCATCTTGGCTAACACGGTGAAACACCATCTCTACTAAAAATACAAAAAAAAAAATAAAAAATAGCCAGGCGTTGTGGCAGGCGCCTGTAGTCCCAGCTACTCAGGAGGCTAAGGCAGGAGAATGACATGAACCCAGGAGGCGGAGCTTGCAGTGAGCCAAGATTGCGCCACTGCAGTCCAGCCTGGGCTACAGAGTGAGACTCCCTCTCAAAAAAAAAAAAAAAAAAAAAAAAAAAAAAAACAACTTGTACTATGACTTCAACTTCCAAGTGGAATGTAGATGTTGTGATTGCCCAATGTTCCCAACACAATTACTGGACAAAAAGCCAGACAAATGACCAAAATCTTGTTTCAAGTCGCCATACAGTTGTAGAAACAATAATTAGATGAACTGGAATTTCACAGGAGGAGACTTCTAGAACAGTAGGAATTTTGCTAATGTTTAGTAAGGCCTCATGATCAGATTTGGCCCACACCAGGGAGAGAAACCGGAGATGTTTTTGTTGGTCACTCAGGGCTGGTATGGGCGCAAAAGATTATATAACTTGAGAAGCACAGACTTAATAGGTGTTTTCCCCAAGAAATTCTCTGTGTGCTGGAGATGAACATGGAGGACTCGAGAGCTAGGCTAAGGGTTCCTAAAAGACAGAGTAAAATCTGCTTTATTCTCCAAGTGCTTGAGAGACTGTATTTCCCCAGAGGGACTGGGCCTACCAACTAGTCCTCCAAGATGTTTGCCACATTTAAAGCTGCAGGATATGGGAGCTAAAGATCCAAGCTCAAATCTAGAACAGTAGGAATTTTGCTAATGTTTAGTAAGGCCTCATGATCAGATTTGGCCCACACCAGGGAGAGAAACCGGAGATGTTTTTGTTGGTCACTCAGGGCTGGTATGGGCGCAAAAGATTATATAACTTGAGAAGCACAGACTTAATAGGTGTTTTCCCCAAGAAATTCTCTGTGTGCTGGAGATGAACATGGAGGACTCGAGAGCTAGGCTAAGGGTTCCTAAAAGACAGAGTAAAATCTGCTTTATTCTCCAAGTGCTTGAGAGACTGTATTTCCCCAGAGGGACTGGGCCTACCAACTAGTCCTCCAAGATGTTTGCCACATTTAAAGCTGCAGGATATGGGAGCTAAAGATCCAAGCTCAAATCTAGATAGTGGATTTGCCACAGTCTTCCATGTTTGAGGGAGAGTGACCCACTAGTCTCTCAGCCCAAATCCTTGAAGGGTCTTCCTTGAGAAACAGGGAAGGACCAAAGATGGATGAGTCTTAGGAAAACTGCATATGTGTAATAGAACTAAGAGGGGAAGCGGGAGAGAGACAATGGGCCAAAAGCAACAACTGAAGATATAATGGCAAAGCATTTGCCAAAATGGATAAAATATTAATACATCAATTCAAAAATTCAAGAAACCCTAAGTAGCTCAGCAAACCCCAAGTAGGGTTTAAGAAAAAAGAAAATCATACTAAGGTACATTACAGTTAAACTGCTAAAACTTAGCAGATGAGCTCAAGTTTCTTTTCTGAAGCAAATTCATATCCTTAAATAGCCTTATTAAATAATAAATATTTAAAAATTTTAAAACTACTTATTCATCATAAGAAATTAAGAAAATAATAAAATCTAAGATTCACAGGAGATTGGGTTACCAAAAATAAATGCTGAAATTAAATTATCAAAAAAAGGGAAAACAGTTAAATTGATAAATTAATAAATCTTAAAGGTGGTTATTTTAATAATAAAAACCCAACAAAAGACGTGTATTTACTTTCAATGTTTATTATTTTAATTAAATAAATTTGATTCAAATTAAAAAGCACAAATGTGAGAGTGAAAAAATGACATGACTACAGATTCAAAGGAAACTACAAAAATAAGAGAAACTGCAAAAATATGCCTTCCATAAATAAATTTGATAGTTTTAATGAAAAGTATAATTTCTGGCCAAATATAAATTATAATATTTTACTTAAGAAGTAGAATATCTGAATAGGCCTATTACTATGCATATTACTAAAAGGATTATTCAGAAATTTTAAAATTTACTACAAGATTTTACAAGATTAGGTTGTATCACATAAAATTACTTTATGCTATATATAATAGAGTACATATGCATAATAATTGGCTATATTTGAATCTCAATTTATTTTTGACATTAAATTAACTTGTTACCAAGCTTGAGAAAGCACTACAACCATGCAACTAAAAAAATAGCACATGCGACACTCTCACTTATGAATATAGGTGCAAAAATTCTAAAGGAAATTCTAACAAATCAATTTCAATGCTAAATAAAAATAAGGCCATACCATTTTAAGTAGAATTATTCTAGGTATGCAGACTTACTTCACACTAGGCAATCTATCAGTTGAATTGATATAGCTACAGTTCAAAGGGAAAACTACACAATTATTTCTACCCATGCTGAAAACACATTAATAATTAAGATACATTTAAAAATTAATAAGCTTTATGTTTTAGAGTAGTTTTAGCTTTACAGATATATTGAGTAGAAAATACAAAGTTCCCATATACTCCCTCTCCCTACCACAGTTTCCTCTATTATCAATATCTTGCATTGATGTGGCACATTTATTATAATTGATGAGCCAATATTGATACACTATTATTAACTAAAATCAATAGGTTACTTTAGGTTTCACTCTTGGTATTGTACATTCTAGGGATTTTGACAAGTGTATAGTGATGAGTACCCACCACTAAAGTATCTTATGTAATAATAGTTTCACTGCCTTAAAAATCCCCCTTGTACTACCTATTCATCTCTCCCTGTCCTCCAGTCCCCAGCAACCACTCATCTTTTTACTGTCTCCAAAGTTTTGCCTTTTCCAAAACGTCATAGAGTAGGAATCATACAATATGTAGCCTTTTCAGATTGGCTTCTTTCACTTAACAACATGTGTTTAAGGCTCCTCCATGTCTTTTTGTGGCTTGACAACTCATTTCTTTTCATTACTAAATAGTATTCCATTGTATGGATGTGGATGTACCATAGTTTATTTGTCCAGTCACCTATTAAAACACATCTGGGTTGCTTCTAAATGTCGGTAGTTAAGAGGAAAGCTGCTGTAAACATTCATGTCCAGGTTTTTTTTTCTGTATGTAAGTTTCTAATTCATATGGGTAAATATGAGGGAGTGTTACTACTGAGTAGGAGTATGCCTAATTTTGTAAGAAACTGCCAAAATCACTTTCCAAGTGGCCATACCATTTTGCATTCCCACTAGCAATGAGTAAGAGGATCTGCTGCACAACATTCTCATCAGCATTTGGTGGTGTTTATGTTTGGGATTTTGGTCATTCTAATGGGTGTGTAGTAATATCTCGTTTTAATTTGAAAGTCTCTAATGATGTTGAGCATCTTTCCACAAGCTTATTTTCCATCTGTATATCTTCTTTGGTAAGGTATCTGTTGAGATCTTTTGCCTATTTTTTAATTGGACTGTTTGTTTCTTACTATTGAGTTTTAAGAGTTCTTTGTATATCTTAAATACTAGCCTGCATCTGACATGTGTTTCACAAAATCCTCCCAGTCTATGGCTTATTTTTTCATTCTCTGAACAGTGTCATTTACAGAACAGAAGTTTGAAATTTTAACAAAGTCCAACTTATCAATTTTTTTATGGATTGTGCTTTTGGATTTAAGAAGTCATTGCCAAATTCAAGGTCATTGAAATATTCTCCTATTTTACCTTCTCAGCATTTTACAAGATATATTTTTAATTAAAAACAAATAGATGCTCTGAATCAGTCATGGTCCCCACAAGGATTTTTAATAGAAACTGTAAGGAAAAGACAACTTACAATGGGCTTGGTAAGGTTAAGGAAATATATAAGGGATAATGCTTGCAACCATGATAAGCTGTCATCACCCAGGTCAAAAGGAAAAAAGGGAGGAGCTAGTGCTGGGACCCAGTGTGGAGGCTATGGTGAAGAAGCTATTATTGTGAACTCCACTACTACTATAGGTTTCATACCTAGGCAAGAAGAGCATGTAGTCCTCATAAGTTGATAGATATAAGAAAGGGGGCTGGGCGCGGTGGCTCACGCCTGTAATCCCAGCACTATGGGAGGCTGAGGCTAGCGGATCATGAGGTCAGGAGATCGAGACCATCCTGGCTAACACGGTGAAACCCCGTCTCTACTAAAAATACAAAAAAAAAAAAAATAGCCAGGCGTGGTGGCAGGCACCTGTAGTCCCAGCTACTCGGGAGGCTGAGGCAGGAGAATGGCGTGAACCCGGGAGGCGGAGCTTGCAGTGGGTCGAGATCGCGCCACTGCCCTCCAGCCTGGGCAGTGAGAGCAAGACTCCGTCTCAAAACGAAAAAAAAAAAAAGGAGCCCTAACTGGCAGGAACAGGAGCAAGGATGGGGGAGAGCCATCATTCTAAGAAATGGCTGACAAGCCATCGTTCTGAGAACTGGTTAACCAACAACAACCCACTTGCACAACACCCTGTTCCCAAATACCTTGTTTTGCACATAGACCCAGCAGCATGACCTTATCAGCACGTACCCTCTCCAGCACAAGCCTATAAAACTTCCCTCCAGCCCCTGACTCTTCGAGACAACCTCCTCTCTGCTGTGCACCTCATTGTTCTCTTGCAGTGTATCTTCGTACTTTCTACAATAAATCTGCCTTTCTTTATCCATGACTGTCTTGGTAAATTCTTTCACTGCCTGCAATGCTGGACCCAGCCAGTCACACCAGCAGCATTTTGGTGGTCCATATGGAGACCTCTCCCCTGTTCACTGTTTTTTCTCTTCTCCAACTCCAACCTCTTAGTGGACAGCATCCAAGCCTGGAGACATCTGATGGCCCCCCACTGCAGCTACTCCCTGGTGGATCAGAAGGTCCCAGTGGAAAGAAGTTTGACCGTCACTGCCCGATCGAGTGAGAGTTTAGAGTTTACTTTCCTTTCCCGTCTTCTGGTGGACAAACTCTAGTATCCCTCTAGCAGCTGATGGCCACTGGCCAGGGCCATTCCCTGGTGTGGCCTAAAGGCCAAGGAGTGAACCAGGTTTGGCTGCCTTGCTTGGAAGGGAGGATGGCTCTCTCCTAACCCTTCTGGTCAAAAGTCCCCAGTCCCTACATGCAGCACAATAGGCAGCGGCAGCTTGACCAGGGCAAACGCACACACATTTTGGGGAACTCAGACCCCGTCCTTCTCACTCTAAATTTCTCCTGTGAAGAAAGCCAGCCATCCTTTTCTGGACATTTTAAGCAACATGATCCCAAATAGCACCAGAACAGTGAGCCTTCCCTCAACCTTTGCCCCTTATACCTGGATTCAGCACCCAGTATAATTCATACGTGGACTGACCTGGGGCTGCTCACCCTGTGTTCATCCATCCAGTGTAAGGCTCTCATGCTGGGAGGTCCTTTCTAATAGGTGGGATGCCCCTTTGGAAAGTGCCTCTCAAGGCTCCTCAGTGGACATAAGTGGAACCCCCTTTCCTTGGCTGGAGGCCCCAAGAGAAATTGTGGTTTGTGTCCCCAGTAGACATTATTTTCCAATCCCCCCATGGGACAAAGCCCTTCCATTCTCTCAGACTCACCGATGGGCTGCATTCTAAAACATTGGGATAAACTTGACTCCCAGACTCTCAAAAGGAAACATCGAATTTTCTTGTGTAATACAGCATGGCCACTTTATAAACTTCCAGATCAGGAATCCTACTGGCTTCCAAATGGGACCTCTGCCCCCAGTAGTATTTTATAGGTTGACCTCTTTGGTCATAATTCTTCTAAACGGCTTGAGATTCCTTATATCTGAGGTTGTGTAACTCTTTCTAAGTTTGCTCTCCTCTCCCTTACATGGTTCCTTCCTTTACTAGGACAGCTGCATTTATACTTCTACTTCTCCTCTTCAGTCCTTTGTCTCTTTAATTTACTGGTTAAATTTGTTTCTTCCAGAATGTAGCAATTCCACAGCAAACTCCTAATGATGCAAGGATATCAGCCAATCACCCTCAGAAAACCCCATGAATCTCCTCTAGACTCACTAGATATCAATTCCATATTAACACGCTCTTTCTTCCTGAGTTCTATCCTCCAGCAGCATTTAATAGACTAAGTCCCATAACTCAGGACAATAACCCACAGGGTCCCCTAACAGACCAATAATCACAGGTAGGGCCCACACTGTGCCCACAGTCAGCAGGAAGCAGTTGGAAGATAAGACCTCCATACCAATGCCAAAGATTTGTCATTGTTGTTCTGTCAGCGGGGAACATGGAGTCCTGGTAAGTTAATAGATACAAGAAAAGGGCTCTAGCTGGCAGGAACAGGAATGAGGATTGGGGAGAGCCACTGTTCTAAGAGATGGCTGACAAGCCATTTTTCTGAGAAACACCTAACCACAAACAACCTACTTGCACAACATCCTGTTCCCAAATACCTTGTTCCACAGGTAGCCCCAGCAGCATGACCCTATCTGTACATAGCCTCTCCAGCATAACCTTATCAAACTTCTCTGCTGTGCTGCCTGTTGCTCTCTTGTATCTTTGTACTTTCTCTAACAAATCTGACTTTCTTAACCCACAACTGTCTTGGTAAATTCCTTTACTGCCTGTAACACCAGCCCCAGCCTATCACACCTGTGACAGATGGAGAGGATGAAGTACCTTTACTTCTCTCTCCTCACCCTCAATAGCATGCCAGTGATCCTTGCTGGCCAAACACAATCAGAGGGCAGCCAGCAAGGGAGCCTGGGGGCTGCTGTCTGCATGGGTGATCATCCTGGGGCACAGGCAGAGCCAACATGAGTAGGCTATCCCTGTGAGAGAGGGCACATGGAGCATGAGGACCACAGCTCTTTGTGTAACCAAAAATTAGTGTTCCACACTCTAGACTCTTGCAGACCAAGGGTTGAAGCTGAGCTCTAGCACTCATTGGAAAGTTGATGTCTTTAAGCCTCTGCATTTTATGTGTAATTAGGATTAATAACAGTGCTACATTATAGATATTAAGATGACTATTTATATTAAATGTTTGTGAAGTATTAATGAGTGCTTAGTAAATGCTAGCTGCTATCACTACTGCTGCCACTACTATCAAAACTACTACCATTACTACTACTAATAACATAACTACTATTGTCACTACTATTACCACTACCATTAGTACTACCACCACTATCATCACTACCATCACTACTAATACTATCATTACCACTACTATTACCATTACCACGACTATCATTACTACTACTACCACCTCCACCATTACTACTACTAATGCTATCATTACTACTACTGCTTCTATAATTACTACTCCTACTCCTACCATTACTACTACTAGTAGTATCACCATTACTACTACTACTATCATTACTATTACCACCACCATTACTACTATCATTACTACTACTACCACCACCATTACTACTACTGCTGTCATTACTACTACTGCTACTATTTACTCCTACCGTTACTACTACTACCACCACCACCATTACTACTACTATCATTGCTACTATTACTACTGCCATCATTACTATTACTACTATTAGTTTAGTCATTATTATCAGAGGCGAGGAGAAGCAGGCAGCATAACCAAGAACATAAGTATTATTTCTCAATATGAGACAGAATCTCTATATTAAATTAATAGCCAAAGCCATACCCAGGAATGAAATATTTACATGTTCTCACTGAAACCAAGAACCAAATAACCAGAGGATTGCTACCATCATTATCATTGAATGTTCTAGAAATTTTAGCCAACATATTAAGATATGCAACATTAGGAAAGAGAAAAAGTTTACCTTTTTTGGTTAACATTTACAAAATATGATGGTTCTCTGCCAAGAAAATCACTCCCCAATTTAAAAATTAAGTGGCTAAACACAAAATGAATGTATAAAATTTAACGGTTGTTCTGAAAACTAGGATAAAACTATTCATAATATTTAATGAAGATAATTTTCCACTTACAATAGCAACACAAACTATTAAGTGCCTACATAGCTTTATATATAATTTTGCAAACAATATAAAGGCTAGTAAAAAATAAAAACAAAAAACTTATAACTACATTAAGAAAACTGGGCACAGTGGCTCATGCTGGTAATCTCAGAACTTTGGGAGGCTGAGGCAGGAGGATCGTTTGAGGCCAGGAGTTGGAGACTAGCCTGGGCATCATTGCAAGATCACATTTTTACAAAAAAAAAAAAAAAATAGGCACGCATAGAGGCATGTGCCTGTAGTCTGTTTACTTGGGAGGCTACAGGTAGCTAGACTACAGTAATGGTAGTAGTAGTCATGGTAGTAGTAGCAAAAATGACATTGGAAAAATGTCGATTTTTTCCAAATTCATTTATAGGATTAACACAATTGCACTTAAACTTCCACTGAGATTTATTATTAAATGTGTTCAAGTAAAACTAAGATTCATCTAGAAGAATGAATTTATAAGTAGAGCTCAGAAAAAATTTTTTAAATGCAAAACAGAAAAGATTAACCAGTGAGATTTGCCCTGTTATATATAGAAACATAACACTAATATAGACAAAATATGTGGTTTTGGCACAAGAATAGATTATTGGAACAATGAAATGAAACAGAAACTCTGGGAAAAGAATACCTACATTAATATAATGAAGTAAACCCAGACATGTATTCTGACACATTACCCCCAAAGAAATACCAGGTGGATTAAATATTTAAATGTCAAAAATAAGCCACCATAAAAATCTTAGAAGAATATGCAGCAGAATATTTGTGTATCTCACAGTGAAAAGAGGGTTTTACAAGTATAAAGGTAATACAAAATAGAACAGAAAATTGATATGACAACATGAAAGAAAACCTTTTATATTTCAAAAGTCAGCTTTCAGTTTTTCCCAGTAACAGCCATTGTTTATAACCTTGGGGTCTAAGTTTCCAGGCTTGTATTGGAACAGGATTAGAAAAGGAATTATACTATACATTGGGTGACTGTGTCATCACCCTCTAGGATGATTTCTTCTTGGAATGAGACTTAAGATACCATAGTTCTACTTTCATTGTGCATTGATACATTAAGTCATTTATAACATTTCCCAAAACTCCAATCTGGAGAACTTTCTCTATCACCAGGGCATTGCTTTGGAATTCAGGGAGGCCTGAGTTCTGGATGGGAATGGGAGTGAGATGGTCCAGTGAATGTTAACAGTCACTATTATTATCCTTATTTTACAGAGGAGGAATATTCTGCTCCTTTATGAGCCAACATTTACTTTCTCTGAATTAAATGTTACTGGTTTCTTATTTATAGACAGCAGAGATTGACTGGGCACACTTTCCCCCACAGTTTCCAAGACTCTGTAATTATATGCAAAATAGTAAAATTAAATTCAATCTAGATGAATCCATATTTCAATAAGGATATTAGTGACTTAGGTCTAAAAATTAAAATTAGACTCGTCAATCCTGTTATGCTTTCCATTCAAATGTTTTTCCTAAACAGCAACAACAACAAAAACCTGATTTCCTAATAGTCCATTTAGCTTTTATTTCATGCCATTTACAAAGTTTAGGCAACATAAATGCACTTTATGCATATCTCTGTCCCATATCTCAGTCTAGATAGTTGTCTAGATAATTTTCTAGACAACCTAGATAATCAATGGGAAGGCTGAATGGCAGAGCAGAAAAACCATGTCTTCAGGGTCTGAACTATTGAGAGTAAGTATCATCTCCACCACTTAACAACTGTACAACTCTGGGAAGATGTGCTGGGCAAGCCCTTTCAGTCTTGTTGGCTTACCCAGTAGTCAGGATTTGTTGCAAGAATACAGTGCCAGCTGTGTTCCAGCCACTGCTCTCAGGGTACTGTTCCCTTTCCCTTTATATGTTCTGATATTTCTCCCATAGCTACCAACCAGCCCATTCTTCCAGTCTTTCTCTGTTCAGATGCTAATGGGAGAGAGTTGATGGTCTTAGATAGTCACCATAATCCCTTTAGAGCAGAGATTTGTTGTAGAAGCCAGGCCACTTTGAAGGACACAGGCTGCCTGATATTCTGGCTGCCCTTGGGTCAGATCTCATCCCTGGCCAAAGTGGTGCCACCACTTTCTCAATGATTGCTTATTTCTCCCTCCTTCAACATGCTTTAGAAGGCAGCGTTTCCCTTAGAGGAGCACAGTGGGCTGGGCAGCAACAGTGGATGACGTGCGTATTACGGCACTGCTGGGTATCATCATAACCAACATGAACTTGTGGCTTGTTCTTACAATGCGCCAGACGTCTCATGAAACATTCAACGTTTCTTAATTCACCCTCACAACCAGAATGAGGTAAGTGTTGTTCTTATTCTTATTATTTGATATTTTATAGATAAAGAGAAGCTTACAGCATGAAATAACTTTCTCAAAATGATAAGATCAGTAAGCGGAATATTCTTTTTTGTTTTTTTTTTTGAGACGGTGTCTCGCTCTGTTGCCCAGGCTGGGGTGCAGTGGCCCGATCTCGGCTCACTGCAAGATCTGCCTCCCGGGTTCACGCCATTCTCCTGCCTCAGCCTCCCCAGTAGCTGGAACTACAGGCACCTGCCACCACTCCCGGCTAATTTTTTGTATTTTTAGTAGAGATGGGATTTCACCGTGTTAGCCAGGATGATCTGGATTTCCTGACCTCGTGATCCGCCCGCCTCGGCCTCCCAAAGTGCTGAGATTACAGGTGTGAGCCACCCTGCCCGGCCAGTAAGCGGAATATTCAATTGGATTCCAGAGTTTATGCTTTTAGCTATCAAGCTATACTCTTTCTCACTATATTTCCCTGAGCTTTGGTTTCCTTATCTATAAAACTGGAACCGCACTGCCTGTTTGCCTTTAGAGCTATAGGTAATAAATGTTATGCATTTATTATGGTAAATAACATGTAGTAGAGCAAAGCATGGAAATTCAGGAAGTAACAAAGAGCAGTCATAAGAATGTCTATGTGGTAAATCTAGATAAAAATTACTTGTATACACATTTACAGTAGCGCCTTTAAAACACACACCGATAGCACTTTAGTAAGTCAAGAATGCATGTTGCACCAATTAGAGAAAACACCAATTTTTTAAAAAAACATATAAATAACAAGCTAATAGAAGAAGAAATGTAATTAGAAAAATTTAAATAAGCCCAAAAACTTTAAGGAAGGACAAAAAAAATCATAGAACAGAGAAAATAGGAATCAATGGTAAGATGGTAGATTTAACCTTGAATTACAGTAAATATAAACAGACTAAATATTGAAATTGAAATATAAAGCTCATCAGAGAAGGTAATAATATCAAGCAAAGCTAAACAAGCTGCTTACTTTAAATATAAAGATATCGACAGGTTGAAAGTAAGTAAGGGATGGTAAAACTACTATGCAAAGCAAAAGTTACAAAACCAAAGCAAAGACTGGCTCGTTTCAGAATAATCAACGTTTCAGGTTTAATATGAAATAATCGTAAATTTGTTTATACCTAATAACATAGCCATAAAATAAAAATTGACAGATAAACAATCATGTTAAGAGCCTGTATAAGCCAGATTTCTCCAGAAAAACAGAATCAAAAGGATATATACATTAAGAATTATATTAAGAAATTTATTTTAGCATATTGGCTTACATGATTGTGGGGCTGGCAAGTCCAGAATCCGTAGGAGAAGCTGGCAGGCTGAAACTCAGGCAGGAAACGATGTTGCAGACTTTAGGCAGAATTTTTTCTTCTCTAGGAAAATTCAGTTTTTGCTCTTAAGGCTTCTGATTGTATAAGGCCCATTCACAGTATGAAAAGTAAGATTTATGTAAAGCCAACTGATTGTAGATGTTAACTACATCTACAAAATACCTTTGCAGCACTACCTAGATTAGTGTTTGATTAAATAAATGGGCAGTAAAGGCCGGGTGCAGTGGCTCACGCCTGTAATCCCAGCACTTTGGGAGGCCGAGGCAGGAAGATCACTTGAGGTCAGGAGTTCAAGACCAGCCTGGCCAACATGGTGAAACCCCATCCGTACTAAAAATACAAAAATTAGCCTGGCTTGGTGGCGGGCACCTGTAATCCCAGCTACTTGGGAGGCTGAAGCAGGAGAATCACTTGAACCCAGGAGGTTGTAGTGAACCGAGATCGCGCCACTGCATTCCAGTCTGGGTGACAAGAGCAAAACTCTGTCTCACCACAAAAAAAAAAAAAAAAAAAAAAAAAAAAAGGCACTAAAGCCTGGCCCCCATGATGACACAGGAAACTAATCGTCATGGAGACTTTATCCACACTTTTGAATATATGTTACATTTCAACATTAAAACACACACACACACACAAAATCATAAAGCAATCAACAAAATTAAGCTGAATGCTTCGTAATTGCTGGATTCCCTGGGAAGCTGACTCTGAGATGGAGATTAGCGTGCAGGACATTTCTTACGGGTTGTTCTTGGGATCAATACCTGTGGAGAGGAGAAGCTGAGGCAGGATCAGGAAGCGGGGAAGTAGAGTGCAATGCTGGTGAAGCGGCATCACTGTCTGGGGTAAATATCCGGGGTTCATCATCTCTCGTCAAGATGATTAACGACATGGACACACATGGGTGAGTTAAGAAGCGGAAAGTTTAATAGGCGGAAGAAAAGAGTGAGGAGACCAGCTCTCAGACATCCTTAAGGGAAAGGCTGGCCCGTGACTGACGGCAGCAGGTTTTACGGGCAGGCTTGAGGAGGCGGTGTCTGATTTACGTGGAGCCCAGAGATTGGTTCGACCAGGGGTGACGTTTACGTAGCGCGCAGGGAAGGCTGGTCACCCCACCCTAATCTTGTTATGCAAATAGGCTTCCCACTTGGCAGGGGCCGTCTTGTCCACTCGTTTCTGTAAACATGGGTGGCAAAAAGAGAAGATGGAGCTGCCATTTAGAACATGCCTAATCCCAGGTAGTGTTTTTTGTTGTTGTTGTTGCTGCTGTTGTCGCTTTTTGAGTCGGAGTTTCGCTCTTGTTGCCCAGGCTGGAGTGCAATGGCGCCATCTTGGCTCACCACAGCCTCCGCCTCCTAAGTTCAGGCGATTCTCCTGCCTCAGCCTCCTGAGTAGCTGGGATTACAGGCGTGAGCCACAGCGCCGGCCCCAGGTAGTATATTTTTATTGGCACAACTGCCGGTATTTGCCTGTGCAAGCTTTCAGCTTGCTTGTCTGTGTCTGCAGCTCGATTTTCCAGGTTGCTTTTTGTTAGAAAAGAAAATGATTTGGGGGCTGCTTTTCATTAAAAGGAAGACCTTACTGAGGACTCCCATACCTTCACTATCTGCCTAAGTACTTTCTTCTTAACTCCTATATCACTGGGTCAGCAGCAACCCCAGTCAAACCTCAAGGGAGACGGGAAGATGGGACGATCTGTCAGAGGTATGCTGAGTTGAGGCAAGAGAGCTGACCTTTATGGATTGCCAATCAGTGACTCATTGGAAGTGGGGCAACCTGGAAGGAAATGTGGCCTTAGGTGAGGCAGCTGTCTTCAGAGGAGGCAATTTCTTTGTATCTGGAGGGGCAATTGTTAGTGTTCCCCTGGACTGAAGGGTGAATTATGGAGAATGGAATAGAACGATTTGTTACTATGATTTGGTTGATGACTTATTTCCTGTTTCCTTAGCTTCATCTTGCTGAGCAAAAATGAAGGAGCCTGGACCCAACTTTGTTACTGTGAGAAAGGGTCTTCATTCATTCAAGATGGCATTTGTTAAGCACCTACTGTGAGTAGATGATCTCCTGTCAAAGACAGTTAACAAATCCTCGGAATATTGCTTCATGTACAGTTATTGGAGATGAGTAACTTACATTCTCTTAATTGTAATGGTTCCTTGGAAAGTCATCGTGGAAAATGAAGGCTGGCTCATACATTTTCCCAGACAGGAATTTGGCTGCCAACAGGGAATTCTAAACAACTAAAAACTCCAGATGATGAATGCACAACATAATGATGGTTAAATTAAAAAAAAAAAAGAGCACGGTAATAAAATTTCCATGAAATATTTTGTGTAAGCGCAGATAATCAGTCATTTTCTTTATAGAATTCTTATTCGTAAATAATTTAGAATACTTTGTTCTTTATAATATATGATGGGCAACTATAGTATGATTCTTCTGAGTGACTCAGTTCTTTTTTTTTTTTCACATTTAATGACTTTGTTTCTCCTAAGTGAATGCACAGATAGTATATTAATCAGGGTTCTCTGGAAAAACCAGAACCAATTTATTATCAGGTACTGGTTCATGTGATTGTGGAGGCTGAGAAGCCCCATGATCTGCTCTCTGCAAGCTGGAGACCCAGGAAAGCTGATGAAAGTCAAAGGCCTAAGAGCTGGAGGGCCGATGGTATAGATTGCAGCCCAGGTCTAAAGGCCTGAGAACCAGAAGCACAGAGGGCAGAAGATCAATATTCCAGCTCAATCAGGCAAAGAGAAAAAGTCCTCCCTTCCTCTCCGTTTTTCTTCTATTCTGACCCTGGATGGACTGGATGAGGCCCAGCCACATTGAGGAGAGCCATCTGCTTTAATCAGTCCACCAACTCAGATCCTGATCTCTTCCAGAAACACCTTCACAGATACACCCAGAAATAACATTCAACCTGTTAGGAGTATCCCATGGCTCAGTCAAGTTGACACACAAAACTAACCATCACAGATACACATCAAAGTTAAATAATATTAACACAGACTTTGGCAAGCTGTATTTTAAAACACAGTAGGTTAGTGAGTCTGGTTTAAGAGCACTAGATGAAACCACATATAAGGATGTTTTTGACATTCTGTGTCTGACCCTTCAGACTCCCTGCCCTCCTCCCCACCATGTTCTGAACCCCAGAACACTGACCTCTACGAACAGCCCCACATGGGCTCTGTTACCCTCTGGCTTCCCATTGGCCCATGGAGGCACAGAGGAAGTTGGGGCAGGAGGACAGAATGGTTGAGGTACGGATGCTCGAGCTCTCAAGGCCACAAGTCGGCAGGGGCTACATTCCTGTGTGAAGCTCACTACCCCTCAGTCGTCTCCTCTAGCTCTCTGTGGGGTCCGGTGACCTCTCTCCTTACAGTCCCATTAGCCCTAGGGGAGGTAATGGCTCTCCAGGGAGTGCTGCCCATGGGTGTCTCAGTATCACTTGTTGGTTCCCATAGCCCCACCCACACCTGTGTAAATAGGCCTTCATTAACCTTAGCTCAGTTGCCTGGTTTGAGTGTACCATCTGTTTCCTGCCAGCACTCTGACTGATAACAGCATTTTTGATATAGGTCTCCATCACATGTATGTACCTTTGTGTCCTCTGTATTCCTCATTGATCAGGGTTATAAATTTTCTCTTCCTGTGACACTAAATTGCCCTTAATAAAGCTTATTGACCCTAAAAGTCAAAGGGGGCAAAATCAGAGCTAGTCTCAATTCCTTAAAGTGGACATTATACAGAAGGTTAGGAAATATTAAATACAAGTATTCACATATGTGTTCCCCCCGTCAAGCTAATAAACATATGTATGTGCTTTTTGAAAACCAGTGTAACCGCAGGTTGTCTCTTGTTCCTAGTAGGTGCTGATTAGAGCAATGAGTTCCAACTTGGCAGTTTTTGGAAACTGAACATGAGCTGTTAATGTCTCTGCATCAACTCGGGTTTCCTTTTGCTTTTGTTTAAATTGAAGTTTTTCACTTAATATAAGATTTAGAGATTTCTGTCTCAGAGCTCGCCAAGATTTGCTACTTTTGTCTACCCTTGTTTTTAATCTTAAAAATTTGGATTTACTTAATAATTCCAAGTATGAACATTAATGTTGCTTTTATCTTCCATTTTACTGCACAGGAGGAGGGGAACAGATACCAAACTACTGATTATTTTACTTCCATTGTTAATACACATGAGAATATAAGTCTTCTTGTGTACCTGGAACTTACAAAAATTGGTTTCAGCTACTCAGGAGGCTGAGGCAGGAGAATGGCGTGAACTCAGGAGGCGGAGCTTGCAGTGAGCCAAGATCGCACCACTACACTCCAGCCTGGGAGACAGAGCGAGACTCCGTCTCAAAAAAAAAAGGAAAAAAAATTGGTTTTTAAAAAATTACATAACATATGTAATTTTTAAAACATATGTTTTAAACATATGTAATTTTCAAAAAAAAATTGGTTTTTAAAAAATTACATAACATACTTATGTTAAAATATACATAACATAAAGTGTATCATTTTAACCATTTTTTAAGTGTACAGCCTAATGGCATTAAGTACATTTGCATTGTTGTGCAGCTATCCCTACCATCCACCTCCAGAACCTTTTTTTATCCTCCAAAATTGGAACTGTGTACCCATTACACAATAATGCCCCGTTCTCTTTTCCTGTAAGCCCCTGGCACCCACCATTCTGCTTTGCCTCTAGGAATTTGACTACTCTAGGTACTTCACATAGGTAGAATCATGCGGTATTTGTCCTTTTGTGACTGGCTTATTCCACTTACCATAATGTCTTCAAGGTTCATCCATGTTGTATTAATAGCATGTCTTGGAATTCCTTTCCGAAATTTCTAAGGCTGAATAATATTCCATTGTATGAACAGACCACATATTGTTTTTCTGTTCATCTGTTGATGCAAACTTGGGTTGCTTCTACCTTTTGGCTGTTGTGAATAATACTGCTGTGAATATAGGTGTACAAGTATTTATTCAATCTTTGCTTGCAGTTCTTTGAGCTATATATGCAAAAAATGGGATCCTGGATTATACAGCAATTCTATGTTTAATTCTGTGGAACCACCATATTCTTTTCTGTGGTGGCTGCACCATTTTATATTCCCAATAGCAGTGCGCAGAAGTTTTTCCACATCCTTGATAGCACTTGTTATTTTCTGTTTTTTGTTTTGTTCTGATTTATCTTTTGACATGGAACATTCTTATACATGGTTACACATCCATTATGGTGGTCTTCATCAAGTTAGAGGCTGCAAAGCATCCATATCATTCATTCTTCTAGGGTTAAAGGCATTTGTAAAATATCAAATTCAATAACACTGCTAAATGTCTTAAACTTTGTGTGTGGGAGGGCGTAACTACTGGATTTTATAAGTGCTTATTACACTTGAAGATGACAGATTTCTTTTCTATTGAACATTTTAAAGAACAATTTAGTTCATCCCAACTGATATTTTCTGAAGGCCGCTATGTACCAGGTTCTGTTACAGGTGAATGGACCCATCAGTGAACAAAACCTTAAAAAAATTACAAATCATTTGGAAATCCACTATTACAGTGGCTTCTTCAGGGATGATACTGTTTTCCAATATGCTACCTAGGAAATGTGCTTCTTTCCAAACTCACTGTTATGTCTCAAGCGATTAGTTCATGGCTCAGAAGAAACATAAGTGAGAGGTGCTCCTTCTACAGCCCTTACTTTGTGCTTGTTTCTGGCACTCACCACTTTCGACCTTGTCATTCGTGTGCTTGTTTTATTTTCTTACAAGACTTTGAGTTTCTTGACAGGATTTCATCTGTATTTGATTTTCTACAATTATCTGCAGCATTTTGCATATAAGCATTAAAAAGATTTATTTCATTTGCTGAATAATAATGAACATGGCTGTTTTGTATTCTTTTTATGAGATGGTCAGTCACATGCAGCCACGGAGGAGACACAGGGGAGGCTCAGGAAGACAGAGTATTATACTCACAGGTCCTACAAAGAGGAGGCACGCCATGCCACGCAGGACCACACGGGAAAAAACACCAGAGTGGTCAGGAGGCAGGAGGCAGGAGCTCAGGAAATCATTCAACCTTTACTGAGGTTTCGCGGGAAAGGCAGGTGAGCAGCTTAGGATGGGCTAGTTTGAATCATCCTGGTGGGCTCTAAGCTCTAGGGATGGCCCTAGTTGTCTAGTACCCAGCTCTGGAATGGTTAAGGCAGAAATTTTAAAAAATGAAAATTTAAAAAATATATATGTGTACAATATCATACACACATATATACAAAATAATACACATATATATTGTGTTTGTGTGTACACACACACACACACACACACACACGTGACAACTTCATGCTAGGGAGAATGGTGATTCTAGACATCCTGAACTCCAGAATGATGGTGAAATAGGTAATGCAAGTCACCTCCCCACCTGCTCCTGACTCGGTCGGCTCCCTCGGTGGGTGAGAGGGTTGTTGGTCTGCCCTTTGGCGCCCTCTAGGTGAGAACACTGCATAGGCCATTCTGGTCTCATTGCTGCAGTTTGTACTTTTCATAGGAAAAAATTAGCAAGCTGACCTCTGTTTTGGAATGCCTCAGAAGCTAGAATAGAAGCCCACTCACTCTCCTACAGCACCCCTTTATCCCCACACACCTGTCTTTGCTAGGTAATAAGCAGATGCGGCTTGCAGACACAAAGCGTGAATACGATTAGTAAATTCACCTTGTGAAATGCAGCTCCACCTTCCTCTAATTTGGCCTTAGGGGTTGTTTTGCTATTTTTATGAGTCTGTATGTAATTAGCCACAATTAAAATCTGAAGTCTCTAAGTATTTTCACAGTCCAATTTCATCTGAGGCAATGAAAAATAAATAACTCACAGTGACTTTATTACTTCTGTTTCTCAGATTTGGGGAAGCAGAATAGTGAAGTGGGTCTCTTCACACATCCACAGGACAGGTAGGATTCGCAGGGGCTTGAAAGTCCCATAACTCAAGTGCATTTCACCTGTACTGTCAACACTGTCTATGGGCAAGACTTAAGGCAGCAACGTCCAGCAATTCTTTGTGTGCGAGGATCTCATTTCATCCTTCTTCCAGGGAGGAGAGGGGTGAGAAAAAATGACTCCCAAACCTCTTGTTACCATCCTGTCTCCACTTCTGAGCTCTGTCATTGTTTATGTCATTTGTATTCCAGATTCCAAAAGGATATGAAAGATCTGCCTGAGATCTAGTAGCATATTTCCAGCTGGCTCTTGGGAATCAAGAATATATACAAAGCATTGTTGACAACAAATGTTTATTTACTCTGAAGATGGTTTCCCCTTCTGTGTGAGTCAGGGTTCTGCAGAGAAACAGAACCAATGGGATATACATAGTGCTGTGGTTTGAATGTGTCCCCTCCAAATTTCATGTTGAAACTTAATCCGTATTGAGGTGATATTAAAAAGTGGAGCCTTTTGGGAAGTGATTAAGCCATGATGGCTCCACCATCATGAATAGATGAGTGCCTTATAAAAGGGCTGGAAAGAAATGGATTAGGCCCTTTTGCCCTTCAGCCTTCTGTCACATAAGGATACCATCAAAAAACACCACTGATGGAGCATTCCCTCACTAGATATGGAACCAGCCAGCCTTGATCTTGGACTTTCCGGACTCCAGACCTGTGGGAAATAAACATTCTGGTCTTTATAAACTACCTCGTCTTAGGTGTTTTGTTAGAGCAGCACAAACAGACAGGACAGAAATACATGTAGGAGGAGACTGGCTTATTTGATTACAGAGAGCAAGGAGTCCCACCATCTGCTATCTGCAAGCTGGAGAACCAGGAAAGCTGAGGGTTCAATTTAGTCTGAGTCTGAAGGCTTGGCAACCAAGGGAGCTGCTGGTCTAAGTCCCGGAGTCCAAAGGCCCAGAACCAGTAGCTCTGATGTCTGGGGGCCGAGGAAGATGAATGGACCAGTTCAAAAAGAGAGAGACAGAGAAGTCCTCCTCCCTCCACTTTTTTGGTCTATTCAGACCCTCAATCAATTAGATGATGCCTGTCCACACTGGTGATGGTGGATCTTCTGATTCAAATGTGAATCTCTTTAACCATCATAGCTTCTAAGTTCCCACCTTTCTTCCATCCTTGCCCCATCCCTTCTTCTCTAACCTCACCTTGTCCTCCCTTACCTCTATCCTTTCCTCTCTCTCCTGCATACATTTTGTGGAAAGCCTATGTATTAAGGGTAGACACAAGGCAAAATTGTTTCTCTGTTCATGGAACTTAGATACTACTGCACCAGCTACTGGAGAAAGTATTATGCACTTGCCAAGTAATACACAGGATTTTTGTCACTTATAAACACAACAAAGCTCAAAATCTACCATCATCATATTCTCCTTCTTGTCACTCAAAGTCACATCAAGAGGATGAATTGATTTTGTCCTCAGGACACCTTGTCATGTCTCCCAACTTTCCTATATAACTGATGGTTGTTACTCCAGACTTTTATTAGATTATCTTCAGTGTTGTGGGTTGAAATGCATCTTCCAAAAGATATGTTCAAGTCCTAACCCTGGGAATGGGACCTTATTTGGAAATAGGGTCTTTGTAGATATCATCAAGTAATGAGGTCTTACTGGAGTAGGGTGAGCCCTAATGCAATGACTGGTATATTTATAAGAAGAGGAAGATTTAGACACAGACACACAGGGGGAGAAGGCCATGTGATGATTGAAGCAGAGTTGGAGTGTCTACAAGTCAAGCAATGCCAGCAATCACCAGAAGCTAGGCGGGAGGCACCCAACAGACTCTCCCTCACACCCCCCAGAAGGAACCAACCCTGCAAATGCTTTCATATAGAAGGCCTCTCCAGAACTGTGAAGGACTTTCTCCTGTTTCAAGCCACCCAGTTAGTGGTGATTTGTTAAGGCAGCCCTAGGAAACTGGTACACCCAGTCAGTGCAATAACTTTCAAATAGTTCTGCTTGCCTCCAACACTCACACTCCATGTGTTCCCATCCTTGATTACTGTGGCATTCTGCACATGGCACTCAAAGCTGGGTCAATGTGAGCCAAGAGAACTCAGGAAAGGAGAGACATAAGAGAGAAGAAGACCCTGGAGAGAGAGGTTTTGAGACTGGAAAGTAATCATATAAGCCATTGGATACTTGCAGAAATCTTGGGGTGGTCGCTGAACTTCCCCCAGAGCATGGGATGGGGGAATTCAAAGGACAGAGAGGCTTCTGTTGCCTTCTGCATGATGTATAAGAAATCTCATTGAATCCTCTCTGCCACTGCATGGGCTGGAACTACTACCTGCACATACAGTTAGGAAGCTGAGGCTCTGTGGGGTTATCTCTTGCTTAAGAATGACCGACTGGACTGACAAAGTTCAGCCATAGAATTAGAGCCCAAGATATCCTGCTCTATAATGAGTATTCTTCCTTACCACCCTTATATCTCTAAATCAACAAACTGGGTTATTTGTTTCTCTTGGCCCTGACTTGCTATTTACCTATCTGGATTTCCTTCTCTTTCCCTCTGCACCTGGTCAAAAGCTGCTCATCCTTCAAAGTCCAGTTTAAATTTAATTGTCTCTATATAAATGTTCCTGAGCACCTTAGCCTGAAGAGACATGAATCAGTCCCACTGAACAAGACTAACTGACATGCATATAATTTAATTTGCACAATTGAACACCTGCTGTGTTGTTTCTTCAATTATGGGCTTGGTCTCTTTGCATCTTTTGTTCTGAGTTATTTTTTTCACACTGTTGTAAGCTCCTTGGGCAGAGTCCATAATTTATACATCTTTGTATACCTAGTGGGTCTCAGAACAGTTCCTTGCACACACAAAAAATGAGGCAAAATGAAGTCAGATGTCTTGGTTCTCAATACAGTCATCTGTTCTGGAGTTGTTAAGTGTAGGATATCGAATGCTTTTCTTAAACTTCCTGGTCTCTGTCTCCTCTTCTTTGACAGTAGGGGTTTGAACCAGCGAATGTCAGTTTCCTTCAGCTCTGTTGGACTGGGGCACTGCTCCTTTAGCTTAGGGACACATGCCGGGAAGAGGGAATGTGGGACTCCTCTGGCCCAATTTCCAGGCACCTGGGGCCCCAGCAAGCTTACCTTGTCAGATTCATCAGATGGTTGGACTGTAGGCATGACCTTGGTGTTCCTTGCAGGAAACAAAGGCCAGGTGTGATGCTGGCAGTGTGTCTGTGTGTCTCAGGAGTCTCTCTGATGTTCCGTCTGAACTACATGTCGGGAGATGCCAGATCTCAATCCGACAGATCAAGCCACATGTGCCCAGAAAGGCTTTTGGCGACATCACATTCACTTAGGAGCTGTGGTCCATAGGGGGCTGGGGTATGATATTCTGAATGGTGACGGAAATAAGTGTTCTTATTCTTGTTTACAGTGCCTTTTTGGGAAAATGGGTGAAATAAGGTTCTGTGTGAGTGTGCATGTGCGTGTGTGTGTGTTGAAGTAGGGCTGGAATGGAAACATGGGGGGAAGGATATTTGAAGCTCTGTAGTACCGTTCCTTATTGAAGTAACACCCCTCGCCTAAGTATAAACTTGTGGATGGCTTCCCCAGTGCAAGTTTATAAGTTTGTAAACCCCAGGCTCTGCAGATTAGATGTATGGGCAACTGAATTTTTTTACACAAGCAGAGAAATTTTAAGAAATTTAAAGCATAATCATGTACACCCAAATGCTGGTGGTTTGTGCTGGCTTAAGAAGCAAGAATATTCCTTTGGTTGGTGTAGCATTTCTCTTTACTGAACAGCATTAAAATAGCAACAACCGACTATACACTTCAGAGAGAACCATCTAGACATGGAGAGAAAAGAATCAATCTTGTTTGTAGGTAGCAATGTCTGGTAGTATCCATAAAATATAACAGCCAAGGAAATTTCAAGGGAGTGGAGCAATGGAGATTTTGTGCTTAAAGAGGGATCAATTAATTGGCAATCATGTACAACTCTAGGTATAATTATATAGAAAACAGGCAACATGAGATCATTTATTTATTTTTATGAGGGAATAATTTTATTTTATGCTCATTTTACTGAGGCTAATTTCTTCTTATTCTAAGAAGTAAATGTGAACATGCCTATTGTGCATTTGCAAAGGAAATTCAAACATTGTCTTTGTTTCAGAAGCAAATGCTGTAAATGTTGCTATTTCAGAATGACTTTTATCATAGTTATAGATGTTCTCATTTATTTGCAAATACATTTAAAGTGACAAAAAAGGAATACTTGGGGATTTAAATAGCATGTTTTCAACTTTAACTGCATACTGTATTTAGAATTTAAAGGGGATCTCTGATCTTTGTTTTCTCATACGTTCCACTTGAGGCCACATTATTCTAGGGCAGTGGTCCTAATCCACAGATTTTAGTCTCTTTTCCCCACCCCTCCAGGGCACATCTGGCAGTGTCTGGGGGCATTTTGATTATCACAATAGGGAGGGTCCCCTAGTACAGGATTCTAGTAGGTAAAGGCCAGAGCTGCTGCTAGACAGCCTAAAACACACAGGACGGTTCCCATCTACAAAGAATAATCCAGTCCAAAATGTCAGGAGTACTGAAATGGAGAAACCCTGCTCAAAAAAAAAAAAAGAAAGAAATTTTATTTCCTTCTTACAATAATCCATAGTTAATCTCTGAGCCCCATTTTGTCCACAACAGCATGGTGTCGTGACCTAAAGGTATATCTCAAAAGAATCTCTCATTCTTATCAGTGCAGAATAGAGAAATTGTGTGCAGCCTACGTGTGATTTGTCACTTTAGTACTCTGTGGTAGGTTATTTGACATTTCATGCTTCATAGTCTGAAATGCCCTCTCTTAGTATACCCATCTGACATTTTCGAGAGACTAATGTTTGCCTAAGAATGCTTAAACGATGGCCAGATTTTACTCTGAGTGATACTACCCCCTGGAAGTGGGGGGAAAAAAAGAAGGAGGGAAAAAAGTTAAGTTTTCATTCTAAACATCTTCAAAGCTTGATTGGCTTTAATAAGGTATCATTAATTAATTCAACAGCTAAGAAGGGACTGCAAGTGTTAAAAATCACGGCTGTCAAATGTTATGGCATCTGGGAGCCCTAGTGGTTGGTTACTTAACATGATATTTTAGGACAATTCTACTCTGCTTAAGCATAATAAACCGGAAAGACATGAACAAATGTCCCAACTGCTTCCCTTTCTACTCCCACCCCCTGCTCTGGAAAGAAGCCCTAACACCTCTAATACCACACCACTCTAAAATAAACCCAAATGTTGCACTTATTTTACTGCTATGCATTGAGCATTATTATTTGGAGATGCTCTATGCTGCTTCATTAAAGATCTTTCATATGGGGTGGGGAAACTGAGCCACAGGGGATGATTAAAAGAAGGAAGAAGTCAGATGACTTCGGATTCTGTTGGCTCCTGACTAGAGAACACCTTAGGAAAAGCAATCCTTCATCTGCAGCACACAGAAGAAACCACATTCCGAACTTCTCGGTGATGAGCCCCGTTTCCTAACAGTGTGAGGTTAATGAACCTCCTTATTTTTGGCAGGGTGAGGAAGTGGCAAGCAGAAAAACCTATCAAAGGGAGCCCAGTTCCAAGGCTTTAATTGCTTAGGTGACTATTAAGAAAAGAGCCCCCTTCTTTCACAGCAGAAGGATACAGTTCTCTGTTCCCAAATCTGGCAGCTATTCCTCAATTATAGAAAGAAGAAGGAAATTAAAATGTGATGGATTAAATAAGAGGGTGAACCGGTACTTATTTCCTAACTAGAAATTACCATTTTTGTGCTTTTAAATTGATAATTATCAGCACCATACTTTATTCACTTTTGTCATAAGGTCCTTCCTTTTAATTAAAATTGAGATGCTTCACATTTCTTGCGTTCCCTTAAGAAAATCTTTCAAGTGTTTAAGTCCCTGATATTGGAAAGCTTTAATTACAGCATAGAAAAAGAAGAGTGGAAAGAGCTGGGGCGGGGGGATGTGTCCCTTCATTTCCCGTGAACATGATCACACTGGGAACTCAGGGAGGTCCAGTGCATTTGTCAACTTGCCAAACATTATGTTCATTAAAGGCCAGAAAGTATCCCTGGGGGGTGGATACACTTGAGCTCATTTCCAATCATTTTACCTGCTCTGCCTCATTTCAGAGCCCAGTCAGATCATTACCAGACTTCCCACATTGTCCTAAAAAAATGCATTAAAATTAAGTCACAACAGACATCCAGGTTTGCACCTGTATCTCACACCTGTGAGGATCGCTTTTATATTGAAATAAGACAAGGTTCTCCAGAGAAACAGAATATATATATATATATATATGTATGTATTACCACACACGCATATATATATGTATGTATACATATATGTATATATACACGTTTTAAATTTTATTAAAAATTTTAAATATATTTATTTTAAGAAATTGTCTTGTGTGATTGTAGGGGCCGGCAAGTTCAAAATCTGTAAGTCAGGTCAGCAGGCTGAAAACTTAGGCAGAAGTTAATGCTACTGTCTTGAGGCAGAATTTGTTTTTTTTGTTTGTTTGTTTTGTTTTTTTTTTCAGGAAACCTCAGTTTTTGCTCTGAAGGCCTTCAGCTGACTGAATGAGGGCCATGCACATGATCCAGTTATCAAGGAGAATCTCTTTACTTAAAGTCAGCTGAGTAAATTGTCTAAAAAATACCTCCACAGCACCTAGATGAGTTTGATGACATAACTGTGTATTGTATAGCCTAGCCAAGTTAATACATAAAACTCATCATCACAGGCATCAAGCTCAAATGTTAGGGTTTGCAGTGGACTAATGCATACTTAAGTACCTAGATGACACCCAGAAGGGACAAAAGCCCTGAGCTTCCCCACTCAGCATGCTGCCACCTCCATACCCATGTTGACTCTCTTTCTGTTTTCAGGTTGTAACCCACGTATTCTGGTTCTGACCTGCTCTATTTTCTCTTTATCCTCCTGGAGCAGGAGTGAAGTAGCAAGTATGTTGAGTCATAAGACAGATTTCACTATTCCTTGAATGCTGACAGAACTCAGAGTCTTATGTCTCATGATTTTCCACTTGATTTCCATTTCTATGCTTTGGGTAATGAGGTTTAACTTGCCTCTCCATTGGGAATACAGATTCCTGGAAGGTAGAGAATCTTATTTTCTGTGTATAGAGTTCATAGTTAGGTTTCAGGTGATATTCAGAAAATACATTCAGAATTTTAGAGATGTATGGAGTTGTGAAACTAGCAAAATATTAATCATTCTTTTGACACAGAGCCTCACTTTGTCACCCAGGCTGGAGTGCAGTAGCATGATCTCCACTCACTGCACCCTCCGCCTCCCAGGTTCAAGTGATTCTCCTGCCTCAGCCTCCTGAGTAGCTGGGATTATGGGTGCCTGCCACCACGCTTGACCAATTTTTGTATTTGTAGTAGAGATGGGGTTTGCCATGTTGGCCAGGCTGGTCTTGAACTCCTGACCTCAAGTGATCCACTCACCTTGGCCTCCAAAAGTGCCGGGATTACAGGCCTGAGCCACAACACTCTGCCTAATCATTCATTTTAAGTGATTAAATCATCCATTCATCTACTTTTAGTACATCCTACATCCTTTTTCCTTCCTTCCTTCCTTCCTTCCTTCTTTTCATCCATCCGTCCATCCATCGATTATTAATTCAATAAATATTTACTGTTTTCCTTCTTTTGAGAGGTGTATGACCTAAACTAAGAGGTATGGAGTTTAAATGACTTGTGGAAAATTAGAATGTTTTATTCTCTCGTTTCCCACAAGTCATTTATATAGTTGCTAAAATTTAGTAACTGCAATAAAAATACATGATTCCGGACAACATATTCTCATTTTACTTACTTCTAATATTGATATCAGATTGGTTCTCCTGCCTCTGAGTCTCAGTTGAGATCAGAAAGCGGTGATAACAGCTCATTGGGAATTGGCCATTTGCAACCAAAGTTTGTGATATAGTTGGGACAACTAACTGAATAACTGGGTCACAATAGGAGACATCTTAAATTACTAAAGCTACATGATTTTGGAAAGTCTGGTTTCATTTATTTAACTAAACTACCAGTAATACCTTATGTTTCCAACTTTGGTTTTTGTCAGTTGAGATCTGGCTTAATATCCCTCATGGAAAAGATGGACAATTTAGGCAAAAAGTATTTATAAAGATAAAGTTTAGGCAGGGCACAGTGGCTCACGCCTGTAATCCCAGCACTTTGGGAGGCTGAGTCAGGCAGTTCACGAGGTCAGGAGTTCAAGACCAATCTGGCCAACATAGTGAAACCCCACCTCTACTAAAAATACAAAAAATTAGCTGGGTGTGGTGGTGTGCACCTGTAATCCCAGCTACTCGGGAGGCTGAAGCAGGAGAATCACGTGAACCCAAGAGGCGGAGTTACAGTGAGCTGAGATAGCACCATTGTACTCCAGCCCGGGCAACAGTGTGAGACTCTGTCTCAAAAAATAAATAAATAAACAAACAAACAAAGTTTAAAGAAGAAGTGTATATTTATGTATTATTTAATTAACACATGCACCAACCGTACAACTGCCTTCAGAAAGTACCTTTCTGACAAAATTAGAATAAAGGAGACATAGTGGGTAGGGAGGAGAGGGGTTAGGTGGGTAAATTTAGGCTATGCCAAATAAAAATGGGGCCCCTAGGAGTGGGGTGCCTAGGACTAGCATTGGCAGAAACCACTGGAGCCTCGAGCCAGCATCCTTTTGCTGAGGCCTCTGCATAGTTGATAGAGCAGTCCCAAAGATGTAAATGGAGCAATTAGATATCATTCAATTTATAGTGCTCTTGGCAAGAAAAAGATCTTTCAGAATTCTTCATCTGCCCTAGGCAAACCTTTAGAGGCTCTCCTCTTGCTTATTCACACTTGTGGCAATTTTCCAAGAAGAAATTCCACTAAAAAGAGTCTATTTTTTAATCCAAATTGAGAAAATGGGGAAGTAGTCTAGGATGATGGTAGGAGTTGAAATTCTGGTGTCAGACTGCCAGAGTGCAAAAACCTGGCCCAGGCCTCCCTCCTATCTACTAAGCAGGAAGGGGGAGGATGTGAAGAGGTGGTGGTTGGGGGTTGGTTTACCTTGGCTAAGCTGCTCCTCTAAGCTTCCACATTCCCACTTGTAAAATAGAGTAATAACAGTCCTTACTTGGCAAAGTGGTTAGAAGGACTAGATGAGCCACTTCTGAAGAAGTGCTCAGTGCATAGTAAGCAAGAGAAATGATAACTGTTGTTCACATGTGTACAGTGAATGGGACTATTACATGACCATCACATCAATGATAATTACATTTCCATTATTTTTCCTTTTAACTCATAATACCTTTGGGTATTTAGCTGGAATGCAGCATATTTTACTAAATGGATACAGTAGAATGCTCCATTTAATAATGATATCTACTTTGTTTTCTTGTCCTCAAATCAAAGGGACCCGAGTGCAGTGGTCCAGCTATTCAGGAGGCTGAGGTAGGAGGATAGTTTGAGCCCAGGAATTTGAGGTTAGCCTGGGCAATATAGCAAGACCCTATCTCTAAAAAAAATCAAATGGAGAAAACTATTGGTCCATATTCTATGTTATAGACAAGATACAAAAGACAAACTCAGATTAATGCAAGTTAACCAACTCTATAAAAATTCATAGAATTTTATTATTATTTAAACTGCCTTTTCTACCACTGCTATATTTGTTGACTCTGCCTAGGCATGCTTTAAAAATTCCATAAACAGCTCACGCCTGTAATCCCAGCATTTTGGGAGGCCGAGGTGGGCGGATCAC
Organism: Homo sapiens; assembly: GCF_000001405.40. Lineage (NCBI taxonomy): Eukaryota > Metazoa > Chordata > Mammalia > Primates > Hominidae > Homo > Homo sapiens. Next base: position 38,137,193 of record NC_000021.9, read on the forward strand.
GAGGTCAGGAGATCGAGACCACGGTGAAACTGCGTCTCTACTAAAAATACAAAAATAAGCCAGGCGTGGTGGCAGGCACCTGTAGTTTCAGCTACTCAGGAGGCTGAGGCAGGAGAATGGTGTGAATCCAGGAGGCGGAGCTTGCAGTGAGCCGAGATCGCGCCACTGCACTCCAGCTTGGGCGACAGAGTGAGACTCCGTCTCAAAAAAAAAAAAAAAAATTCCATAAACATGTAAAAGTATATTCATTACTAGATATCCATCAACATTGGGAGAGAATCTAAAGCAACTTATCCCCCATTCTTTTACCCAGCTGTATTTTCTGCTAAGCCACCTATCTCAATCTGAGATTATATTACACATTTAAAATTTTCTGGTTTATCATCCCTTCCTAAAATGCATACCTGAGGAGGGTGGGGACTCATTTGGTCTTGCTTACCAGTGAGCCTCTGGTGGACTGATAACACTCCATAAATACATGTAGAATGAATGTCAAGTAAATAAATTCAGAAAATGGGCATTTATGTTTCTAAGTTGAATATGTATTCACAATTTCAGTTAATACCCACTTGCTTTTATTATTTATCTTGTGAGATATGACATTTCCAATGCAAGCCTTGCCCTACTGAAACCATCATTTGCTGAATGTGTAATTTTCATCAAACTGTACTTTAATATTAATCAAAATGAAAAGAATCCTCTTCTAAATATTTGTTGACCTTGAGCTTATATCATGTTTGCATAATGAGATTTAAGTAGAACATACTTTAAGGTGCAAAGAGATATTTTTTCATATTCTGTGTTACAAACAAGACACAATAGATAAACTCAGATTAATCCAAGAAACAAAAATAAAAAAATGAAAGATCAAGAAAAAGCTGTTTTTTTTAAAAGATTAACAAAATGCACAAGCCCTTGGTGTGATTATCCCAGAAAAAAAATAGGACATAAAGAAATAATATTAAGAATGAAAAAAGTTATCTAATACAGGATTAGTAAAGATTTTTAATATCACAAGAGAACATAATTTTGATAAATTTAAATCTTAGTTTAGACAATTTTCTAGCAATTATAATTTTACAAAACTAACTCAAGAAGAAATAAAAATGTGAATAAACTACTAATTGTCAAAATATTATATACAAACTCGTTCTAAGCCTAGAAAAAAAACTGGGAGAAGTCCTCAACTTATTCTATATGGTTAATATAACCTAGATACCAAAGTTTAAATCTCTTTTTTTGAATTATATGAATTTTATGAAAAATTCTAAATAAAGCATTCATAAATTGAATATTTTAAAACCCCAGATACATCATGACTCAGGGATGAGGCTTGACTTGACACAGAAGAATCTACTAATGCAATTCACTACATTAATAGAGAAATGTAGAGACACCATATGATCACCTCAAAAAGTGCCAAAAAGGCAATAAAATTCAATAGTTATGGCTTGTAAAAACCGGAAGTAAACTAAAAACAGATGGAGACTTTTTCATCTGATAAAGGATATCCACCAAAAACAAAAATAAAAACAAACATAAAACAAGTAAACACCTACAAATCTACTGTGAATTTCTCCCTCTGTGGCTACAGATGAGTAAGTGCAGGGTCTTTGGCAGCTAATAGATCTGGAGGAGCCCTTGTCCTTTTATAGGACTTAGAACTTTAAGTACAAAAGTTCCAAATAAGTTTGACGGAACAAATAGGCACCAGCTTGGGCAAAAAAAAAAAAAAAACAAAGCTGAGCCTTCATCACAACCATCTTGGATTACTGAGCAGGAATCCTATACAAGATAATTTTTTTAAAAAGATAAAACAACAACTCATATAATGTTTAAATAAACACATATTAAAGATTTAGCCCATTCGTTAATGAGGGAACCAAGATCTTACAGTCAATTCAAAGAAGAATTCAAAACACATAGGCACACACATACGAAATAAGAAATGCTGAAATAAATTTATAAATAAATGCAAAATTAGTCAATATTTCCAGGGCAATTGTGAACTACATCTCCACTGGGTACAATTTGTTTGAGTTTTTATCGGCAGGAACCAGTTGGATGACAGTTTTTGTGGAGGTGTGAAGTAGCTCAAAGACAACAAAAGGCAGAGCCCATGCAGAAGGTACCACCCCACCATCCGCTTGCCCATTTTAACATCTTTCACAATTTCTGTTAACAGTTTAAATTATATTTTGATGTTGATCTCTTTTAAATACTTGATTAGGGAATAATTTTCTTTATTCTCTGATGTTGCTGACGCTTGGCTTAATAAAGAGTTTTTATTTTCTTATTTCTCTTTAAAACGTGAAATCAGTGGAGCCATATGCCAGTGTCAGTTAGATATGTCTATGGAAAGTCAGACCACACTCCTGTTGGGCCCCAGCTGGCTTACCTCAATTGCTAGCAAAATGCTTGCAAGGAAAATGTGGAGACAGCCTAAGCTACAGAAACCATCTTGCTTTTTTTCTGATAACATAAGTTTTCAAAGCAATATTTAAACAAAAGACAACATGTTTTTTCCCCAAGTAAATATCTACAGCCTTCCTCCCAGCCTGTCTTACTCCCAAATCATGTCCTTGTTATTTGCAGGTATCCAAATGTCTGCATGTGGGAGCATTCCTTGTGGATTAGGGTGTTAGTGTCTAGGAGTCTCCTCTTTTATGAAATGCAAACATTCTTTGAGCACAATTGCAACATCAGCTGTGATATTTACCTAAATGTTTCCCAAGGATAAGTGGCTTACGTCAGAGCCCTGAGGCTACAGGATGTAGGGTTTGACCAGCAAGAGATTTGAGGGCAGGTAGGTATCCCATGAGAAAAAAAGTATCAGAGACACAACAGCATTATCCCAGGACATGAGGTCCTGGAGGTTAGAGGCAGCCCACAAGAAAGCAGTGATCCCAAAAAGAGACAGGAAGGTGCTAACGACAAAACTCATCTTTGTGTCTACTCCCAGGCTGATCCGTGATTACCAAAATGATCCAGTCCACAATTTCCAATGCTGAAGACAGAGGAAAGATTTGGGGCTGAGAGTGATCTATGTTGTTTGTTTATATACAAGACATTAGGTACCCTGGGCCATTGACCTCATAGAGAACAGGCAGCATTTGTTGTCTGCCAACTCTGGATTCTGCAGGCATCAAAGGATTAGACTCTCATAATGAAATCAGCCCTTTAAGCTACTCGGAAGACTTACGATAGGGATCACTACCCAGATTAATTTGCTACCAAATAGAGAATGAGAGGCCAAGATAAACAAAAGAGAGCAGCCAGCTGGTAGGGTTTGAAAAAAAAAATGCAAGCCATTCATTTTCCTTTTGTTCTTGTATTTCCAATTGAATTATGATGGCTCATCTTTTCTAACCTGATATGAGCTGAATTTTTTATGATTTAAATTTGCTCATTATATTTCTATTGCAGAGTGGTTCTCTGAAGAACGAGCCTGTTGCTGGCTGTCAGGGTGTCATGATGGTATTGCGCAAATCCTCGAGGCAGCTTTCCAGGGCTGCTGTCAGCCTGCTCATGCCCTTTAGCCACTGGGCAGTAAATGAGGATCTCTAGGACTGAATACATAATTTGAGGGGGTTCTGTGCAAAATGAAAATGCAAGGTACCTTGTAAAAAATAAGACTTTCATCAGAGCAACAGGGAGCTTCTGGGTCCAGGCCTCAGGCCACACACCCATGAAGTTGACCCTGGGGGTCTCAGTGATGGGATAAGCAAATCCTTTCCCACAGCAATTACATAAACTGTCTTGCCAGGGACTGAAGGCTTACAACTTGGGAGTCAGATACACTTTGTAGCTCAGAAAGCTGACTTTAATAAAAGTAGTGTACCTAGAAGACAGCTGTTTATTTGTAGAGGTGGCTTGATATGTTTTGAATTTGTGTCCCTACCCAAATATCATGTCAAATTGTCATCCCTAATGTTGGAGGAGGGGCCTGGTGAGAGGTGATTGGATCACAGGGAGGGACTTCCCCTTGCTTTTCTCTCAATAATGAGTTCTCACAAGATCTGGTTCTTCAGAAGTGTGTGGCACCTCCCCTACTCTCTCTTTCTCCTTCTCCGGCCATGCAAGACATATCTGCTTCTCCTTCACCTTCCACTATGATTGTAAGTTCCCTGAGGCCTCCCCAGCCATGCTTCTTATACAGCCTGTGGAACTGTGAATCAACTAAACCTCTTTTCTTTATAAATTACCTAGTCCCTGTTAGTTCTTTATAGCAATGCGAGAATGGACTAATACATGGCTTTACCTTAGATTTCTTGGAATCTGTAAGTTGATCCAAATTGCTTGATGAATGTATTCTCTAGGGATCCATGTGAATCTCTCTTTGAGAAGATTTTTCTCTTGTGGCTTCACTTAGAGTCTATCTACCTTTACATAGGTGCATTTATATTGAGGTGATTGATTATTTGGGTAACAGCTCCATGTATACTATGATAGTTATAGGGGCCCCATTTGTATTAGGGTTTGTAATTCTGTCAGCATGAAGCAATCATTTCAACGGACAATATTTAATTTTTAATGTAGGATTTATCTAACCAGGTTCTGCAGAGGTGTTCTTGGGGTGCTCCAGTGCTCAAGTTAGGAAAACGCTGCTTTAGGTCTAAGTCAGGTTCGAATCAAAGGTTTTGAGGTCTTAGTGATTAATAAGTTCTGTGCCCCTTCTAATGACGGTATGTAAGTCCAAATGCCATATGCAAATCAAATCTTTGAAGGAATTGATAGAAAATGGCAATCTTCATTCAGATAAGATTTAGCCTAGTGGTTAAAAAAAAATTCCAAATAACCAAATATTGAGGAATAATAATGTAGCAACAACAACAGTTTTGAGTACTCACAGCATGACAGATACTTTTGGTGTATTTTTCCAGTCCTGTGAGATAGGTCCTTGTTGATCCTCCATTTTGCAGATGAGAAAAATGAAGCAAGAAGGATTCAGTAACTCACCCACGTCTCCAGGCAGCAGGAGGCAGAAGTCAAATTTAATTCCCCAGAATCTGACTCTAAAGCAAGTGCTTTACCCTCTCAATTTCATTTCTCTACACACTTGTGCTGGAAAATGCATGAAAGTTTGCATGATTTCACACTTTCACATGAGCATGAAGATCAGAATTTATGGGGATATGATTGTTTTAAATTGTAGGTTTTATTATTATTCAGGCATAGTGAGTTCAGCAGATCAGGAGATGACTGCCATTGAAAGGATGGTTTATTACTCACAGTTCCCAAGAGCAGGAGGCAGCCACACCATACAGGGCCTTTTGGGGAAGTGCCAGGATTGGTCAGGAAGCAGAGGGGCTGGGAGGAAAACATGGACAAGAGCATTTATTACAGTTTCTGTGAGAAGGAACAGGTGAGGCAGGATAGACAGACTTAGGATTGTCTGGTTTAATAATTCCAAAGGGCTCTGGGCTGCAGGGGCTGTCTCTCATTGCCTGGTACCTGGCCATGGGATGATTTGGGCAGGTGAATGGTGGGGGAGGCTTGTGAGAATCTGATAAAGAAGGTCTTTGGGGCATGGGCTCTGGGTTAGTTGGTTTGCATCTGGAAGACACCCTTGTAGGCAAATAATTTACTATCTTTAGAAATTGGCTATCCCTGGGAGGGGCAGTCTCTCCAGGGTCAGCAAGGCCCCAGATGTCAAAGCTTCAGAATTAGAAGATATGCTTAATGCATTGACCTGGAAGACCTGGGCTGACAAGAGGGACAGGGACTGCTGCCTGGTCTAAAGAGTCACCTCTTAGGACCAGTGTCCTCCCCTTTGTTAAAAGAAGACAAAGAGTCCTTGAAGAGTGATCATAAAAAGATGATGCCAAAGTGTCTTGGGGAGACAGCCACATTTTTCAGAGCTGTAGCCACATGTCTCAAAGATGTAGACTTGTGGGTAAATGGTACTTGAAGCAGAAAGCAAATGTGACACTTAGTGATTGTAAGTAATCAAGATGACACTTCTTGGTAATTAGGCAGAGACGATAAGTAATTTTTTAAAAGTTTCAGATGCCTATTGCTTTTGATTTTCTCTCCTCTCTTTGTTAGTCTCCTAATGTCAATAAGTAGAATTCATGCCAATGACACCTAACATCAGTCCTTTCTCCCTGGCCCAGCAAATAAACAAAAACACAGAGGAGGCTGCCTGGAGAACTGAGTGTTGCCTCTCACCTGCAGCACACAGGACAAGCTGGGTTCTTCGGGCTCCACATTAGAGGTCTCTTTCAACCAGTACCCAGATCCCAGCCCACCTTCTCTTGGCTGAGTTCTGGAGCAGACTTCCAAGTGCTCTTTTATTTCTGTTTGGAATCTGGGAGTCTTGGTGGTTGAAGACATAAGGCACCAAGATATCTGGGCTTGGAGGGGAGGATTCTAGAGTTCTAAGCAGGGGCACTAAGCTCTAGCATTGAGAAGTAGAAATGGAAGAGAGGAGAGGGACGAGTATTGTGAACAAAAAGTTGGGGTGGCTGGGTTTTGTACACCCAGAGGTTCTCAATGAATGAGTCTCCATCAGCCCCTGAGGCTTCCTCTCTCTCAAGGGGCAGGAGAATACCTGGAGGAAGTGGGGTAAAGAGGTCATGGAGATTAGCAGTTTTTCACCCTTTGAAAGTGTTAGGCCATGTGATGGAGCCTCCAGACCCAGAATCTCATTTAGTCCTTATACAACCTGAAAAAGTCTTCCAAAACCTTAGGGGCAAACACATCCCATCTCTTTCATTTTTCCCCCCAATGAAAATGGGTTTATCCTTTAAGGGCACTCTTATTTGGAGGTCCAGTACTCCCCCCTTTGATGTTCTCTCCTCCTCAAATTGTCCACAAACCTAGAGGGCTGATGTGGTCCAAATGGACCCAGGTTTAATCAAACTGTCTCCCCAATGAAAGCTAAGCTTCAGTTGGTGCTCGCTGCCACATGGCTTGAGCTGAGTGCTGGTCCTTTCCACCTGAAAGATACTGCCGGGCAGCTGCTGACCCAAGCTCTTTCCCAAGACATTGTGTTTTTTTAAGAGTGGCCAATGATACTCACTTGGAGCTAAACTCAGCTAATAGGATGCCATGATCTGAGGGCCTCTGCCTTTAGAGCTCAACCACTAGAACAAAAGGTCTCTCCCTACCCCCTCCTTCTAAGGGTGGACTCCTTGCTACTAGCAGGGAGCCAGACAGTCTTCTTAGACGTTCCCCTGAAAGTAAAGCTGCTACCTGCTCACCCTTAGGCAGCTACACCTGATTCCAAGCTCTTTCAGTATCTTGAAATTGCTCGATTCTCTTTCTTTTTCGTTTCTCAATATATTTTATTTTTAGAGCAGTTTATGTTCACAGCAAAATTGAGAAGAAAGTACAGAAAGTTTCCACACACCCCCAGTCTCCATACATGATGGCATCACCCTAGTCAGCAGTCCACACCAGAGTGGTACATTTGTTACAAATGATGAATCCGCACTGACAACTTATAATCACCCAAAGCCCATAGTCTAAGTTAGGGTCACTCTCAGTGCCATATATTTTATGTGATTTGACTATATGTAATGACAGGTATCCACAGAGATACCTGTATGACAGAGTGCCATGCAGAACAGTTTCACTGCACTGAAAATCCTCTGGGATCCTCCCATTAATCACTCCCTCCCACCAACCTCTTTTCATTGTTTCCATAGTTGTGCCCTTTTACAGAATGCCAGACCATTATAACAACACAGTATGGAGCCTTTTTAGATTGGCATCTTTCTGAGTTTTGGAAATTATGTAAAAACCTGCTCTACATGTCCCTGAGAAGGTTTTGATTGGATATAAGTTTTCAACTCGCTTGTGAAAATACCAAGAAGTATCCTTGATGAATTGTATGGTAGGAATCTGTTTAGTTTTGTAAGTAACAGCCAAATTGTCTTCTGAAGTGCTAGTAATATTTTTCATAATCACCAGCAATGAATGAGAGTTCCTGCTGCCCCACATCCTCACCAGCATTTGGTGTTGTCAGGGTTTTATATCTTGTCTGTTCTAATAAAAGTGTAGTGCCATCTCATTGTTGCTTTGACTTGCAGTTTCCTGATGACATATGATGTTGAGAGTTTTTTCATATGCTCATTTGCCATATTTATATCTTTTTTGACAGAGTGTCTGTTCAGGCCTTTTGCCCATTCTTTAATAGGTTGTTCATTTTTTTGTTGTTGTTGAGTTGCAAGTATTCTTTGAATATCTTGAATAATATTTCTTTCCAGATATGTACTATGAAAATATTTTTCTTCCAGTCCATGGCTTGTCTTCTCATTCTCTTGACAATGTCTCTCACAGAATTTTGGGTCTTTTTTGTTTGTTTTTAAATTTCAATGAAGGTCAGCATATTACCACTGTATTCATGGTGAATTAGATTTTCTCCTGTCTTCTTCTAGGGGTTTTATAGTTTTGTGTTTACATTTAGGTCTGTGACCCATTATGAGTTAATTTTTGAAAGGGGTGTAAGGGCTAGGCCTATAGTCATTTTTTTTTTCCTGCATGTGGATGTTTAGTTGTTACAGCACCATTTCTTGAACAGATTATCTTTTCTCCATTGTACTGCCTTTGATTCTTTGTAAAAAATCATCAGTTAACTATATTTGTGTAGATCTATATCTGAGGTCTGTATTTTGTTCCTTTGATCTATTTGCCTATTGTTTTGCCAATACAACACTCTCCTGATGATTATGGCATTGTAATAAGTATGGAAGGTGAATAATATCAGTCCTTTCACTCTATTATTCTTTAATATTGTATTGATTATTTTGAGTCTTTTTATCCTCATATAAACTTTAGAAGCAGTTTATCAAAATCCACAAAATAATTTCCTGGGGTTTAGATTGGGATTGTGTTGAGTCTATAGGTCAACTTGGACAAAAGTAGCATCTTGACAATATTGAGTCTTTATAGAAATAAAAATAAAATATTTCTCCATTTATTTAGCTGTTTGATTTCTTTCATCAGAATTTTGTTGTTTTCGTCTTGTACTTATTTTGTTAGATTTATAAGTATCTCATTTCAGAAAGTGCTAATTTTAATGGAAAACAATTTATTTTTAATTAAAATTCATTTTTAATTATAATTTAATTTATAGGAAAACAGTTTAATTTTGTTAACCTTATATCCTGTACCTTATTATAATCACTAGTTTCAGAAATTATTTTTGGTTATTTTGGATTTTCTACATAGACAACACTGTCATTTGTGAAAAAGAGCAGCCTATTTCATTCTTCACAAGCAATATATCCGCTTTTCTCATATTACTGCATTAAGACTCCCAGTAAAATGTTGAGAAGGGGTGCTGATAGAGAACATCCTTGCCTTGGTCTCGACGTTAGCAGGGTAATTTCTAGTTTCTCACCATGTTGGTTATGATGGTAGCTCTACATTTTTTAATAATATTCATTATCAAGTTAAGGAAATTCTCCTGTATTATTGAGCTGGTTTTTACCATGAAAGGGTATTCGATTTTCTCAAGTGCTTTCCTTTCTATTGATAGGGTCATGCTATTTTTCTTCTTCATATATAGGATGGATTGCATTACTTTCTTTTTATTTGTTCATTTATTTATTTTCTTTTCAACTTATTTTAGGTTGAAAGGGCACATGTAACAGGTTTGTTACATGGGTAAATTGTGTGTCATGGGGGCTTTGTGTACAGATAATTTTGTCACCCAGGTGATCGGCCTAATACCTGATAGATAGTTTTTCAATCCTCACCATCCTCCCACTCTCAACGGTGGACTGGATAAAGAAAATGTGGTACATATACACCATGGAATACTATACAGTTGTTACAAAATGAGATCATGTCCTTTGCAGCAACGTAGATCGAGTTGGAGGTCATAATGCTAAGTGAATTAATGCAGGAATAGAAACTAAATAAATACTTCATGCTCTCACTTATAAGTGGGAGCTAAACAGTAAGTACACAGGGACACAAAGAAGGGAACGATAGACACTGGGGTCTACTCTCTTAAGAAAAGGCAAGATGACATTCCAGTGTCCACCTGGCTAGAACAGAAAAAGGAAAAAAAAAAAAAAAAGAACATTGACTCATTCCCAGGGCATCTTCCTACACTTAGATTCTGAAAGATAGTATTCTTTCCATCACTCCTTTCCTTTCTACTCTTAGCACAAATATCCTTAAACAGAATTTTAGAGCCGAAGTCAAAGTCACTTTGTTCCACATACATACCCCAACATCTGCTACTTGTTCTCTTGATACTTAAATTCACTTAACAGGAGATCTGGCCTTTTTTCCCCAAGCTTTAATTAATGGTTAAATCTTCTGAAAGGCTAGCAGAAGTAATCTGTTAGTGCAATTGGGTTTCACTCCTAATTCTTAGTGTCATTCTACAGTTCTTTCTCAAGCCGTGACCTGTGATCACCATGATCAGGGATTGGCAAACTACAGCTCATGGGTCAAACTCAGTGAGCTGCTTGTTTTGTACGAGCTGTGAGTGTCCACAAAAGTTTTATTGAAACATAGCCATGCTTCTTCGTTGTCCCTATTTTCAAAGACCAGTTTTGTTCTATGACAGCAGAGTTGAGTAGTTGCGACAGAGACTGTATTTCCTGCAAAATCTAAAATATTTACTCTCTGACTCTTTACCAAAAAAACCCCCAAAAAACAAAAAAAAAATTGCTAACTCCTGGTCTAGGTAGTGTGAGGTTCAGTTTCTGGCTCCAGCACTCACTATTGGGGAGGCATTAAGCCAGTGCCATTCTCCTAGGAAGTGCTCCACATAGCAGCTATTGGCACACAAGTCATGTGGAGATGGGGAATCCTAAGGAAAAGAACGATCGACTTTGGATAAACTTATTGAACTTTTAAATTCTGACAGTATCCTGCTTATATAATTTCTGCACATATGGAATCTGCATCCTGAGTTTTTTTCTATCCAGTTCATGTTTGTACAAGTATCTTATATGTGCAGATGATGAAACAGTGCCTTTAAGCAAATGCCTTTAAGCAATGCCTTTAAACAATGCCTTGAGCAAAATGATGTATTTGAGTGAGTTTATTGTCAGTATTACCAAGCACAATGTTTGACTCCTGCTTTGGTAATGTCAGGAAGTGTGGCAGATGGTGGGGAGACAAGAGGAGTCATTCAGGAAGAAGCCAGGAGCTCCCAGGATAAAAGAAGCAATTAAAATGCAACCCTTGGATGGGCTCAAATGCAGTCTGCCTCCTCTTCCTTATCACGGGCCAGATCCAGTCTTTCTTAATTGAAGGGGTCAAGCTAAAGTTCTTATCAACAAAAGTGATGTTGCTTAGGAAAGTCATATTCCTTAGCTAATTTTAGGTGCTGTTTTGTGCTTCCTGTGTTACCAACCTTCTAAACAGTAAATAAGAGAACATTGCTGTCTATAAAAAAATCTTTTAGTTGTAGTGTCAACTTACAAAAGAATTGACAAAAAGGAGTGGAAGTTCTTTTAAGTCCTTGCCAGGCTGCAGAGCAGAGCTAGAAGAACATAAAGTCTTAATCCTTTCCCTGCTCTTTACCTTGGGGGTGGTGGATGTTTTTCAGGGCTCTGTGGGGGACTGGCGTGGTGTTTGGTCATGCTGACTGGGGAGCCAGATGATCTATCTGAGCTCTGGTGTTGGCTTTGCCATGTATTCTGAACCGTCGAATCAACCCCTATTCCAGGATGGTTGATTTTATGTGTCAACTTGGAGACATTTTGGGATGAAATTAACGTTTAAATTGATACACTAAGTAAAGTGCATTGCTCTTCATAATGTGGATGGGCTTCATCTAATCAGTTGAAGGCCTGAGTACAACAAAAAGACCAGCTTCCCCGAGCAAGAGGAAATTCTTCAGCAATTGCCTTCAAGAGTTCATCTGCACCATTGGCTCTCCTGGTCTCCAGCCTGCTGGTCCACACTGGGACTTGGACTTGCCAGCCTCAATAATCATATGAGCCAATTCTTTATAATAAATTTATTTAAATACACACACACACGCACACACACACACACACACACACATGCGCATTTGATTTCTCTGGAGAATCCTGACAAATTTAATTCTATGAATAGAGTAAAAGTCTCTGTTAACTTATAATAAAGTTCCTGTTCATTTTAAAATAAAAAAAGGTACTATTGGCTCCTGGTTGAGTCCTTGACCATCATATGCACACATGCTTTAACCCCAGACAGACAGCTTCATTCTTCTTTCTTGCACAGGCAAAACGGCTTCTCATCTTTGGAGTAGTCGAGAGTCTAGGTGCTGGATCCAGACTCCCTAGGTTCAAATCCGAGCTCTATCACTTGGTAGCTTTGTGACCTTGGGTAAACCACTTACTTACTCTAGGCCTCAATTCCCTCATCTGTAAAATGGCAAAATAAGAATACTCACCACATAGGATTATTGTGAAAAGTAATGACTTAATGCAAGTAAAGCGCTTAACAAATTATCTGGCACTCAGTAAATGCTTGTCCCACTTAGAATAGACCTGGTTTGTCTGCAGTGATGAAACATCAGTCTGCTGAGAACTTGGCTAGAAATGCTTAAGTAGTTGAGTGGAGCCTTAAAAGAAGCAAGTAAAAAAAAAAAATTCTGCTATGTGCCTGAAGGAGGGAGAAATGAAATCCTTGGCAAATAGAATGAATAATTTCCCCAGTTACTATTATTAATATGTATTATGTGGCTAGCTTCACCTTGTTTTCTTGCTCAGGGAAAATAATTTCTTTGAATATTAGATTGATGCTTCTATCAAAAAGCATCTTCTCTGTCCTGTTTAACAGAGAAAACATGGTTCCCCTCCTCCAGTAGTTAAAGCCCTGAGCTGTGTCCTCCAGTGCCCAAGCAGATAGCATTTAGTATCTTGGGCTGTTATCAAGGAGCTTCTTTATAGAAGGAATTACACCTTCGGTGGTTGGGGGTGGGGGAAATAGTTAAAATGCAAATGTATCAGTATTTACTAGCTTTTGGAGCTCACGTCTCGCGCATTTCATTCTGAACTTTTTGCTCAATGCCTCTGAAATCACCCTTGCTAATTTAGGCCCCTCGGAAATAATTCCACCAAGGCAGAAAATTGGCAACCAAAGAAGTTTCACTGGCCTTTAGATCATTTTCTTTCTTAACTTGTAATTTTCCGTTGCTTTCTGTTCTCCATTAACTTTTCATTTGTCCATTATATTACATGTGTAGTGGCAACCTTGATTTTGATACATGATGTATATTCACTGAGCAAGGGGGTTGATCCATTATGTGGACCCCTTCTGGGAATATGTGGACTGTGTCTATCAATTTAAGAATGTTATATATGGAAACATAATGAGTATTATAAATAAGTTTTAAAAACCTATGCACACAGATAATGAACTTCAGGGACATTTTAAATGAATTTTCCTTGTTTTTAGCTGAATACCCAATAAGAGTCTAGGTATATTATAGGTGAGTGATCTGTGCCCTTGATAACCTTGAAATTTGGAATTTTTGTACTGAATAAGATTCATGCTAAGCATTTAAGGGCAGTCTGTTGGATTCATGGCAAGTGTTATCTATTGGATTCATAAGATGGATCTTGGAGAACTTTTTATAAATAGATAATCCCATGTGCTATACCTGTGAGATTCCTAGAGCATAGAGATAATCGCTCTTTCACCATTGCCATTTATAAATGTGAAAAAAGTCTGAAAACTCAGTGAGGAGCCTTAAAGAATGTCTAGGCACCCAACTCTTGATGCATACAAGCTACCCAGTGTAAGAATGTGCATCTTATGAATACTGAATATTCAGCATTGGTTGAAAGGTGTGTGGGATAATCGTGTGATAGTGGGAGGAGGATGGCCTTTATTATTTGTAAATATGATATTTAATGCAACCCAAGTTTTAATTTTAAGCCATTTCTCATTAGTGCATCTTCATATGAAATTTGAATAGTATGAAATCAATTATGCAGAGGAAAAGTACTTGACTATTGATAGGAAGAAGGAATGCTGTATTAGGAGTCAGGAGACATAGCTCAGTACTTACTCAGTATGTGACTTTCAACAAACAATTGTTCCCCTCTAAGCCTCAGTCTCCTGAGTTGTAAAATGAAAGAATGACACTGGATCCTGTTTCTAGGTTCCTTTGCACTTTCAAAATCTTTAAGAATCTTTTGTTGTTGTTGACAAAAGGATTTAAAGAGTAGGGACAAGTGACCATCCATAAGTGATGAAAAGAAAAGTTAACCCAAGAGATACATAAAGTGGGGAAGCAGCAGAGTTACAGTTGGAGAAACCAGGGAGTGAAGTCGAGGTGTGCCACATTCCCTCTAGATGACTCTTGAAGGGTTGGGTTTCTCTTCTGTAAAACAGAGACCATAGCTCAGAGGTTTGTTATAAGGATTAAATGAGATAATGCATAAAACATGCTTCCAGGAATAAAGAATCATGGAAGTGAATAAGGAAGAAAGGAGATGGAGGAAGAGGAGGAAGAGAAAATGACTTAGAAAATGTGTGATTAACTAAGTAATTAATCCTTCTAAAACTTTCACATTCAGCCAAAGCACATTTGTGCATACAACTCTCATTTGTCTACCTTGGAATAATCAATTTTGTGAGTTATTCACAGAAGATGAGTGAACTCAGCCAGGTTTTCTAATACTCTGCTACCTTCTTGTTCACCTATTTTCTGACTAGGAGGCATGTAACTCAAGTTTTCATCAGCCTAAGCCCAACCACATTTTGGAGACATGTCTGCATCACAAATTATCTTGGGCTTTCAAAAATCAAAAATAAACCACTTTACCAAAAATCAATCCCACTCCATCACTTTGGTTTCTCTGTGCCTTGTGCGCCATTATTGGCATGAGGAGTTGTGAGCTAACCGTGCCACATTTTCAGGAGCCTTTGTGCCATCCTGTTTCAGCCCTTGACAGGTGCTCCTGCGGGGTTCTCAAGCTTTCCTTTTGATTTCCCCAGGATATTATCATTGTGGCTGGTCAAGGGAGGGGACATCCTGAGAAAATCAGCCAACAGTTCCTCCTGGAAAATCCAAGCTCTCTGATTAGAGGGGCAAGAAATCCAACTGATATGTATTTAAGCACTTTTATAGAATTCCCGCTATGTGCCAGGTGCACATAGTTCCTAGGTAATAGGATGCAGCAGCCAACTAGCTGACCAAGTCCTCTTGAAGCTAACATTTTAGTGGAGAATGTAGATAACCCCTCAAAAAATTAATAAAGAAGAAATAAAATTTTTGATAATGGGATGTATTATGAAGAAAAATAAAAGCAGGGGAAGGGGCAGTGAAAGTGATGGGGTGGTCTGGAAAGGTCGATCTGAGGAGGTGATTTTTGAGATCTGAATGCAGTGGGAGAACAAGCCATGGGGAGGAATAGAGAAAAAGCAATGGAGGCACAGAAAATATTAAATACACAGTGGGTGGAAACAAACAATTAACTTGGCCAGTGCAGCTGGAACAGGGTAATGGTTGAAGGACGGAGCCCATTCAGGTAGGCAAAGGTTGGAGTTTCAAGACCTTGTCAGCTAAAGTAAGGGGTTTGGATCTTATCAGAATTGAGATGGTAATCTATTGAATGGTTTTGAGTTGGAGAATGATGCAACTTATTTGCATATTAAAAAGATTACTCTGACTAACATATTGATAACAGACTGTCATGAGACCAGAGTGGAAGCTGGTTAGTAGATGACTGAAACTGTTTAGGAGAGAGAAGACCGTGCATTTCACTAGAGTAGTTATAGCAGGGGTAGTGTAGAATAATGGGATTCAGTACATATTTTGGAGAAAAATCCAGCCTGACTTTTCGCTGTGTTTATGTGGGACGTAAAGGGAAAGAAGGAGTCAAGGATAACTGCTAGGTTTCTGTTTTTAGCGACTGGGTAAATGGTGGTGGTGTTAACTGAGGAGATGAGGTGCTGTATCAGTGAGGACTCATGCAGGAAAAAAGGAACCACTCCAGGTGTATTAAGTATGAAGTGGTTTAATAAAGGGAATCGAGTGCTTTCAAAAGCATTGGATTAGCTGAGGAAACACAAGTTAGAGAAGGTGCCCGGTAGTATTTAGTTCTGCTGTCACTGCTTGGGCCAGTGAATTCAGAAGTTGTTGCTACCACTCAGATGAGGAAAGTAAAGGAAAACTAGTGCTGCCCTACAGCACTGAGAAGAGTAACTGGAATGGATCACCCAGAAGCCACCGCAAAAACTCTTGTCTGCCAAAGCTTTCGTGTCCTACATTGATGCATGGGGAAGAAGAGTATGTTCTGTGCTCTTTCATCTTTGAAATCTCTCACTAGTGCACCTCATTAGCAGAATATAGCTGCAACCAGAAACTGAAAGGCAGAAGAATCTGACAGATAAAGTTTCCAGCCTTTCAGCTGGCATTGCAAAAGAAAGCATATAACACAGGACAGAGGAGAGCAATAGAATCTTGTAGGCTAAGGGACAGATAATAAAATATTTGTATTGTTATGTCATAAATCTGTGTGTCTATCGGACATCCAAGCAGAAGTGTCAAGTAGGAAGTAGAATACACAAGTCCAGGAATCATGGGAAAGGTCAAGGATGGAAATATAAATTGGGGAGCCATTAGAACATAAATGGTAATTAAAGGCATGCAAGTGGAGAGTATTACCTAAGGAGTAAGTGTAGATAGAGAAAGGTCTTAGAACTGAGCTCCATATGCTTCGGGAAAAACTTGGACATTGGGGAAATTAGGAAGCACTTCTAGGGTTAAAAGGACTGAAGGCCGTGCACGGTGGCTCACACCTGTAATCCCAGCACTTTGGGAGCCTGAGGCGGGTGGATTACTGGAGATCAGGAGTTCAAGATCAGCCTGACCAAAATGGTGAAACCCCGTCTCTACTAAAAATACAAAATTAGGCAGTCATGGTGGCATACACCTATAATCCCTGTTACTTGGGAGGCTGAGGCAGGAGAATGACTTGAACCCGGGAGGCGGAGGTTGCAGTGAGCCGAGATCGTGCCATTGCACTCCAGCCTGGGCAAAAAGAACAAAACTCCATCTGAAAAAAAAAAAAAAAAAGACAAGTTGGGACTGGGACCTGAAAGAAGCTCAGACAAATGGCTTACATATTGCAGTCAAGACTACAAGAGGGCTTAGAGGTCAGGAAGAAGAGGAGATGCCAGTCAATGCGACTGACAAGGTGGGAGAGCAGTCTACAGAGTATGGTCCTCTGAAAGTCAAATGTCAAATACTGATGAGAGTTATGTTTTGTTTTGCTTTTGTTTTTGCTTTTGTTTTTGTTTTGAGACAGTCTCTTTCTGTCACCTAGGCTGGAGTGCAGTGGTTCAATCACGGATCACTGCAGCCTCCACCTCCCAGTTCAAGAAATTCTCATGTCTCAGCCTCCTGAGCAGCTAGGATTACAGGTATGTTCCACCGTGCCTGGCCTGATGAGAGTTTTTGTTTTTTAAATTAAATTAAATTAAATTTTACGTTCTGGGATACATGTGCAGGAAGTGCGGGTTTGTTACATAGGTAAACGTGTGCCATGGTGGTTTGCTACACCTATCAACCCATCACCTAGGGATTAAGCCCAGCATGCATTAGCTATTTATCCTGATGCTCTCCCTCGTTTCAGCCCCTCGCTGACAGACCCCAGTGTGTGTTGTTCCCCTCCCTGCATCCATGTATTCTCATTGTTTAGCTGCCACTTGTAAGTGAGAACATATGGTGTTTGGTTTCCTGTTCCTGTATTAGTTTGCTGAGGATGATGGCGTCCAGCTCCATCCATGTCCCTGCAAGGGACATGATCTCGTTCCTTTATATGGCTTCATAATATTCCATGGTGTATATGTACCACACTTTCTTTATCCAGTCTATCACTGATGGGCATTTGGGTTGATTCCATGTCTTTGCTATTGTGAATAGTGCTGCAGTGAACATACGCATGCATGTATCTTTATAATAGAATAATTTCTATTCCTTTGGGTATATACTCAGTAATGGGATTGCTGGGTCAAATGGTATCTCTGGTTCTAGTTCTTGGAGGAATTGCCACACTGTCTTCCACAATGGTTGAACTGATTTACATTCCCACCAACAGTGTAAAAGCATTCCTGTTTCTCCACAGCCTTGCCAGCATCTGTTGTTTCTTGACTTTTTAATAATCGCCATTCTGACTGGCGTGAGATGGTATCTCATTGTGGTTTTGATTTGCATGTCTCTAATGCTCAGTGATGAGAGTTTTAAGAAGATGGAGTATGAGAGTTCAACACTGTATTTGGCCAGATGGAAGCCGTAGGAAACCTTAAGCAGAGTAGTCTTCAAAATCTTGAATGAAGTGGATGGAGGTGGGGATAGAGAATGTGCAGTGAGCAAATAAAGAGAGAATTTACACAATTCTTTGGACTCATTGTGATGTAATATAAAGAGAGCAGAAAAAAAGAGCAGCAGTTGGAAATGATGTAGAATCTGGGGAGAGACCTTTTAAAGAAAGGTGATATCAAGGCTTGTTTGTGGACTGAGAATGATGTGTGATCTTGGAAGTCAGCTTGAGAATGGAGCAGTCAAGACACAAATTGGTTGGCAGGTCATGATCAGCATGAGAGGAATCTCTATCCTGCTTCCAGGCTATCCTTGGCACTGTGATTTTTAATAAAATAATGCACTGACTTTGCATTCAAAGAAATTACTGGACAGTCAAAATATACACACATATGCAAAAATTGAGGAGCAATTTCCCATAAGATGTAAGCAAGAGTAATAGTTATTTTATGTTATTTCTGTAAGTGTTAGTGGCAGTAAGTAAAGAATGAATTGTAAAATTGTGACAGGGAAGGTAGAGGAGTGCTTTTTGAAACCTATTTTCCATTAGATCTTAAAGAAAGTTGAGAACATAAATTTGTGGAGAAGTGAGGGTGAAGATTCTTAAGGGAGGCAGAAGCAAGATTTAATAACAATGCAGAACAAGGAATCAGCAAAACCTGTTGAAAACGTCAGAAAACTTAGGGGAAGCTGGAGCAGAGGGTTAGAGTTGGGAGACCTGAGTGAGGGTCTTGGCTTTCACTCAGTGTGCAGTCAGGATCCACCTAATGTGGAATAACCATGGGGTTCTGGAATGGGCTGAGACAGTGACATATTTGCCCATATTAGTGGATCCATGAATCATTTTCTACAAAGTCTTCTTGTTTTGTTTTTCAGACAAACCTTGGAAATCAAGAAAGTTCTGGAATGATGAAGCTGTTCATGCCAAGACCGAAAGTGCTGGCCCAGTATGAGTCCATTCAGTTCATGCCGTGACAATTTTCTTGGAACTCCTTTTTATTGTTAGTTCTCACTTGTTTCCATATTTAGTGAATGTACATTTAATTGCAAAGCTGTCATTAATAAAAATTCTTATAGTACCTCACTGCACAAACATCTTTCCTGTGTGCTAGGCATTTCCAAAAGCAGAATCATTCTGTATCTGATTTGCATCATCTTATTTAAACCAAGACAGTATTGGCCATACTGTCTACCAAAACAGGCTGTAAGAAATTACAATAATTTTTGCAGCTATAGGGTAACAATCTATCTCTTATGGGTTTCCAGAAAGTGTTCTGCTCTATATGATTTTAAGAAAACTGGGACATTGGTGGGAGGATAGTAGTTGGGAAATGCTTCTAGGATTAAGAGGATTGAAGTTGAGACTGGAGGTAAGCTTAAAGGAATGGCTGAAGTATCCCATCAAGACATCATAGTGTCATTATAATGACCATGTTCTCTTGTGAATCCTCACCAATGGTATAGAATCCTTTGATTTCAATTTCTACCACTCTGGGAAACCCCTAGGCTTGTGCTCCTGGTACATCAGCCCATTTCATGGTACGTTGAAGCATGCCTCCCTGTGGGATTGCTGGATTCCCAGCCCAGTGAGGTAATGACCAAGCAGCGTCTTCAGAGGAAGGATAGCTGTACAGCGTGGTGAAGGACTCAATGAGAAGGTAATTGATGCTTCACCTTTTCTTATTTTCTGTAAAGTAGGGGAATATGAGTCCTCCACTGTGTGCTTTTTTGTTTGTTTGTTTGCAAGCAATCAAAATTCTTTAAGCTTCTTGGAGGATGGGATTTTCTAGAAACTGAAATTTTTAGGGGTGGTTGGGGTCTAAGCAATCCAGAGAAATATGAATGCAACCTCAGGGGAAAAGATGAAAGGTGCTAAGGAGGAGGCAGAATAGTCCTATAAAGAAAAGGCACACACATACATGCACACACACACTGAGACTCACACGTATCTTGTTAAAAACATTACAGCAAACTGGAGTTCTTAAATCCCCAGTGCATAGAGCTTTGGGAGGGTAATTCTGTTAACTTAAAGGGTAGTCCTCTGTAATGAATGCAGTTCTTGTGCATACTCAGCTACTGTGCTCTAATAATGTCTTACTGAGCTTGAGGATCTGTCAGGCAAAATATGCTGATCTTCTGTACCCTGGGAACTTTCTCCAAGTGAGGTCACACTGCTGCCCAGCTCAGTTCTAGGACCGCTCTGGTGATGCGATTTTATTCCATGTCCGGCGATTTAGAAAACACAGAGTTTTGAGTTTGGGTTCCTTCTAATGAATCCATTAGTGGTTGTGGTGGGTTTCATTGATTTCTTCCTGATGATTTGTCTTCTCTTTAAAACTGGTGCTATTTGTGGTTTAGTGATATGTACTTGTAAGGATTTGGGTCTGATGTTTGGTCCATCAGCCAGATCATCTGCAGTTTGGGATTCTTGGTAATCTAAGACCCAATGTCTGACCCCTTCTGACCTCATTCTGTACATGCTGTTTAGTTACAGTATGAGCTTGTTCCTTAAACGTTCCAACAGCCACTGGGCTTTCAACAAATGTAACTGAATGAAAGACAAATCTTTCCTGTGCAGATTTGCCTGTCTAAAACACAGAGTTAAAAACACCTCTCATTACCTCCTTATAATTATATGCTTGGCCTCCTTTGAAGCCAAGGTATGGCTTTTCAAGCCAGTTGCCCTGTGACGTGAGAGGGCAGCACCTTTCTGAAGACGGTTCTCACTACTGCTACACCTTGTGCTGCTGAAAGCAGCAGGAGCTCTGCAGGTGAATGTGATTTCTCTGTAGCTGCCCAAGGCAGGGCCCTGTATCCTATGGTTGCTCAGGGGGACTCTTGGGCAGAAGATGCCTGCAGATCAGCTTTGTAGTGACCTCCACCATCCTGGTCTCAGCCATTTTTCCTTGGCACCATCCAGGCCGAGCTTATTGCAGCGAGGACCAAGATGTCCTCATCCTCAAGCATGCCTCATGCAAATAGAGTGAAGCCGGCTCATTTCCAGCATTTTCTTTCTGACATTAAATGTTTTTCTGGCAGTAGGTTTAATATTACTCTAGGCAAAACCCTAGGGTTTTACACAAATCATTTATCATTTGGACGTAATTCTCACTATTTAAGCACCTCCAGTTTCTACGTTATTGAATGAGACACTGTGGCCCTCACCCTTCCATCAGGATGGATTGGGTGAAGGGTCTTATCTAAAATTCCCAGTGTGCTCTAATTGTCAATCAACAATTCAAATTAAACAAGTGACCTCCACTACCTACAGGATAGACTTGGTGCAAGTCTAGTTTTAGTGTGAAAAGCAATTTCCATATAGACATAGACCATAAAGGGGGGCTCCTGTAAGGGTCTGAACAATAGGTCATTGTATGTGACTAGAAAAGTGGGGAGAAAAAAACAGAGAAATCTCCCTACGGGTGCAGCGTTTTTGGTTTTATAGAAAGAGAGAAAAACAACTCTTTTTGAATCAAATCATCAGGCACAAAAAACAAATGCTGCCAGAGTAATTATCCCTGGAAAAACTCAGTCCTGAGGGCTCTCCACGCCATAGGCTTCCTGATGCCACCTGCAGCTCATCCCAAGAAAGGGTTGGAGATGCATCAGCAGCCTTCGGCAAAGGGGAAACACCGTGCAGCAGGGCTGACTTGGCAAAGAGGCACCCCCAGAGGAATGCGAGGTGCAGCTTCTCTCCCTTTCCTTCTTGCCATGTGCTGAGAGCCCATGACCCCAGGATCTTTCTGCAGTCCTTCCCCTCAGGTTGCTTAGACAAGGAACTTAACTGCACTTCAACTACTGAACAGTAGAATGGGGTCCTAATTGTAACCCTGTCATGGATTTTGAAGGATTTAATGAGACAATCAATGGGAAATGCTTGGCACACAGTATGCCCCCAAGTCAGTGAAGTTGCTTCCATTCCCAACCTCGGTCTTCAGTCCCTGGTCATCTCACAAGCAACTAAGGACTCAACATTAATTCAAGGGACAGATCTGATTGGAGGGGCCTCCAAGATGAGGGAAGGTCCTCTCGGCCACTAGGGGGCACTAACTACATGGAAAACAAGCACTGAATTTCGGGGACTTGCTCCACTGCCCTGCAATGTAAATCCTGTAACTCATTTAATTTTCTTGGAGCAAAGTTTGGGAATGGTTGATACAGATGGTGCTATTTCTGCTTGGGAAGGTGGTTACACTTACATGTCAAATGAAGAAACTTTTCTTAGCTCCTCCCTGTGACTCACCAGCTCCAGCTATTATGAACTCATACTTTAAAATATTTTTTTCTATTCAGCCCCATTTACTTTCAGTCCTCTTTCTTCTGTATTCTCCAATTCCTGGAAAAATAGACAATATCCTTAGTTGTGTGGAAGAGGAAGAAGAGTTATGTAGAAGAAAGAAGCATCCTTACTGTAAAATGTTTCTGACTTTTTGAGCCAACCACGTCTGGATCAGATGTTTCCATCTAGAGTCATACCTTTTCATAGCCTTTTAAACCTGGCTCATGAGAGGAAAGAGAGAGTGCAATGTCCCTGAGATATCTAGGAAACCATGGAGAATTTCTTATCAGAATTAACCCCTATTGTTTTGAAAGTAACTAGATCCTAGGAAGCATGAGATGCCACGGGCTTCCCAGAACCCATAGCAGGTGAGAAAGAACTGGAATACAGGGTGAGGTGTGATGAATCGAACTGCTTTTCCCAGAACACAGAATACAGCCAAGGTATGAAAGCTGTTCCCCAGAGGGGAAAAATGTACACTGGCCAATGAGGGTGCATCCAAGAGCCTGTAGGCTTTCTTGGGCATTGATTAAACCAATATGCCAGGCATCACCTGCTTGAGAATTACTAGAGATGTTTGTCAAACCCCCAGTCCCTGGAATTAGACTACCTTGATGTACATCTCAGAAATATGCAACTACTTTGAGGTGGTTTTACATTTCCTAAAATTTAAGAACAATTGCTCTAGAAGATAATAATTCTACCTCCACTGACACTGGAAATACATGTAAGGATGGCTCTGCATGTCCTTCATCACAGCAAGTTGACATTTTCTAGAATCACTGAAAGGAATTATTGCTATAAAAAAATCCAATCCAACAATAAAGCCCCAGATGATCAGAATTGTTCATCCCGAAACTCTTCATGTCCCAGAATTGCACATGGTGTCTGGGACACTTGCTGGAGTGGATTCCTGTGATCGGTGACCTCCCAGTTTGTGTGCCGACAGGGCTTAGAGCTGCAGGCAATGCAGTTGCTACACGGTATCTCAGTGTCAAGAATCAACAGTTCCATGGAGCCAAGAGGGTGCAGGTTGGCAGTGGTTGGGTGGGGGGATCTGTTTGCAAGACGGTGTCATGGAGCCTTTCTGTGGCATTGAAGGAACAAAGATACAGGGGCACAAAGGACATGGCACTTTGTGCTGCTGGCACTGTTTCTACATTGAGTGACCTCCCCAGGAAATCCCCACTGAAACACAAGGTGAGTTTTGCCAGATTTAAACAAGATAATTCCAGTGAGTTTATCAGGAAGTGGAAATGGAGAGCTACATTGGAAATCTGTTTTCAGACATCCCGTGTCCATTTCTGTTTCTGGAAACCACTTCTAGATGAACCTTGGACTCAGTTCATCTTCCCTTTGCTCTACATTCTCTGATTTCCAAGCAATAAAACCAACAGGGCTGTATTTCTCTGGACAAGACCCTCACCTATCAGCAGAAACAGAAAAGCAAATCCTCCCCGAAACAGCAGCTTGGGGAAGTGGCCCATTGGATGCCTTTTTCTAGGGCTGTACTGTGAGAAAATGTCTTTCATTGCATCTACCCAATGCTCAAAGTTACTTCTCATTGAGAAGAAATCATAGATTTGACAAAATTGTGAGTGAACACTAAAGAACCTGTCTTCTGGAACGTACCTGTGAGGTGAAAGGAAAGGAACTTATGTTTGGTGTGTGGACTGGTGGGATGCAGGACAGGCTTCATCAGGGTGTGACTTGTGCCACTGCACAGGGGCCCATGCTCAGAAGAGCTTTGCACTTGGTTTAATGCCCTGATGGCACCATCCTGAAATTCTTTTTTCTTTTTTGTTTTTTGAGATAGAGTCTCATTCTGTCGCCCAGGCTGGAGTGCAATGGTGCAGTCTTGGCTCACTGCAACCTCCGCCTCCTGGGTTCAAGCGATTCTCCTGCCTCAGCCTCTGGACTTGCTGGGACTACAGGCCTGCATCATCATGCCCAGCTAGTTTTAGTATTTTTAGTAGAGATGGGGTTTTGCCATGTTGCTCAGGCTGGTCTCAAACTCCTGACCTCAAGTGATCCGCCTGCCTTGGCCTCCCAAAGTGCTGGGATTACAGGTATGAGCCACTGCGCCCAGCTGGCCATCCTGAAATTCTTAATACTGTGTAAACAAGGGTCCTGAATTTTCATTTTGTCCTGGGCTCCACAAATTACACAGCTTGTCCTGGTAGGACTGCATGGTGGGATTTGGAGAGCTCTGGATTTAAAATTAGGCAGTCTTGGATCAGATCCCGCTCTTCTACTTAGTAACTGTCATCTTAGACAAGTGATAGCATCCTCCCTCCCAGCCTGAGTTCTCTCATCTACAAAACAGAATTACAAACAGAATCCCACCTTTCTGGTGGGATTGTTGTTAATACTGAGTGAGTTCACCTGGCATATACAGCTAGCCTTGACCCTGGCATGAAGTCAGTAAATGCAGATAATTTGTACTCAATTTAAGTAAATTGTATGTCGTTCTTGAAATATATGTGAGTGACCTGCAATTTAATATAATAAAATATGTATTTCTTGAGTTGCTCTTACATGTACTATGCAAAAGTTCATATTTACAATGCATTATCATGGCTAAATCATAAATATGGGAAAGTCAGTTAAATAAGACTTTAAAAGAAGAACCCAAGTCTAGTCACCTAACACTTACGAGGCATTTCTCATTGAGAAACCGGATTATCTTTTATAGCCTCTGGAGACTCAGAGCCTATCCCAGGTTCCTACACATCCAAGAACAAATGTGTCCTGAGCAGATGAATGAAAGAGTAAGTGGACCCCTCAGGAAAAGAGCGTTTTTAACACCCTGAATTAACCTCTCAATATTCCTCTAACAAGAAAAAGTGTTAGGACACTGGGGCCTTAACATTAGCTTTCCTACTCACTGAGTGATCTTGACAAGTTACCTAAACTTTTATTTATGTATTTATTTTTGAGACAGGATCTCACTCAGGTTGTCAACAATCGAGGGTCATAGGTTCTTCACCCAGGCTGGAGTGCAGTGGCAGGATCATAGATCACTGCAGCCTCGACCTCCCTGAGCTCAGGTGATCCTCCCACATCAGCCGCCCAAGTAGCTGGGACTACAGGGACACCCCACCATGCCGAGCTAATTTTCTTTTTTTTGGAGATGGGTCTTTGCCATATTGCCCACACTGGTCTCAAACTCCTGGGCTTAAGTGATCCATTCACCTTGGCCTCCCAAAGTGATGGGATTATAGGCATGAGCTACTGTGCCTGGCCATCCTAAACATTTGGACTTCAGATTCGTTATTTGTGAAATGGAAAGTGAAGTCATCATAAAATCTCTTTCAACGTATTGGAAGGAAGATTAAATAAACTTATAATAGGTGAACACTTTTTGTAAACTCTACAGTGGTGTACAAATGGGATGTGTTAACTTTATATACTGTTGTTGTCAGTCCAGTGATTCCCAAAAGGTGACCAGGGAACCCTAGCTCCTCAGGGATAACAAGCAAAGCCAGTATCCTTTTCAGCCTCAGAACTTACCAGAGCCTTTGATGTGCTAATGAGCACTGGAACACTCTGTAAAAGAGGAGCATGGTTTGTGGCATTTCCCAAATACATTTGTCCAGAATCTTCTGTCAGAGAACTCCTTAAAGGATTCACGTTTTAGTGGGGCACCCACTGGAAAACACTGGGCTATCATGTGGACTGGGCCTACATGGGTTTATTTGGTAGACATGGTGCCCTGCTCACCCATCCTCTTCAGCCTCTCTCCCTCGTCATGCAGGCAGTGCTTTCCTGAAGAGTAACAATGAGGAGATGGGAGAAAGTAGATTATCTGTTTCTTAACTGGCTCTTTACCTCTCAAATAACCTTCCTCTTTGGGGCATTTTTGCACAGTTCTCTCTAGATTTAATGCATTGAGGGCAAAATAATTAACCCAAGACTGATTGCCATAGTTATTATTATTGTTCTCCTCCTCCTCGTCCTCCTCCTTTTCCTCCTCCTTCCTCTTTCTCTTCTCCTCCTCCAACTTCTCCTTCTACTCCTGCTCCTGCTCCTTCTCCTTCTTCTTCATCTCTGTCTTTTTCTTCTCTTCTTCCTCCCACTTCTTTTTTTTAAACTCAACTATGTGATGATTTCTTCTTTTACAACAATTTTATTGTCATAGTTTGGCATAGTTTACAAATTTTCAATGAAATATAAACCCTAAAATTTAAAATATTGCTCTAAGAATTTTTAAAAATAGAGTCATCTTTAAGTGCAAAGGGGCATATTATTCAAATTCAATTTTGAAGTTTATGTTTGTACCTTTCCTGGGGTTAGGGGCCATTTTAGAACATGGTAATCATGGACAGTATCTGATGGTACTGGTGGCCATTTCAATAGCTGTTAGCTGCAAATTCAACAAGTATAGGATACCTGTCTCCTTCTTGGGACTTTCATGGCATACCCCTTTTCCCAATAATGCTGTGTGGTAAAAAATAATAGTAATAATAATGCTGTGAGGTTCAGAGAGACTGAATAACTCTCAAAAGTCATGTAAAAAAGATATATGACAGAGTTACTATTTGAACAAAGGTTTTCAGACTCCCAGGTATTCCCTGCAAAGAGAAGGTATGAGGAACAACCCCTTTGTCTCTGTGACCCCACAGAAGCCTCTGGGACCCCACTTTCTGATTCTTCCTCCTATTCCTTTTTGTCTTTGATCTGCTTCTATTTCTC
The DNA here is from genome assembly GCF_000001405.40 of Homo sapiens. Lineage (NCBI taxonomy): Eukaryota > Metazoa > Chordata > Mammalia > Primates > Hominidae > Homo > Homo sapiens. The sequence continues at coordinate 38,164,402 of NC_000021.9, forward strand.
CTCTCCCTTTTCCTCTTGTCTTTTATCTGATCCTTGCCAATCGTGCTCTCCAAAATGAAGAACCTATGATCCCTCGATTGTTGACAACCTGAGAACATTTCTTGCCCTACCCAGGACAGAAGGAAATGACATAAAAACATTTTATTCATTGGGTGAAATGGGATTATTTTTGAGCTGCTCTGTTCAACATCAGTGAGGCTGCTCAATAAAGAGAAGAGGAAACCTGGCATAAAAGAAGAAACTGGGCTTCAGCTTTGCATGCATATACATGTTTATTGCAGCACTATTCACAATAGCTGCAAAGACATAGAATAAACCCAGATGCCCATCAATGGTGGATTGGATAAAGAAAATGTGGTACAATACACCACGGAATACTGTGCAGCCATAAAAAAAGAAAATTATGTCCTTTGCACCAACATGGGTGCAGCTGGAAGCCATTCTCCTAAGTGAATTAGTGCAGAAACAGAAAACCAAATACCACATGTTCTTACTTATAAATGAGAGCTAAACATTGGGTACCCATTGATATAATGACAGGAAGAGCAGACACTGGGGACTCCAAACATGGGGAGGGAGGGAGGAGAGTAAGGACTGATAAACTACCAATTGACTACTATGTTTACTCCTTGGGTGACGGGTTCAATTGAAGCCAAAACCTTAGCATCATATCCATATAACAAATGTACACATGTACCCCCAGAACTAATATTTTTAAAAAAATAAGAAACATTTCCTCCCAGAGACAGTGTCCTAATGTGGTTTTATCAGAGTCGGTTCTTCCTGGTGGGAGATAATAAATAATGGCATCTTATCCAGAAGACTTCATCAAGTACCTGAAGTTTACTCTGGGAACATCTGGGCTGTAGCCCCTCCTTCCAAGGAGCTCTGGGATCAACTTCTGATACTGAGAAGCGTGAAGTTCGAATTCAACTTTAGCCTTGTTATGCTTGTGTGTGCACTTTCACACTTATTGTTAAGGGATTCGTGAGTGGCTGAGGAGAGGAGACACAGAAGACTCCCTTTCTTTGTAATGTGCAAAAAACCATAGAGAATCAGTAAATGCAGATGAATGGGAATATAAAGCACTTACTGTTCTTATGGTTCAAAGGTTTTAGAACAGGCACATCCACCTTTACTCAGCCACAACCAAGAAGACTGGAATTCAGAAGCACACTCGACCTCTAAGCCTGCCTTTCTCATCATGCTGTCTCACACTTCTCCCTGGATAAATAAAGGCGACCTGTGCCCTAGCATTGATAATGATGCTGGGGACAAAGTCAAGCTCCGACAGTGTTGGGACAGTCTCTGGAGTCTGCCTGGGCCCTGGCGCCTGAAATGGCCTGGCTGGTCCTTAGGCCGGGCCACCTTGCCTGCCTGTTTTCTGGTTTCTTTCCCTCCTGGGCCATCTGTTTTTCACCTGCCTGATGGCTGCAGTCTGCTTTCCATCTGGTCATCGTTCCAAAAACATGGGAAGCAGAATATGACAAATGGTGATAAATGGAAAGAAAGGAGTCACAGAGGTTTCAGCGTTGATCATCCACAGATTTACCAGCCATTATAAAATTTGGCTCCTGCTTATTCATTTTCATCTGCATGCCAAAAGCAATCGATTGTAGAAAAGACCCGCATTCTTTGTCTATTTTACTTGCCAAGTCAGTTGGAGTCCAGATGGTGACACTGACCTTTGCAGAGTTCCTCATTCTTCCCAGGAAATGTACATTCGAGGAAAAGTCAAGCCTCTTACCACTTTAGTGGTACCATTAAGAGGGTGGTTGGGGAACCTGGATTATTTTAAATGCATACACGCACACACACCAAGCCTGGAACATGCTGCTTGCTCTTATCATCAAGAGTGTTATAATTTTGGGCTGGCTGGAAAGCAAAAGCTCCAAGTTAGAAAGCAATCTGTTCCACCCCTGCCCCCTCACCCTCCCTGAAGCCAGACGGCTGTAGTGCAGCTTTCTCCTCTTCAGACACACACCGGGTTGGAGCCTGTTAAATTGCATCGGCACTGACTGGACCTCACAGAGGCCCATGTTCTATGCCCCTCCGGGAACCCTCATTGGCTTTTGGATACTTTCCTTGCTACTCCGAGTTCGCCAAATGCTGTGATAGACCCTTGTAAGGTCACAAGAGTGCAACAATGAGAGAAAAAAAAAGCTGTGATTCTAAAACTGAACCACACTCCTACATTATCAGGATTTTTCCATTTTCCAGTGAGAGTGGAATAGAGAAGACTTTCTGCCCTGGAGCCTGGTTCCTTTCCATGGATCTTAACAACAGGGGGAAATAGTAGACCCTGCACCTGCAGGAGGAGGAGGGTCTGGGGAAAGACAAAGCTGGGATTAACCTCATGCTACTAGTTATAAAGAATGATTTGGAAGGATCAGTATCACCCAAATTAGCTATTTGCCAAACACTGAATATCTATCAACTGATAACCACCCTCTTATTATTGAAATAATTTTGTTTTCATAAATCCAGTTCTAATTCAAGAAGATGCCGTTTCATGTGAACTCCATCAGATTACAGCTCTCCAGGCACAAGGGGTCGCTGGCTTAGAATCAAAGCACATGTCCAGATTTCCTCCTCCTCACTTTTCTTCTTGGTTGTTTATAGATGCGAAATTCTCTTTCCTTGCTTCTCCATTCTGTGGCTTTAGGGATTTAGAAGAACAAGAGCTAAATCCTTACTTTGTGTCAGGGTCCGTAACAAAGGCTTCACACGTCTTAACATGTTGAGTCCTCAGAGCAAAGGCATGGAGAGGGATATACTATTATCATCCCCATTTTACATATGAGGACATCAGGGCACAGATAGGTTAACTTGCCCAAGGTCACAGGCTAGTATGTGTGGGTTTGAACCAAGGCCATGGAGCTCCAGGATTTGTGCTCCTAAACATGTTGCTGTGGTCCCCCTTAGAATGTAGAGCAAGAGTTCTCAGCTGGGGGTGATTTTGCATTTGGCAGGGGCCCTCTACTTTAGCACTGTCTGGAGACATTGTTGATTGTCACAGGTGGAGAAGCACTCCTGGAATCTCGTGAGTGGAGGCCAGGCTGGAGATGCTGCTAAACATCCTCTAATGTACAGGGCAGCTCCCCTCAGCATAGAACTCTCCTCCCTCAAGTATCAATAATGCTGACATTGAAAAAAACCCCGATGAAAAGAAATCACCGGACACATACACAGAAATGTACACAGATGTATAAATAGTAAATCAATCAATCAATCTATCTCTGTTGATCCACCTATCTAGCTAGCTACCTATGTCTTCCTTCTGCTCCCAGAAGACAGCTAAAAGGTTTACTCTTTTGAAAGGGCCTTTAAAGTATTCACTATTTTGAAAGCTTTTAGTAGTAATTTTCATATAAGAGTTATAGAGTAAAGTGATTTACAAGTTATTGTTCCTTGAAAATATAGTGGTGTGTGTGTGTAGTAGGGATGGCTCCCACTTTAGTTCCTGTGGACTTTCCCTTTGGCTGTGGAAAGTCCAGGTCATTCCCTAAGACCTTGTACCTGTGATTTTTGTCTCCACTTGGCCTTTGAGAAAAAAGCTGGGCCAGGACAGGTCATCTGGCCAAGGCCAAGTTCTCAGTCATTTTAATTCTAATTACATCCAGCTTACATTACACATTATGTTAATATCACACTCCATCATGTTACAGCAATATACATTATGTAATATATTAATAGACATTACCTATTCTGTTATTAGCACATGACATTAATACACCTTATATTAACACACATTAAATATTACATCAATACACATTACATGCTACATTGACAGCACATTACAAATTACATTAATAACACATTGCAAATTACACTAATGCATACTACATATCACAGTGATGCACACTACCTATCACATTAGTAACACCTTCCATATTACATGATTAACACATTACATCTTATATTTATACACATTATATATTACATTCATAATGCACTCGATATTACATAACACATTACATATAATGTAATTATATGGAATATATGATTAACACATTACATATTGCATTAATGCACATTACACATTATATTAATATGTACATCCTGATGCCTGGTTGAAGGAAGCTCATTCTTTCTGGAGTCCCCAACTCTAATATTCCTGGTCACCTCCAGTCCTAGTTGTCACCTGCAGCTGATCTAGACAACGCTGGTTTCTCAAAGAGCTGACAGTTCCCCCAAGGGCAGCTCCCTCCCAGGCAAGCACAGGCCCCTTGGCTGCCTGGGAAGTTCTCCATGTTCTTCACCCTAGCTTGCTTCACGGCCCACAGACATCCCCTTTGTGCTGTGCTTACCCAGTGGGGTCCTGGTCCTTTGGGGTCACCCCCACAGCTGCTCTACTACAGCCTACATGGCTGACCAGGGAGACAGGTGAAGCGATGTCAGTGCTTGACAACTCACACGGCCCAGCGAGCCATTCCTCAATGCTGATCAGTTCCCACAAGTAACAGGCTCTGGCTGAGTGAAGGAGATGGTGCAGGTGCAGGTCAAGACAGGGTCACTGCCCTTCTGGAGCTTGGGTCTAGCAGGAGAGCGGAGTAGAGGTAAGACTTTAATTAAAAGACCCATTGATAACTTGGAATTAAGGGTGATGTGCTGTTATATCTAGCTGTGAGGAAAAAGATCATTTGGTTTCAGTTCTTAGACCTGGGTGCTGGGCTTGGGGAAGCTTGTCCAACTCTTCTTTCCCTCCAGGTGAGTTCTGTCTTGAGGCCTCTCTTTCATTTGTTCCCCCTGCTCTGTGGTTTCTAGGTGCATTGCCCATCCTTCAGAGAGCTCTGTGTGAATCCATAAAAGGTGCTTAAAGCTTTTCACTCCATGAAGCCTCATCTGTCTCATGAAAGCAATAAATGTAAGTGGACATTTGGGAGGAAATGTTTGCTTTGCATGCTCATAACTGGATGGCTCATTTGGATGGAGATTGCCCCAGACATCCATGTAAGTCCTCCATCCTAGTAGACAGCAAACTACTGCAGCACGAACCATATTACATTACTAACACACTACAAATTATACTGATACACACTACATATCACAATAATTCACATTACATATTACATTAGTAACATCCTCCATATTACATGATTAACTCATTACACCTTATATGAGCTGGTTTGTGCTGCTCCCTATGTAAGCACCCTCTGTAATTCCATCAGGATCTCAAAGGTCTGGAGCTCAGGTTCAGCCACAGTACCTGCAATGCAATGAAATTAATGGTATTATGATAGTAATGATATGATAATATTAATGCAGGCTGTTGTGCAGTACACCTACTAAGGTTCTGGGAAATAGAATCCACAAGACATGATATACACCTTATCCTTCCTTTTCCTCCAAAACACTGCCACGATCTATCAACACCATCATTTAACAGATGTTGAAAGAAAGACTCTAAAAAATAACTTGCCCAAGGCCAGTCAGTGAGTTGGCTGCAAACTCTCTGTCTTTCCCCATTTCTTCCTTTTCTCTATTCCACGTAGTATTTAAGTCATCACCTCCTGTTCACCCCACAGTGCTCAGCTCTGCCACCCCTCACTCACTGGAGCACCAGTGCTCAGGTCACCCACTATGCCTACCTTGCACATCCCACCTCTGGCTGCACCCACAGGCTCACGCTAGGCAGGGAAGGGCAGGTAAGGGCATCAGGCATTGTGCCCTTCCATAGCCAGGCTCATGGAGGGCTTTCTGAGCAGAGATTCTAATTCTGCCAGCTGACCTGGTAGAAGCCCCCAGGCTGCAGCCCTGTTCTGCCCACTTCCACTCCCATGCATAGGGACATCCACAACATCCACACTCCAGGTAACTGAATCCACCTCCCCACTGCAGCATTTCAGAAGATGCTAAGTGCAGGATGAACCACACACTTCCTTCTCCAAACTGGGCCACTTTTGAGAGTAAAAGAGGCATTATTAATAACTGAGACAACAGGTGGATGCTGGACATATGTCATTCACCCTGTTTGACAAACTCCTGTCGCCTCTCACCAGCAGAGGAGGCTGTGAGACCAGAAGACTTGGAAGGAAGTGGCAGGCACTGATTGTTTCTAAGGGAGCTGGGTTGGATCCTCGTTTTGTGTGGTTGGGAGGCTGGCAGCTGGCAGTCCCCTCAAGCCAAGCATGATGTAGTGGGGGTAGGTTATCTTTCTTCTCACTGCCTTAGTGTCCTCAGGATTGCCTTGGGGCCACTTTTCTTGTCATCAGGAAGTGAGCAGGACCACAGCTGATGACCCTCAGCCTGTCATTTTGGTGCAATCCAGGGTTTAACTGGCCGGGGAGTAAAGGGGACTGTTGCACCATTCCAGGCTGGCTGAGCCTTGTATCTCACCTCCCCACATCTCTGTATCCCTGGGGCTAAATGGGGCTGTTTCCATGCTCCTTCTAGAAGCTTCTCCAGCACCAGCCTTCCCCCAAACCAGAACAAGAGCATTGATCTACACCCAAGAGGAGCAGGAATCAGCAGAAACACAATGGAACAAACTGATATGCCATCTAGTGGAAACACAGAAAGCCTCAAATGAAAATCTCAGCCAAAATGAGGCCACTCAACCAGTGTCCAGTGAATCAAGTTTCTGACAAAAGTCAGCTAAATCAAACACCTCTGTGTTTCACCCTTTTTGATGGCAACGCCTTAAATGTGACTGCTGCTCAGAAAGCCAAGTAAAGAAAATATAATGGGGCTGCTATTGGCTCATTCCGAATCAGGCATTTTCTCTCAGGTCAGCATTTGGGATCAGAATTTTGATTACATAATATTGTCGAAGGCAACAGAAAAGGACCATTGACTCACAGGGTGTTACAGCTGATAAAGGACTTCAGAATTAATCAACAAACATTGAGGCAACATTAACTAAAGGTCAAGAACTATTCTAACCACCTTATAAATATTTATTCACTTAATTCTCACAGCAGCCCTATATATAAGCACTAGCATTATCTCCACTTGACAGATAAGGAAACTGAGGCATGAAAAAGTTAAGAAAGGTGCTCAGGGACACACAGCTGATAAGGCTTCGCACCCGTTTGGTTAGGCTCGGAAGCCACTGCACCATGCCCAAGGTCACAGAGCAAGGAGTCCAAGCAGTATTTCCCTTACTCAGAGATATGAATAGCCAGAAACACTTAGGATGTTTGGTTTTACAACCCACAACCTCCTCCCCCACCTTCGCCAAAAGATAAACTATTTTCTTTTTTTCTGGAACTTACCTAACATAACATAATCTACATAAATCTACAAAATAATGTTGTTCATGAGAAAGGCATATTCGATTCAAGCTTATCCACCTTAAACTGCTTCTGCATAACCAACCTAGACGTATACAGAGTCCCTTCTGTTAGTTCCTTTGATGGATTTTTGCTTTTTTTCTCCTGAAAGTAAAAAGCAGGAACATATACTGTGATTTATTAGGTTTTGCATCTGTGACAAGGAATGCAGTCCTAGAGAGGGCGGTAATTAGCTAATGCTTCTGGAATGCTGCTTCCTTCCCACCAGCCCCTGGAGGTCAGCAGGCCAGGGGCGAAGGCAGCTTTGTCCTGCCCCTATGGGAGGTTGTGTTTCTCGACCCAGTGTCTTGAGTTTGCTTCGGGGCCGGCATCTATGGAGAGCAGGGAGCATTTGCACTCCTTGGGGAAGAGGCATGAGGAGGGGCAGCGGTGTCCTAAGCTCCTAGTGACTCAGTCTATTCTTGACCTGCCATCACAGGGATGAGTTTGGCCTGAATGAAAGTCACACACCCTGAGCAGGCTCTGAGGTTTGGTTTAGTCCACAGTTTTTCAACCTCAGGACTATTGACGTTTTGTCGTGGGGCTACTGGATGCACTGTGAAATGTTAACAGCATCCCTGACCCTCCACCACTAGATGCCAGTAATGGCTGTAACCGTAATAGGTTCGCTGCCTGATGGGCAGCCAGCAAGTCAGTACACCGAGACAGCCAGTTGCAGCAGAGAAAGAGGGTTCATTGCAGAGCCGCTGAATAAGACGGGAGGAAACCTCAAATTTGTCTCCCCGAGGAGTTTTAGGGTTAGGGTTTTTAAGGGTTTTAGAGTTGACCAAAGTGTGGAGATCAGTGGTTGATCGAAGAGTGCAGGGTGAAGGCATTGGACAAGAAGATGAAGACGCTGTATTCTCATACTGATTCAGTTCCTCTGTGAGGTGAGGGTCTTCTAACTGGTTGGTGTGAGCTGTTCCACTGGAATTCAGGATCTGAAAAGCATCTTAAGCAATTTTTTTTTTTTTTTTTTGAGACAGAGTCTCACTCTGTCATCCAGGCTAGAGTGCAGTGGTGCGATCTCGGCTCCCTGCAAGTTCCACCTCCCGGGTTGACGCCATTCTCCTGCTTCAGCCTCCCGAGTAGCTGGGACTACAGGCGCCCACCACCACGCCCAGCTAATTTTTTGTATTTTTACTAGAGACGGGGTTTCACTGTGTTAGCCAGGATGGTCTCGATCTCCTGACTTCATGATCAGCCCGCCTCGGCCTCCCAAAGTGCTGGGATTACAGGCGTGAGCCACTGCGCCTGGCCACATCTTAAGCAATTTTTAAGCAAAAGCCTTGTGATTCTAACCTCAGAGATGCTATCTATAAGAACAACAGGGATACAGATGGTCAGTGTCTAGGCCTACCTGACTTTCTGTTACAAGGAAGTGGGCCGAAGTGCAGCCTGATTAATGCTTAATTATAACTATATTTCTGTACAGAATTCTTGTTAAGAATTATTGGGTCCAGGATTGACCTAATTTTCCCAAATTATTTAAGATTAATTATAACATGGCCTCTCAGATTGGTTCAAGGGTAGAGTGAGGGGGACCATGCCATTTGGGAAGAGCCATTCAGACATGTCTAATAAGTAAGCATTGCTTTTCTCTACCTTACTCAATATTCTTTACAGATTTCAGAAACAGCCTAAAACAACATTCCACACATTGAATGCATATACTAGTTCACAGTGAGGCCCTAGAGTACTGGAAGCAAAGCTGGGAAAAATTAAAATTCTAAATCTTCTACACAGTAAATGCAAACATGAACTGGACATTCCTCATTTCTTCCATATTTCCTTTTCTACCATCTTTAGCCTATTCTCAGCCTCAGATGGACTGACGCATTAAAGCTCCAGAGTGTGGGTAATTTATGGAACTTGAAAAATGCATGTCTGGGAGCCATGGAGAGAGGGGGAAAGGGCAGTCCCAATCAGACCCTCAGTCTCCTCTTTGTCTTTCATGTACTCTCTAATGTCTACTCCATTGAGTGTACTCTTGGTACCCAACTCCTTTAATGGGAGAAGCTTTCAGCTGTTGCTCAGGGTATTGCTGCTCATATGCACTAAAGCCATTGAGCACACTATTCAGGGGACCCTCACCAGCCCTCTTGGATATTTGCACTATTGGTGGTCCTGAGGTGACCTCAAGGATGAGTCATAGGAGTTAGTCAATCTTTCAAAGGGAGTGTCTGTTCCCTCTGCTGGGAGATCGTGTGTTATTTGATGCAAATTTTCAATACAAACCCACTTTAAATACAGAAGACATCCCAGATGGAAAGGAAAAACCTTTTCAGACAGCTATTCTTCAATTTGGTTTCTGGAGGCATAATTTTCTTCGATGGTAGGCAGAATTCTAAGATGACTTGTGCCTTGAATAATCCCTTCCTCTTGAGTAGGGGCAAGAGCTGTGGATATGATGGGATCTCACTTTGTGTTATAATGTATGGCAAAAGGGACTTCTGCAGATGCAATTAAGGTCTCTTAACAGATGAGTTAAGGTAAAGGGAGACTGCCCCGGTTGGGCCTTATCTAATCAGGTGAATTCTTATGGTCTTAAAGTCTGAGACAGAAGTCAGAGAGAGGCATGTTCCTGCTGGCCTGGAAGAAGAAAGCAGCCACAGTAGCTAGAACCAAAGAGTGGTCTGAGAGCTGAAAGCAGCCTCAGCCCAGGAGCCAGCAAGAAAATGGGGACCTCAGTGCTACAATCAGAAGGAACTGAATTCTGCCAGCAACCAGAGAGCTGGAAGAGGGCCCTAAGCCTCAGATGACCTTCCAGCCCTGGCTCAATAACTTATGTTGTTTTAAGTCACTAGGTCTATACGTAATTTGTTATCTGGCAATAGAAAATCAATGCACCTTCATTTTATTTTGTTGCTAAATTGGATATTCACTGTATTTTCTTATTTGCTTTGTTCTTGATGCTCTGGCATCTAGGGCCTTGTTGACAGGAGGAAACCACCCTTCCCAAGGCTTTACTATCCCAAAGATTGTAAAGGACTTGCCCTGGAGCATGCTTTTCATATGAAAACTAACCAATCCAGAGGCCTTACTTTGAACCACCTTCTCTCTCTGGCTCTTACACTCCAGGAGGTAATGTTCCTCTGCTCTGATCATCTCAGGACCAGGTACCAGACAGCTAGAGACAGCCCCTATACCCTGGAGCCTATCAAAATTACTTAATCTAGCAGATCATACACCTACCTAGTCTGTTTACCCTGCCTCACCTGTTCCTTCCCATGAAAACCACAATAAAGATGTCTGCCTCTGCTTTCCCCATTTCCCCACTCTGCTTCCTTATAAACTTTGGTCCTTCCATTTGTAGCCCCTCCTCTTGGGAACTGTGAATAACAAACTATCTTGTCAGTAACAGTCATCGTCTGATTTGTTGGCCTCACCATACTGGAATAATAATAAAACCTATTTAAAACAAACTGTTAGGATCGTTTTGCTTATACATTTCTTCTCTATGTGTTCTACTCAGATCCTCCCAAACTTCAGAAGTGTCAAAAAATACTAAATGCAGATTATTAAATCTTGACCTTAATTAGGTTCCATTGTGAATTTTTTAAATAAAAAGATTGTTTTAGTATTAAAAAAATTCTTCACAAGGGATAACAAGCACATCTTGGCTTTTGTCCCTTCTTACAGATTTTTAGCATAAGCTGAAAGAAAAATAAAACTATGGGAAAGATTTTGCCAGACAAAACAGAACAATAGGCAGAGTTCCATGTAAAATGCCTGATTGGTGCAGGCAGCCAGTATCCTCTAATGGAAAAATTCACAAATGTAACAAAAATAAATGGTGCATCATACATTATGTTTGTCAATACTTTTGTGATGATTTATGCTAGAATGGCAAGCCAGAGATTGCCTAATTTTATGTCCTATGCTTTAAGACCAGCCTCCCATACTTTCCTGAACGTCTGAAGAGCTTACAAAAGGGCTTTTGCTTTGTTTTACTCAAAGAAAAGTGAACTCCTTCTCTTACTAATGATTTGAGCATTTTCCTCTCAGGAAACAAATAATATTTAAGCAAGTGATTTAGCATGACACTATTTTTTGCTTCTAATGTAAAAGGCCTATTACTTACAAAGAAAAACTAGATATTTATAAATAAATTATTTTGTTAATAATGTGCTGTTCCTTTACACATCTTATTATCTTGTATTAATAGCTCTAGCCATACTGACATTTTTAGTTTTATCTATACATGATATTTTCTCTAAGAGGCAGATTTTAGAGGCCAGTCAAGCATTTGGATATAATTTTGTGCAAGGATTTTTTTTAATTTACAAATAATGGTATCACATACCTGAGCATCTGCAAATAAATTGGTAACTGCTATAGTTACAAATAAACACACACTCATGTATGCACACACAACCATGATCATAAACATATCCCTGTGCCTCTCCCTTTTCTATGCACACCTCATACATATAGGGGGTATGTATGTGTATACCTGTGTGTGTGTGCGTGCATGTTTTTAATACTAAAACAATCTTTTTATTTAAAAAATTTGCAATGGAACCTAATTAAGGCCAAGATTTAATAATCTGCATTTAGTATTTTTTGACACTTCTGAAGTTTGGGAGGATCTGAGTAGAACACATAGAGAAGAAATGTATAAGCAAAATGACCCTAACAGTTTGTTTTAAATAGGTTTTATTATGTTTGTGTGTGATACTCTTATCAACTAATTGGGCAGTAGATTTTGTATTATGGCAAACATATCACTTTAGAATTTGACATGCCTGTGACTGACACCCACACTACAGCATACTTACTTCATCATTGTAACTTTGGATATTTTAACATATTTGGATGTTCATTTATTTTTACAACAGGAAGAATAATTCCTATCTCACCAAGTTACTAAGACGGTTAAATATGGCTCCACCTGCCTGAAATCCTTTTTCTCCTGACCATCCACACTGATGTCTTCTTGTCCTTTGAATGTCGCTCACTGTTGTAGAAAGGGTAACCCTGACTAATTAGCTAACATAGCCATCTAATGACTGTTATATCTCTTGATTCATAGCACTTGTTTATGTCTGCTTTGATCATATTCATTTCATTAAATATATATCTTACTCCCTCTGTAAGAGAACAAATGCTGTGAGAACAGGACCTTGTTTGACATGTTCATTATTCTAGCATCCAGTGCCTGAAAACATGCCTGACACATAGTAGTCACTTGATCAATATTTGTATGAAGGAAAGAAGGAAGGAAGAAAGGAATAAAAGGAAGAAGAGGGGTTTGGTGGGAGGGAGAAAGGGAGGGAAGGACAAAGGAGTGTGAAAAAGAGGGATGAAGGGAGGCAGGAAGAAGTTTAAATGTCCAACACAATGACTAACACATTACATAGGCACTCAATATACTTCAATTTTCTATTTTGTAATCTGTGAATTTTGGTAAGTTTCTTAAACTCTTTAGGCCTCGCTTATCTTATCTGTAATAATGGTACATGCAGTACCATCCATTAGGATTGTTATAAGGAATAAATGGAAAACAAAGAAATAAATGCAGAGTATATTGCACTGTGCAGAACTATATACTCATTAAATATTACATATTAATATTTTTGTTACTTCCCCCAAATGATATCATCGGACACAAACTTCTGAGTTCAATTAGAATTTATAACTTACGGATATGAATTTGTTCAAATAGTGTTATATTTCCTTTTATAAAAATAACCATTTGAGATATATGAAACTTGAACTCTTGGCCTCAAGTGGTTCTCCTGCCTCAGCCTCCCAAAATGCTGAAATTACAGGCATGAGCCACTATGCCTGGCCATTTGTGATGTAATTAATAAGCAATCAAGGAAATACTTAACTGTACTTATAATTATTAAGTTAATGTGACCAAAGTTAAACTTTAATACAAGGAATGTGTGAGCCCTTAACTAAAAATTATAATCCCTCTGCTTGTTTGATGGCTGAATCAAATAAACCATAAGAAAACCACTAGAAAATTATACTTGTTTTCAATACATCCTTATACTTCTGAATAGATAAAGAAGCCACCTTAAGTTTTTATTAAGAACAGTTTTTCTAACCGCAAACAAGAATAAAACAATAAGGTAAAATGCCACCAGAAAATGAAAACGTGAGTAATGACTTTCTTTTCATTGCCTGATGGGTATAGAGGGTTATTTTTTCCCGTACAGCATAGTTTAATTTTTTTTCATTTCTTATAATGAAATTACTGAGGTACTTTAATGAAGATTTCCTGCAAAATAGATTAAAACTTACAAAGTGATACAAGATTTGTGCTTTCAGCCAGAAATTGTCTTTTAATTGGCCAGTACAAAGACAAGAGAAGCTAAGGGAAATGGAATACCATTTGTGTCATTTCCATCACACCATTTCTTATTCTCAGCACTTACTGAGTGTGTAACTGCTGAGAGATTTGCCAGGTGTTCACTCACAGATTGATAGCTCCATGTATAATTCCAAATGATAGAGATGGAGTGTTGTGTCCTCTGATAGCAGAAGCAGCAGCCACTGCCTTCCCCACAAACCTGTCACAAAGAAATCAGTGGGGATTGGATTTTGCCCTGACCTGGATAAAAGGACACTTCATCACAGCAACAGCCTGCTGGGAGAGGAGGGAATAGACCCTGCTCTTGCTGCTGCAGATGCCTGCAAAGGATCTTTACTTGGAGGGGTCTTGGAGCTCCTTTCTCCGCAGCTACACCAAGTGGCCAGGTATATGTGCACATATACAGTAGCCACCTGCTTTCACTGTTGCATGTTACGCAATGAATCTCACCATGGGAGTGAAGATGCTTCTGGTTCTTCAAAGTGAGACAGGAAGAGGAAGAAGAAGAAGAGGAGGAAGAGGAGGAAGAAGAGGAAGAAGAAGGAGGAGGAGGAGGGAAGAGAAGAAGAAGGAGGACGAGGAGGAGGAGGAGGCGGTGGCAGTGGCGGTGGAGGAGGAGGAGGGGGAGGAGGAGGGGGAGGAGGGGGAGGAGGAGGGGGTGGAGGAGGAAGAAGAAGGAAGAAGAGGAAGGAAGAAGAAGAAAGAAGAAGAAAGAAGAAGGAAGAAGAAGAAGAAAGAAGAAGGAAGAAGAAGAAAGAAGAAGAAGAACACTGTTTGGTGGGAGCTATATTCCAGGCTCCATAGCTGGTTACTCCAAGTGAAGAAAATGCGGCTTCAAGAGGTTGTGAGGCTTACGTGGCAGGATGAGGGAAGTGAGGGTATGGGCATTTATGTGATGTAGCAGCAGCAGCTTGTCCCAGTGGGAAAACCTCACCCTGAGAGGTCATGGGAAATCCCGAGAACCACATAGCACTTCCCATCCTCCATCTTTCCTTTCAGTACAGTTCCCCACAATCTCTACTACCACCCCCACCCTCTGCACCAGGCTCTTATCTACGTTTTTTGGAAAGAAGACCATCAGTTCAACAAATGAGCATAAAACAAGACTCTCACAGCTGGAGCCTCTCCCACAGTTTGCGCTTTCTCCTGAGAGACTCTTTGATCTCTCCTGCCATTGTCTTGGGGCCATCCCAGTGGTTCTTCAGACATGCCTGAATATGTCTACATTCCACCAGCAAATGCCCAGACTGAGGGTCACACACCTACCCACACAGACACAAAAATAATCTCACTCATCAACAGTGGTGCACTAAGTCTAAGGTTACAAGGAACAGTGACACACAGGAAGTGTGCTGTCAGATAAGAGAGTTATACACTTCAAGGGACAACCAAAGTGGACTCTGATGAGGACCTGCATGGAAGGGTCCTGGTGTCTGTGCGTGAACACTGGAGGGACACTTAGGTCTGTGAGGCCTCAGGAAAGGCTTCTGAAAGCAAGAGGCCCTGAACTGAAACAGCTAGGTGTCTAAGTGTTCTGTGGCTGAAGGCAAGAAGCAAGGACAATCTAGGTACAGGGAAGCTGACAAGGGAAGGCTCAGAGGCAGAAAATACTTGGGTGAATCCAGAGCCCCCATCTCGCTTAATATGAGAAAAACCTAGAATCCCATGCAGGGAGTGGCAAGAAACCAAGCTGCAGTATCAGCAGAGACTGAGTCATAAAGGGCACTGAGGGACATAGCAGGAAGCTCAGATTTTGAACTGACAGAAAAAAAGAGTCCCTGATAGACTCAAGTTTCTCTCTCAGATTGATAGCTTCATTTATAAACCCAATGATAGAAATGGAGTATTGTCTTTGAATAATAGGAGCTATCACGATTATACTGTAGAGCTTTTGGAAGGCTACCCTGGAGGCAGTGTAACAGAAGGTCAGAAATTAAGAGGGTCACCTGATGAGGCTACTGCAATAGTCCAAGGGGATGATGGTTTGGGCCTGGACTAAACTATGGCAAGTAGGGATGGGGAGTAGATACCAAGAGGAGAGTAGCAGGTAGCAGGGCCAGATGACGGCCTAAATCGAGGGGTACAAGAGAGCTTGCACGAAATAAACAATCAGCCCTGGCAGGACTGACTGGGACTGCCCTTGCAGGACGAAGAGAGGAAGGGTTAAAACTACATGTCTTGAGGCTATTTGCCAATGTCCTTAGGAAGCAGGGAGTATGGCTAATGGAGCTTTTAGTCCTAATTAGCCAAAACTGGGATCCTGCCAATTTTAGAGGCTTTCAAGGGGCATGCTTCAAGGAAGAGTCCCCCTGAGCTTAAGTAATGAGTGATGGCCTGCCATCCAGCCCAGGGGCAATGTCTCTAACCCTGGGTCATGCCAGAATTATACTCCCTTGACTAAACACATCAGTTTATCCAGGACCCAACATATTTCATTTTATTTAATATTCCCCCAAACCCCAAGTAGATGTACTTACTACTCATTTCACAGATAAGGAAACAAGCTTCAGGAGAAGCAAGGCCATTTTTCACATAGTTGGTAAGCATTCAAAACAGTATTCGAATGCTGGCCTGTCTGATTCCTGGGTTTTATTCTATCCACTATGTACAATATCAGAGGGGTCCATGTGTTTCTCTTCTGGACAGAGAAAAGAGTGAGGAGACCTCAACAGTGGACACTAGCCTCCACAATTCAGAATGAAGTAACCTGGGACTTGCAGAAGAGGGAATCCACATTGTTTCAGTTAGGTAGCATTTGGTGACAGTGATAACAATGATAATGAAAACAGCAGCAACTAATATTTACTGAGTGCTTCATATGCACTAGACATTGCTCTAACTCATGTAATCCACCCAAAAACCTACAGAAATAGGTATTGTCATGATGTCCAGATTGTTGAGTGAAATAATTTTACAGATGAGGAAATGGGCCCAGGAGAATTAAATAACTCTTCCAATTGACAAGGTAGAGGTGGAAACAGCATGGAAATTCAGGCATCCAGCTTCAGAGCTCACTCTCCTAACCACTATATTATGTTCTCTATGGTCAGGTTGAACACAGTAGTTTGCCTCATGTTCCTTTATGGTTTGTGAATGCGGCTGAAAAGTCCCACAATCACTAAAAGACAAAACACAGTCAAGCTTTTTATTCTTCCTTCAAAAAAAAAAAGTTGATGGGAAAGGGTGATAGTACACACATAGGGTCCGGCAATAAATCATTTTTTCCCTCCCGTTTCACAGTGAAGGGCATAGGAATGAAATGAGCTTTTAGAATTCCTGAGAATCATAGGCACTCCACCCTAACCACAGATGCTGGAAGCTGCATTATGATATGTATTACATTCAAATGTGGGAACCCAGGGCTAATTTTAAGCAACAGTTCAAGCTGGATGTAATTAAAACCTGCAGCATTCTACTTCTGGAAATGACTAAGAAGCTTGTATCGTACTAATCCTCTCACAGGTGACAATTGTAAACTATAGCCAAGTTTAAAACATTATTTGAAGGCACTGAAGAAGGAAGAAATGCAGGCTGAATGTGGAATAGAGTCAGCCTTCAACAAAGAAAACTGCACTGTATGTAAATGGATTTTGCAGGGTGTTTCACCTGAGAACACAGCCCTGTCTGCACAAGATGAAGTGGCTGAGCTCCTGCAGAAATATGCAGTCTTCCTTGTTTGAGAAGTCAGAGTATGGAGTTCATAACTGGAAAAACTTCTGGGGTGTGAGGTGGGTAGGAATGCCAAAAAGGAGGATGTCAAGGAGGGGGGATCCCCCAAATCTGTGTGCAGACTTTGCCCCAGTTCCTGGCTGACTACACACGCATAAACTGCGCATGCATGTGGAAAATGTCAAGGGTCCTAGAAGGAGGCAGCAGATGGAGGACAGAGGGAATTGAGAGGAGATATCAACTGCAGTCCCCCACAGACAGGCAGCCAACTTCACCACCCTCTAAGGCAGAACTCAACACTCTGACCAAGTCTCTAAAACAAAACATTTACAAAGCCCATAGTAAAATAAAATATTGGTAGACATGTGAAGAAATAGAAAAATGGGACTCAAAAAAAGAAAAGCAGTCATTAGCAACCACTTCTAAAGAGACCAAAAGTTTGGAGTTATGAGAGAAGGAGTGCACAGCACCTATGAAGAGTATATGCAAAGATATAAAGGAACACGGGGTCATGGTGAGGGTCAACTGGGAATCCTGGCAGGAGAAAATAAATATATATACATAAAGAAATAATTATAGAACTAAAAATCAAAATGTCTGAGATGAAAAATTCAATTATTTTCCTTAAGAGCAGATTGGAGAAAGCAGAATAATAGACAGAGACAAATAGAAAGCAAGTAAGAACTTGATAGACATGAACCTAATGATATAATTCATTACATAAATGTAGATGGAGTAAACATTTAAACTAAAAGGTATAAATGATCAGACTGTACAAAAATATAAGACTAAACTATATGCTGTTTTTCTTAGTGATGGTTCTCTAGAAAAACAGAGCCAATAGGATGTGTGGGTGTGGATGTTGAGGAGAGAGAGAGAGAGAGAGAGAAAAAGAGAGAGAGAAAAAAAAGAGAGAGAGAGAGACTTATTTAAAGAAATTGGCTCATGTTACCTTGGAACCTGGCAAGTCTAAAATCCGCATAGTAGGCCAGCAGGCTGGAGACCCAGGAAGAATTAATGTTGCAGCTCTGGTTCAAAAGCAGATGGCAGGTAGAATTCCTTCTTCCTTGGGTGGGGAACTTCCATCTTTTTCTCTTAAGGCCTTCAACTGATAAGAGGATGCCCACCCACATTATAGAAGATAAACTGCTTTACTTAACGTCCCCTGATTTCAATGTTAATCTCACCCAAAAACTGTCTTCACAGCAACATCCAGTCTAGTGTTTGACCAAATATCTGGGTGCCATGACCTTGCAAAGTTTATGTTAAAGCATAAAATTACAGAACCTTTTTATCCCCTTATAGTCTTGGCTCATCTTTATGTTTTTGAATCTCATAACTGCTTCTGTTTGATCACAGCTTGATTCACTGATCTTATTGCATGGAGGCATTGCCTTCTTTTATTCTATTGAGAATGGAAAATTGTTTCCAAAATAATTTATTTCTGGCTTTTCTATAAATCATTTTGAAAAGTCTCTGTGCTTCTCTGAGTCTTCAGGGATACTGATTCTTTCAACTTTTTGAATCTTTTGTTCAAATCAGGACTGTATTGATCTTTTTCTTTTAGATTCATTCTTCACAAAAGAAACATTTATCTAGACTTGACAAAAGCCTAGAGAAAAATGTGTTAATTGCCCTTTCATAGTTGATTAGATTACTGGTTATATTGGTCAAGGCTCATAGTGGAAGAAAGTAGAATGCACTCTATTTGATCTGAAAAGAAAGTGATGTATCAGATGGAATGATGAACCTTACAGAATCTCAGTGAGGCCCAGGGCATAAGGTTTAATTATCACATAATCAAAAATACAGCAATCAAAGGAAATGCCCAACCACCTATGGAACTGTTTCTGTTGCTGCTGCCTACTGCTCAGTACCTAAGTTTCTAGGAATCAGACTTCAGAAACTGCCAGACCTGCAACGGGAGAATGAACGTTTCTGTCACGAACCATGGCCACTGGCTCCCATTGTTCACACCCTCCTGGTCTCATGTGGACATCTGCTTGGCAGAATCTAAGCCACATGCAAAATCTTCTCTGCTAAGTACGGTTTTTAGTCTCCTGGCATCTGTTATACTAGAAGGTTCAGTAGAAGGAAGTGGGAATGGCAGCGGAGTGAGCCAGTGAAAAATCTGCTGCACTAAACAATCTCAGTGCTGGATGGAATACCCACATCTCAAATCCAAGGTCTAGAAGACCTTTATCCATGGTGGCTTCACTGTAAATGAGTGGACCTCTCATCATGTCACTGATTTTCTGGGACTCTATACTAAAGAAAGATTTTTTAAAAATTGCAATTCCTTCTTATATCAACTCCAGGGCTCCTCCTTCCTGCATCTTCCTCCACAAAGCTTTATTTTCTTAAATGAAATGTGTCACCAGCAATTCTCTCCCCAAACCTTCCACACCACAACTCACCATACTCACTAGATTTTTGAGAATCTTAGTCTTGAGTGAAAATACAAGTGTGTGGGGAAAAAAAGGAGAAGTAGATTCTGACCACCAACACAGTAGAAGACGAGCCACATGGTTTCCAGGCTGGCACAGATCCTGGGTACATGAGCTGGGAACAGACTTGATGCAGGGATAATTTTGGGTAAATTAATTGACCTGTTTAAGGATATTTGGAATAAGTTACCTATAAGCAGAATTCTAGAGGTAATGTCCTATGATTTTATAAAATCTGGAAGTCACTCATTTACATATTGGAAATTCTTTTTCTTGACAAAAATGATTCATGACTTCAACAAATGGTGCTAGAACAACTGGATGTCTATGTTCAAAAGAATGGTGGAGTACCCCTTCTTCACTCCACACATCAAAACCATCTCATTGTTCAATTCCCACCTATGAGTGAGAACATGCAGTGTTTGGTTTTTTGTCCTTGTGATAGTTTGCTGAGAATGATGGTTTCCAGCTTCATCCATGTCCCTACAAAGGACATGAACTCATCATTTTTTATGGCTGCATAGTATTCCGTGGTGTATATGTGCCACATTTTCTTAATCCAGTCTACACCTGGGACTGTTGTGGGGTGGGGGGAGGGGGGAGGGATAGCATTAGGAGATATACCTAATGCTAAATGATGAGTTAATGGGTGCAGCACACCAACATGGCACATGTATACATATGTAATAAACCTGCACGTTGTGCACATGTACCCTAAAACTTAAAGTATAATAATAAAAAAATCTCTGAAAATATACCCAAGACCTAGATGTAAAAATTAAAACTATAAAACTTTTAGAAGAAAACATAAGAGTAAATATTTGTGATTTTGAGTTAGGCAATAGCTTTTTAAGATACAACACCAAAAACACAAGGGAAAAACAAAACAAAACAAAACAAAACAAAATCCGTGAATTGAACTTCACCAAAACTAAATGGGACAACATATTTAAAAATCACATATCTGATAAGGGACTTGTATCCAGAATGTATAAATGATACCACTTGCAACTCAGCAATAAAAAGACAACCCAATTAAAAGCAGACAAATAATTTGAACAGACATTACTACAAAAAAGAAATACTAATGATCAATAAGCACATGAAAGATGTTCAACATCATTAGTCTTTCAGGAAATGGAAACCACAAGACATCACTTTACACCCACTAGAATAGCTCAAAAAGAAAAGGCAGACAATAATAAATGTTGTCAAGGATATGGTGAAATTGGAACTCTCATTCATTGCTAATGGGAGTAAAAGAGTGCAGTCAATTTGGAAAACAGTTTGGGAGTTCTTCCAAAAGTTAAACATAGAGTTACCATATAATTCAGCAATTCTCCTCCAAGAATACTAAAAACATGTGTCCACACAAAAATTCACACATTAATGTTCATAGTAGCATTATTCATAATAGCAAATAAGTGGAAACAGCCCAAATATCCATCAACTGATAAATGGATAAATAAAATGTGGTATATTTATTAACTGAAATATTATTTAGCAATAAAAAGAAATGAAGTACTGATTCATGTTGAGCATCAGTGAATCTTGAAAACATGATGCTAAGTGAAAAGAGCCAGTCACAAAAGACCACATATCACATGATTCAATTTATATTAAGTGTCCAAAATAGGTAAATCTATAGAGATAGAAATCAGATTTATGCTTGACAAGGGATTGTGGAGGAGGGGGCAATGGGAAGTGGCTACCAATAGGTGTGGTGTTTCTTTTTGGGGTAATGAAAATGTTATAAAATTAGATAATGTTGGTAATTGTACAACTTTGTGAATATACTCAAAATCACTGACTCATACACTTTAAAAAGGTGAATTTCATGGTGTGTTAGTTATATCTCAAAAAGGCTATTAGAGATTTACTGGAATTTCACAAAAATAATTGCTTATTTAATGCAAGTTTATTCATGATATTCACATTATTTGAAGTATGAAAGTTCATTGTTTGAATTAATTAAAAATTAAAACAACATATCAAAATGTGTGGGATACAGATTTAAAGAATCTAAATTTTCATTTTAAGATATAGAAAATACAAGCAAAAGAAAATTAAACCCCCAATAGAAAGAAGACACAATAAACATAAAAGTAAAAATAAATGAAATAAAAACTAAAATATAATGATAATGATGATGATAATAATAATAATGGTAATAATAGTAACATGAATGAATCCTGCAGCTGTTTTTTTTTAAATGAATAAAATTGATAAAACTCTCACTAGACTTATGCAGAAAAAAAGAAAGAAGACACAAATTACCACATTAGGAGTAAAAGAGGAGCATCACTACAGATCCTATAGACTTTAAAAGGATCATAGGAAATATTATGAGCTGCTTTATTCCAATAACTTCAACAACCTAAATGAAATGGATAAATCCTCTGTCATAATGTTACCTTGCTTGTATTGGAATGTGTTTATTCTCAGGAGACCCATGCAGAAATATTAGATAAAGTGCAACTCACTTTCAAATGGCTCAGCAAAATGTCAACAGTTGTTGAAACTAAGTAGTGAATATAAAAATGTTTATTATGTTATTCTTTTATTTTACCTTTTCTGTATTTTTGAAAATTTTTGTAATGCAAAATTGGGAGAAATAAATCAGGTATGAATGCATGTTAGTAGAGAGGCTTTCACTCCGGGTTAGTCATTTCAAGTAGGGCTGATTATGGAAAGGACAATGTCATGACCTTTTCACCCAAAAAGCAGTGTTGTAACCTTCCTTTTGTGTCTGGATGAAGCTTCTTGGTGACACTGGTAGGCTATGGAAACTCCCACAGAACAAGCACAGAAAAACTCACACAGACATGAAACCTTGGCCTAAGGGGACACTTATTGGACACTAATTACCCTTAAGAGCTCTGTTAACCCAAACTTCCCATAAACCAAGCTTGGTATGAAATAAGAAAATGCATAAGGAAGCAAAATGCTGACATGACCAAATTTATCAGTCCTGAAAGTCCTTTCTTCAGAAGTGATGTTGCAATTGTACAATAATAAACAATAGAAGGTTGACAATCTCATGTTTGCAGGCAGAGAACAGCTTCCCTACATTTCTAAGAAGCTGTATATTTGGAAATGGATTAAATTGAAGGTAGGGATAATTGGCATTCTAAAGCCAAGTAGGATGAAACAAGCAGAATTTTCCATATTTTAATATGTCTCTTTTTAATTAGAGTATCTATAAAGGAAACAAATTATTGTATAGTTACCGATTCTTTTTAATGAACAAGGAAAAATGGTCTAATAATATGAGCTTCCTTTTGGACTTGGGTCCTGGCTGATGTTGGGTATCCAAGGACCCTCGCTGTCTTTTTTTCCATGTTGGACGGGTAATGTGCCCACATTGTAACAAGGTTTGAGGAAGGCACATCTCACACATGCACATGTGAACACCCAAGCATCACGCTTATGAACTACAAAAGGATCTACCCTCTCCATCTTAAGTAGAGACTTGAGAGGGAGTGATAGGCAGGAAGAGCATCAAAACTTCTTCACAGGACATAATTGAATGACTTGTTACTTATTTTCTTATGGTTCATTTATTCAACAAATGAAACATCTCAATTGTTCATTGCTATTATAGATAGACACTAGGTATACTGGTAAAAAAAAAAAGACTAAAAAATGTTGTTTTTATTTAACTTGCATGATGGCTGATATAGTAAAGTCAAAATTATTTAAATAAAGAAAAGGGGTAATGAAGACTTTGGATGTAGAAATCTAGGTTCTCATCCAAGCTTTGCTGCTAGCTTGCTGAGGGAACCCTGAGTAATGAGTCCTTAAACTCCCTCTAGGCCTGGAGGTTCATCCATCAAGTGAGGGGCCTTAACCATGTTTCCAACAACAGCCTTTCCGGCCCCATCTTCCTATGAAGGAGAAACCTCAGTATGGCCTCGTGGGGAACATCGTGGACTTTGGACTAAAGCACTTTTGGTTTGTTCAATTATTTCATCTCTGATCTTCATCATCTTATTTAACTACTCTGAGCCTCAATTTCCTTGCTGCAAAATGAGGTGATGTTTGCTTAAATGAGCAAGCAAAGCAATCACCACAGCTCCTGGCATGCCATAGCACATGGCTTTTGCTCCCTTGGGGTGCTTACATATGAAGAAAGGTTTTGCAATCTAAAGACAGTAATCATTTTGGTAGTGAGCCAGCTAATTGAGGAGGCAATTTCTCCTCCATCAGACTATCAGCTGATGTGCAACCTAAAAAGCATTTGTTGAATAATGTAAAAGGAGTTTTTACCAGCTCCTTCAATTTTGACCATCTTTGGACTGGAAGATTTCATTCAATTCAAAAAATTCCCAATGACATATACATTGTGAACACTAAGATTATATTCTTTCTGGAAGCTGTGTCCATTCCAACAAGTCAGGACCATTTTTACCCAACCTGTCCTAGGCAGCAAGACTCCTCAAGAGATACATGCAGAGGCAGAGTTTTCTAAGCTGGGCTGCCACATGGTCACCCTGGGGAGAAAATGGCAGAAGACAGCTTTCTTGGGCCCACCTATCAGAAGGAAGCTCCTGTGGCAACAGTGATCTCATCTCTTAGGGGCCCATGGTAGAAATATTGAAAGCAAAAGCTATAGGAATGGTCCAATATAACAATCACAGTTTCCTTCAATTTTCAGAAAATTATAAATGATTAAGAATACAAAATGGTTTTGATTTGCATTTCTCTGATGGCCAGTGATGATGAGCATTTTTTCATGTGTTTTTTGGCTGCATAAATGTCTTCTTTTGAGAAGTGTCTGTTCATGTCCTTCGCCCACTTTTTGATGGGGTTGTTTGTTTTTTTCTTGTAAATTTGTTTGAGTTCATTGTAGATTCTGGATATTAGCCCTTTGTCAGATGAGTAGGTTGCGAAAATTTTCTCCCATTTTGTAGGTTGCCTGTTCACTCTGATGGTAGTTTCTTTTGCTGTGCAGAAGCTCTTTAGTTTAATTAGATCCCATTTGTCAATTTTGTCTTTTGTTGCCATTGCTTTTGGTGTTTTGGACATGAAGTCCTTGCCCATGCCTATGTCCTGAATGGTAATGCCTAAGTTTCCTTCTAGGGTTTTTATGGTTTTAGGTCTAACATTTAAGTCTTTAATCCATCTTGAATTGATTTTTGTATAAGTTGTAAGGAAGGGATCCAGTTTCAGCTTTCTACATATGGCTAGCCAGTTTTCCCAGCACCATTTATTAAATAGGGAATCCTTTCCCCATTGCTTGTTTTTGTCAGGTTTGTCAAAGATCAGATAGTTGTAGATATGCGGCGTTATTTCTGAGGGCTCTGTTCTGTTCCATAGCACATATACACCATGGAATACTATGCAGCCATAAAAAATGATGAGTTCATGTCCTTTGTAGGGACATGGATGAAATTGGAAATCATCATTCTCAGTAAACTATCGCAAGAACAAAAAACCAAACACCGCATATTCTCACTCATAGGTGGGAATTGAACAATGAGATCACATGGACACAGGAAGGGGAATATCACACTCTGGGGACTGTGGTGGGGTGGGGGGAGGGGGGAGGGATAGCATTGGGAGATATACCTAATGCTAGATGACGAGTTAGTGGGTGCAGCGCACCAGCATGGCACATGTATACATATGTAACTAACCTGCACAATGTGCACATGTACCCTAAAACTTAAAGTATAATAAAAAAAAAATTAAAAAAAAAGAATACAAAATGGATTCAAAACTTACAGATAACTTGTAAAAATCAATTTTAAAAGATAACCTAATTTTAAAATGTTCAGAAGTCTTGATCTTGATCAGGCATATTACAATATAGCATGGGCCACTGATCAAGTCTCCAGCAGCCAAATCCACCCCCTGCCCCAGCCTGTTTCTTATAAATAAATTTCGGTGGAACACAGCCTAGCCTATTCATTCACACATTGTCCATGGCTGCTTTTGCTCAGCAACAGCAAAACTGAATAGTTAGGACAGAGGCCATATGGCCCGCAAAGCCAAAGATATTTACTATCAGGCCCCTTAGAAAATGATTTGCTTGTCCCTGAAATAGAAGCTATCCAAGTGACTGATAGGCATATGAAAAAACACTCCAGCATTAATTGCCAACAGAAAAATGCAAATTAAACCCACAGTAAGATACCATTATCCACTCATTAGAATGGCAAAAATTAAAAACACTGACAACATCAAGTGTTGGCAATGGTGGAGAACAGTGGGAGCTCTCATACACTGATGGTTGAAGTGGAAATTGGTTCAATTTTGGAAAACAGTTTGGCAGTATCTACTACAGCTAAACATTTATGTCTCCATGGCTCAGCAATTCCTGGTCATATTCTCAAGAGATATGAGGACTGTGGCCACCAAGAGACATGTATGAGAAAGGTCCTAGCACCTTTATTTATAATAGCCCCGAACATAAAACAATAAATGTCTGTCAACAGTATGATGAACTAAATAAATTGTGGTGTATGCGCACAATGGAATAGTATATGGCAATGAAAAAATATAAGCTGTTGCCCCATGCAAGGATGTTTCACAGACATAATGTTAATCAGAAGAAAGCAGATCTCAAGGAGTCCATGTTGTATGATTCCATCTATTTGAAGCTCAGTAACACATGGTACTAGAAGTCAGAATAGCAATTACCTCTAGGACTGGGGATTCATATTGAAAGAGAATGAAGGTTGGGAAGCCTGTTGGGGCCTGGGAATGTCTTAGATGTTGTTCTGGCAGGTGGTTGCAAGCCTGTAGACATATGTAAGAGGTTATTGGATGGTACACTGAAGATTGCAGCACCTAACCGTAGAAGGTACAGTGTTACATCTCAATATAGAAGAGAAAATATTAAAGAAAAAAAGACCGTGGGTCCTTTTGGACTTGAACCTTATGCCACAGTGGTACTACAGAGTCATGTCTTAACTGGAACTCAAATTGTAATACCTTTAAAGCTTTGTGTTGAAAAGAATGAACATTTCAGAATGTAATTCTGCATTTGTGATGAAGTCCTCCTCAATAACTGATTCAAAGCTGAGGAGACTGCAGTTTCCCCTAATGCCCTGGCCCTGTCTCTGATGGGTACATGTTTGTTGAGACATCTACCAAGGGGATCAATGCCCCAGGCTGATGTCACTCCCTGTGCTTGACTCCTGTGTCTGGGTGGCAATCGAGAGCCTTCCTGCTCCCCCAGCGAGGGACGGACAGGAGGAAGCACCCTCCAAAGGCTGGCCTGTGTCACAGATTGTCCAGGAGGTGGGCAACATAAGGGATGAGGTCATCTCTTGGTGAGCCCATGCCTGGCCTTACAGAGCAGTGACAGATCACCTGTCACCCCCGCAACAGGCAAGTGGCCCCATGTCCATGAGCCACAGGGTGCCAGGGATGTGGGATTGTAGCTCCCCTGTGGGTCCCCTCAATGAAGGGAATTATTCCTCCAAGGAGATTTGGGTCCTCTGCTGCTCTCAGACAGTCAGTTGCTTTCTGACTCGTCCACACAATGGATACTGCGTCCAATTGTATCACACCATCGTGGACGGCTGGAGTCACATCTAAAATGTCCTTGTACCTCCAGCCTCCATCACTGCACACCTGTAACTCTGCTCACCCTAAGTGCTTAATGAACATGGTGGATGGGCTGGTATACAAATGCCTTTTGGGGGTGGTTTGACTTACAGCCATCTCTGCTCTCACTACAGAAAGAGGAGAGGAGCCTCACAGAGGTAATGTCAGTGGAAGAACCTCCAACCCTCCTTTGAACACATTCCTAACAAAGAAACCTGCATGCTTTCCCCACCTTTTCTCCTACCTGTCTTGTGTCAGAGCAGTGCCTCCCTGCTGCTGATTTAGAACCAACCAACAGCTGGACCTGTTTATATCTAGCACCTTGCAGTGTTCTACCTAGATTCCAAAAATGAACTCAACAATGATTCAGTGTCATTGATCAGGTTCATAATGCTTGGATTTGTTCATACAAGGGCTTTCCCTAGAAGGTTACTTATAAAATGAATATCTAATAGGAGGGGTTTAATTATTTTGTGTTGTTTTTCTTACTAGCCATATCTCCTTAAAAGTATAGAGAGTTGAAATTAGACATCATTTTTCTTTTTATCAGGCTAACTGAAGTCCAACTTTGAAGTTTTGCAATGCTTGTATTTTAAAGTGTATTGGCATGGCCCTGTTAGTTTCCTGTGGCTAGTTTACTAAGGAGCTAATAAAGAAACATAGAGATTATGCTTCCATAATTATAACTTAATATGGATTTTAATAAAAATGGATTCCTTTATCATTCTCTGAATTTTATTTTGTGCATTTAAAATATTATACTGAGGAGTCGTATCAGTTTGCTTGGGCTGCTGTAACAAATACCACAGATGGGGTGGCATAACCAACAGAAATTTATTTTCTCACAGTGGAGACTAGAAGTCTGAGATAAAGGTATTGGCAGGGTTGGTTTCTCCTGAGGCCTCTCTCCTTGGCTTGTGAGTGACTGTCTTTTTGATATGTTCTCACATGGTCATCCCTCTGTGTGTGTCTGTGTCCTAATCTACTCTTCCTATAAGGACAGCGGTCATATTGGATTAGGGCCTACCCATATGAACTCAATTTACCTTAATTTCTTCTTTCAAGGCTTTGTCTGCAAACATAGTCACATTCTAAGGTACTGGGGCTTAGGACGTAACCCCTTTTCTTTCTTTTTTAAAATTATTTTTATTTTTATTTATTTATTTATTTATTTAGAGATGGAGTCCCACTATGTCACCTAGGCTGGAGGGCAGTGGTGCAGTCTCTGCTCACTGCAACCTCCGCCTCCAAGGTTCAAGTGATTCTCCAGCCTCAGCCTCCTGAGTAGATGGGACTACAGGTATGCACCACTGCATCCGGCTAATTTTTTTATTTTGAGGGGGGGGTATTTTTAGTAGAGACAGGGTTTCACCATGTTGGCCAGGCTGGTCTCAAACTCCTGACCTCAGGAGATCCGTCCGCCTCAGCCTCCCAAAGTGCTAGGATTACAGGCGTGAGCCACCACGCGCAGCCTTTTTTTTTTTTTTTTTAACTTTCATTTTAGGTTCAGGGGTACATGTGCAGATATGTTATATAGGTAAACTGTGTGTCACAGGGGTTTGGTGTACACATAATGTTGTCACCTGGGTAATAAGCATAGTACCCAATAGGTTATCTTTCCTGATCCTCTTCCTCCTCCCACCCTCCACCCACAAGTCAGCCCCAGTGTGTGTTGCTCCTCTCCTAGTATCCATGTGTTCTCCTTGTTTAGTTCCCCCTTATAAGTAAGACTAGGCAGCATTTGGTTTTCTATTTCTGCATTAGTTCACTTAGAATTATGGCCTCTAGCTCCATCCATGTTGCTGCAAAGGACATGATCTCCTTCTTAGTTATGGCTGTGTAGTATTCCATGGTGTATATGTACCACATTTTCTGTATCCAGTCTATCACTGATGTGCATTTAAGTTGATTCCATGTCTCTGCTCTTGTGAATAGTGCTGCAATGAACATACACATGCATGTGTCTTTATGGTAGAGTAATTTACATTCCTTTAGGCATATACCCAGCAATGAGATTGCTGGGTCGAATGGTAATTCTGTTTTAAGTTCTTTCAGGAATCGCTACACTGCTTTCCACAGTGGCTGAACTAATTTACACTCCCACCAGCAGTGTATAAGTGGTTCCTTTTTTTTTTTTTTTTTTGCAACCTCGCCAGAATCTGTTATTTTTTGACATTTTAATAATAGCCATTCTGACTGGTGTGAGATGGCATCTAATTTTGATTTGCATTCTCTAATGATTAGTGATATTGAACTTTTTGTCATATGCTTGTTGGCCACATATGTGTCTTCTTTTGAAAAATATCTGTTCATGTCCTTTGCCCACTTTTTAATGTGGTTTTTTTTTTCTTGTAAATTTGTTTAAGTTTCTTATAGCTTCTGGATGTTAGACTTTTGTTGGATGTGTGTCCCTGCCCAAATTTCATATTGAAATCTAATCCCCAGTGTTGGAGGTGGGACCTGGTGGGAGGTAATCAGATCATCAGAATGAATTTCTCATGAATGGTTTAGTATCATCTTGTTGGTACTGTTCTCACAATAGTGAGTGAGTTCTCATGAGATCTGGTCATTTAAAAGTGTATGGCACCTCCCACTCATGCTCCTGCTTTTGCCATATGATATGCCTACTCACCCTTCAGCTTCCACCATAATTGTAAGTTTCCTGAGGACTATCCAAAAGCCAAGCAGATGTCAGCTTCATGCTTCCTGGACAGCCTGCATAAACATGAGCTAATTAAACCTCTTTTCTCTGTAAATTATCAAGTCTCAGGTATTTCTTTATAGCAATGTGAGAACAGACTAATACAGATGCATAGTTTGCAAATATTTTCTCCCATTCTATGGGTCATCTTTTTTACTCTGTTGATAGTTTATTTTGCTAAGAAGCTCTAGTTTAATTAGAATCCATTTATCAATTTTTGTTTTTGATGTTACCGCTTTTGGGTTTTTTTGTTGAAATATTTGCCTGGTCCTATGTCTAGAATGGTATTTCTTAGGTTATGTTCCAGAGTTTTTAATAGTTCTAGGTTTTACATTTAAGTATTTAATCTATCTTGAGTTAATTTTTGTATATGGTATAAAGAAGGGGTCCAGGTTCAATCTTCTGCATATGGCTAGCCAGTTATTCCAGCACCATTTATTCATGGGGAATTTTTTCCCCATTGTTTGTTCTTGGCAAATTTGTCAAAGATCAGATGGTATGTGGCTTTATTTCTGGGCTCTCTTTTGTGTTCCATTGGTCGATGTGTCTGTTTTTGTACCACTACCATGCTGTTTTGGTTACTATAGCCCAGTAGTATAGTTTGAAGTTGGGTAATGAGATATCTCCAGCTTTATTCTTTTTGCTCAGTGTTGCCTTGGCTATTTGGGCTCTTTTTTTGGTTTTGTATAAATTTTAAAACAGTTTTTTTCTAATTCTGTGAAGAATGTCATTTGTAGTTTGATAGGAATAGCCTTGAATCTGTAAATTGCTTTGGGCAGTATGGCCATTTTAATGATATTGAGTCTTCCTATCCATGAGCATGGAATGTTTTTCCATTTGTTTGTGTTATCTTTGATTTTTTGAGCAGTGTTTTGTAATTCTCATAGAGATCCTTCACCTCCCTAGTTAGCTGTATTCCTAGATATTTTATTCTTTTTGTGGCAATTATGAAAGGGATTGCATTCCTGGTTTGGCTTTCAGCTTGGATTCAGCCCCTTTTCTACATGAATATTGGAGGGGACACAATTAAGCTCTTCATAGTCTTTCGCTTTGTCCCTTCTTTGCTGTGTTGGGATGTAACCCAGCAAAGAGTCAACAGGGGAAGGCCACCTTCCATCTGTGTCCTGTCTTTCATGCGTAGGCTCCTCTCTGTGCTCTCCCCTCCCTCCCAGGTCACATGTACCCTGACAAAAGCCTTCCCATAGCCTTAGTCATCCTATGTTTGATGGGTACCCATAGGAGAATGGTAGGCGGCAAGACCCTGAAGCCCTGATTTGGGAAATGACCTGCAGTCTTCAGTGCAGCACAGTTTTAGGAGTGGGCACCAGCTGTCAGTGCACATTCCTTCTGTTCCCTGAGCAGTTCCTTACCTCTGTCTTTGGTGTGAGGCTTCAGACTCTGTTGGATAAGCAGATGCCCATTAGGGGCAGTGCTTTGAATAGTTCATTTCAGGATGTTCAAATTGTCAGGGACATTTTATTACACACACACACAAACAACTGTAAGAGGTGGTATTTTTAAGCACTTCTTAAATGCCAGACACCATTCTCTAATTTTACATGTTTTACTCAGTTAATCTTCACAACACTATGAGGTACACAAATGAATGTGAATGAATGCAATGAAACACGCACTTTCAGTCAAATAAACCCGAGTGCTGGCCATTCTCCAGATTCATTCTTTGCCTGCTCTATGCCCAGGAGACTGACTCTGGCCTGCACTGCCCAGGCCCCCTTGCAGGAGACTGCCCATACAACAGCAGCCAATGGGAGGACGAGAGCAGAAAGTAGAGGCAGTTTCCCCTTTTCCCGTGACAGAGCCTCACTGGGCCCAGACAATAGCACTTCCTCTCTCCTTCCTTGAAACCTGGGGGTGGGAACAACTTCCCCCTATTGCTGTCATCTGGGAGCCTCCCCTTCCCTTGTCTGGGCCCTTATCCCTGCCCACAGCTCAGGAAACTTCTGTCATCAAAGGCTCTTCCTCTGCACAATTTGGGATGAACTGTTTCTTAGTGTATTCTTATCCCATACATTGAGCAACTCTCCTTTTATGTGTATATAATTTAGGAAACTTTTGTGTAAGTACAAAATGTGTGTGTACATATTTTTCTTTTCTCCCTTTTATTTATTTAAACAATGTTAAAACAATCTGTCCCTCTTAATTTTACATTTTCCTCAGGTGCTGAAATAACAACTAAAAGTTGCTTGTATCTGCATTGTGGTTTCTGTGTGTTTGCCATCAGGGGAAAACTTCTTTGAATAAAATTTACATAAATTTAAACAACAAACACTATCTTAAACATCATAACAAAGGTTTTATTTTTTTTAATTTTTAATTTAAATTGAATTTAATTATTTATATAATTTATAAATTTTATATATATTTATTAATATATTTATATATTTTTATTTCCATAGGTTATTTCCATAGGTTTTTTTTTATTTCCATAGATTATTGGGCAACAGATGGTATTTGGTTACATGAGTAAGTTCTTTAGTGGTAATTTGTGAGATTTTGGTGCGCCCATCGCCCGAGCACCCAATTTGTGGTCTTTTATCCCTCACCCCTTCCCACCCTTTCCCCCCAATTCCCCAAAGTCCATTGTGTCATTCTTACGCCTTCACATCCTCACAACTTAGCTCCCACTTATGAGTGAAACATACGATGTTTGGTTTTCCATTCCTGAGCTCCTTCACTTAGAATAATAGTCTCCAATCTCATCCAGGTCATTGTGAATACCATTAATTATTATACACAAACACACACACACATATACATATATCACAGTTTCTTTATTCACCCATTGATTTATGAGCATTTGGGTTGGGGTTCCACATTTTTGCAATTGCGAATTGTGCTGCTATACACATGCATGTGCAAGTATCTTTTTCATATAATAACTTATTTTCCTGCGGGTAGATACCCAGTGTGGGATTGCTGGATCGAATGATAGTTCTACTCTTAGTTCTTTAAGAAATCTCCACACTGTTTTCTATAGTAGTTGTACTAGTTTACATTCCCACCAGCAATGTAGAAGTGTTCCCTGTTCACCACATCCATGCCAACATCTATTATTTTTTGATATTTTGATTATGGTCATTCTTGCAGGAGTAAGGTGGTATAACATTGTGGTTTTGATTTGCATTGCCCTGACCATTAGTAATGTTGAGAATTTTTCCATATGTTTGTTGGCCATTTGTACATCTTCTTTTGAGAATTGTCTATTCATGTCCTTAGCCCACTTTTTGATGAGATTGTGTTTTTTTCTTGATAATTTGTTTGAGTTCATGGTACATTTTAGATATTAGTCCTTTGTCATATGTATAGATTATGAAGATTTTTCTCCCACTCTGTGGGTTGTCTGTTTACTCTACTGTCTGTTCCTTTTGTGTACAAAAGCTCTTTAGTTTAATTAAGTCCCAGCTGTTTATCTTTGTTTTTATTGCATTTGCTTTTGGGTTCTCGATCATGAAATCCTTGCCTAAGCCAATGTCTAGATGGGGTTTTCCAATACCATCTTCCAGAATTTTTATAGTTTCAGGTCTTAGATTTAAGTCCTTGATCCATCTTGAGCTGATTTTTGTATAAGATGAGAGATGAGGATCCAGTTTGATCCAGTTTCATTATCCTACATGCAGCTAGCCAGTTATCCCAGCACCATTTGTTAAATAAAGTGTCTTTTCCCCGCTTTATGTTTTTGTTTCCTTTGTTGAAGATTAGTTGGCTGTAAGTATTTGGGTTTATTTCTGGTTTCTCTATTCTGTTCCATTGCTCTATGTGCCTATTTTTATACCAGTATCATGCTGTTTTGGTGACTATGACCTTACACTATGTTTTGAAATCAGGTAATGTGATGCCTCCAGATTTATTCTTTTTGCTTAGTCTTGCTTTGGCTATGTGGGCTCTTTTTTGGTTCCATATTAATTTTAGGGTTTTTTTTTGTAATTCTTTGAAGAATGATGGTGGTATTTTGATGGGAATTGTGTTAAATTTGTAGATTGCTTTTGGCAGTATGGTCATTTTTCCAATATTGATTCTACTCATCCATGAGCATTAGATGTGTTTCCATTTGTTTATGTCATCTATGATTTTTTTCAGCAGTATTTTGTAGTTTCCCTTGTAGAAGTCTTTTACCTCCTTGGGTAGGTATATTCCTAAGTATTTTACTTTTTTGCAGCTATTGTAAAAGGGGTTGAGTTCTTGATTTTATTCTCACCTTGGTTACTGTTGGTGTATAGAAGACCTACTGATTTCTGTACATTAATTTTGTATCTGGAAACTTTGCTGAATGCTTTTGTCAGTTCTAGGAGCATTCTGGAGGAGTCTTTAGAGTTTTCTAGGTAAACAATCATATCATAAGCAAACAGCAACAGTTTGACTTCCTCCTTCCTCTTTACCCATTTGGATGCCCTTTATTTCTTTCTCTTGTCTAATTGCTCTGTCTAGAACTTCCAGTACTATGTTGAAGAGGAGTGAGAGTGAGCATCCTTGTCTTGTTCCAGTTCTCAGAGGGAATGCTTTCAACTTTTTCCCTTTCAGTATTATGTTAATTGTGGGTTTGTCAGAGATGGCTTTTATTACATTGAGGTATGTCCCTTGTATGCCAATTTTTCTGAGAGTTTTAATCATAAAAAGATGTTGGATTTTGTCTAATGCTTTTTCTGCATGTATTAAGATAATCATGTGATTTTTGTTTTTGATTCTGTTTATGTGATGTTCACATTTATTGACTTGCATATGTTAAACCATCCCTACATGCCTGGTATACAACCCACTTGATCATGGTGGATTTTTTTTTTTTTTTTGATATGTTGTTGGATTCGGTTCACTAGTATTTTGCTAAGGATTTTAGCATCTATGTTCATCAGGAATATTGGTCTGTAGTTTTCTTTTTTGGTTATGTCCTTTCCTGGTTTTGGTAATAGGGTGATATCAGCTTCATAGAATAATTTAGGGAGGGTTTCCTCTTTCTCTATATTGTGGAATAGTGTCAATAAGATTGGTACCAATTCTTTGAATGTCTGGTAGAATTCTGCTATGAATCCATCAGTCCTGGACTTTTTGTTTTTGGTAATTTTTAAATTACCATTTCAATTTCACTGCTTGTTATTGGTCTCTTCAAGGTATCTAATTATTCCTGATTTAAGCTAGGAAGGTTGTATCTTTCCAGGAATTTATCCATCTCCTCTAAGTTTTCTAGTTTATGTGTATAAAGGTGTTCATAGTAGCCTTGAATGATCTTTTGTATTTCTGTGGTGTCAGCTGTAATATCTCCCATTTCATTTCTAATTGGGTTTATTTGGATTTTCTCTCTTCTTTTCTTGGTTGATCTTGCTAATGGTCTATCAATTTTATTTTATCTTTTCAAAAAACCAGCTTTTTGTTTCATTTATCTTTTCTATTTTGTGTTTGTTTGTTTGTTTCAATTCTATTTAGTTCTGCTCTGGTCTTGGTTATTTCCTTTCCTCTGCTGGGTTTGGGTTTGGTTTGTTCTTATTTCCCTAGTTCCTTGAGATGTGACCAGATTGTTTGTTTGTGCTCTTTCAGACTTTTTGATGCAGGCATTTGGGGCTATGAACTTTCCTCTTAGCACTGCCTTTGCTGTATCCCAGAGGCTTTAGTAGGTTGTGTCACTATTGTCATTCAGTTAGAAGACTTTTTAAATTTCCACCTTGATTTCATTTTTGACCCAATGGTCACTCAGGAGCAGATTATTTAATTTCCATGTATTTGCATGGTTTTGAAGGTTCCTTTTGGAGTTGATTTCCAGTTTTATTCCACTGTGGTCTGAGAGAGTGATTGATATAATTTCAATTATCTTATATTTATTAAGGCCCATTTTGTGGCCTATCATATGGTCCATCTTGGAGAAGATTCCATGCGCTGTTAAATATAATATATATCCTGCAGTTGTTGGGTAGAATATTCTGTAAATAATCATTGTTTATTTGCTGACCTTCTGTCTTGGTGACCTGTCTAGTGCTGTCAGTGGAATATTGAAGTCCCCTACTATTATTGTGTTGCTGTCTATATCATTTCTTAGGTCTATTAGTAATTGTTTTATAAATTTGGGAGCTCCAGTGTTAGGTGCATATATATTTAGAACTGTGATATTTTTCTGTTGGACAAGGTCTTTTACCATTATATAATATCCCTCTTTGTCTTTTTTAACTGCTGTTGCTTTAAAGTTTGTTTTGTCTGACATAAGAATAGCTACTCCTGCTTGCCTTTGGTGCCCATTTGCATGGAATGTCTTTTTCCACCCCTTTAACTTAAGTTTATGTGAGTCCTATGTGTTAGGTGTATCTCTTGAAGGCAGCAGATGGTTGGTGAATTCTTATCCATTCTGCAATTCTGTATCTTATAAGTGGAGCATTTAGGCCATTTACATTTAACGTTAGTATTGAGATGTGTGGTACCATTCCATTCATCAGGTTGTTTGTGCATGCATAACTTGGTTTTCTGTGTATGTGTTTTTTTTAATTGTATTTTTGTTTCATAGGTCCTTTGAGATTTACGCTTTAAGAAAGTTCTGTTTTGATGTGTTTCCAAGATTTGTTTCAAGATTTAGAGCTCCTTTGAACAGTTCTTGTAGTGCTAGCTTGATAGTGGCAAATTCTCTCAGCATTTGTTTGTCTGAAAAAGACTGTATCTTTCCTTCATTTATGAAGCTTAGTTTCACTAGATACAAAATTCCTGGCTGATAATTGTTTTGTTTGAGGAGGCTGAAGATAGGGCCCCAATCCCTTCTAGCTTGTAGGGTTTCTGCTGAGAAATCTGCTGTTAATGTGATCGTTAATACAGAGTGACAACTTGATTGGGTTGAAGGATGCAAAGTTTTGATCCTGGGTGTGTCTGTGAGGGTGTTGCCAAAGGAGATTAACATTTGAGTTAGTGGGCTGGGAAAGGTAGACCCACCCTTAATCTGGATGAGTACCATCTAATCAGCTGCCAGTGCAGCTAGAATATAAAGCAGACAGAAAAACATAAAAAGCCTCCACTGGCTTAGCCTCCCAGCCTCCATCTTTCTCCTGTGCTGGATGCTTCCTGCCCTGGAACATCAGACTCCAAGTTCTTCAGCTTTGGGACTAGGACTGGCTTCCTTGCTCCTCAGCTTATAGATGGCTATTGTGGAACCTTGTGATTGTGTGAGTTAATGTTACTGAATAAATTCCCATACTCATATATATCTATATATCTATATCTATATCTATCTGTCTATCATCTATCTATCTAGCTAGCTAGCTAGCTATCTGTCTATCTATCTATCTATCTATCTATCTATCTATCTAGCTAGCTAGCTAGCTAGCTAGCTGTCTATCTATCTATCTATGTAGCTAGCTAGCTAGCTAGCTGTCTATCTATCTATCTATCTATCTATCTAGCTAGCTAGCTAGCTATCTATCTATCTATCTATCTAGCTAGCTATCTATCTAGCTATCTACCTATCTATCTATCTATCTCCTATTAGTTCTGTCCCTCTAGAGAACCCTGACTAATGCAATAGGTTACCTGGTATTTGTGCCTCACAGCTCTTAAGATTCTTTCCTTCATCTTAACTTTAGATAACATGTTGACAATGTGACTAGGTGATGATCTTTTTGTGATTAATTTCTTAGGTGTTCTTTCAGCTTCTTGTATTTGGATGTCTAGGTCTCTAGCAAGGCCAGGGAAGTTTTTCTTGATTATTCCCCCAAATATATTTTCCAAACTTTTAGATTTATATTCTTCCTCAGGAATGCCAATTATTCTTAGATTTGGTTGTTTTACATAATCCTAGACTTCTTGGAGGCGTCATTCATATTTTCTTATTCTTTTTTCTTTGTCTTTGTTGGATTGGGTAAATTTGAAAACTTTGTGTTCAAGCTCTGAAGTTCTTTCTTCTGCTTGATTCTATTGCTGAGACTTTCCAGAGCATTTTGCATTTCTATAAGTGTGTCCATTGTTTCCTGAAATTTTGATTGTTTTTTATTTATGCTATCTATTTCATTGAATATTTCTCCCTTCTCGTATCTTTTTTTTTTTCCTTGCATTGGATTTTTCTTTTGTCTGGTGCCTCCCTGATTAGCTTAATAACTAACTAATCTTTTGGATTCTTTTTCAGGTAAATCAGGGATTTCTTCTTGGTTTGGATGCATTGCTGGTGAGCTAGTGTGATTTTTTGGGGTTGTTAAAAAACCTTGTTCTGTCATATTACCAGAGATGGCTTTCTCTGGTTCCTTCTCATTTGGGTAGGCTCTGTCAGAGGGAAGGTCTGGGGCTCAAGGCTGTTGTTCAGGTTCTTTTGTCCCACGGGGTGTTTCC
The DNA here is from genome assembly GCF_000001405.40 of Homo sapiens. Taxonomy (NCBI): domain Eukaryota; kingdom Metazoa; phylum Chordata; class Mammalia; order Primates; family Hominidae; genus Homo; species Homo sapiens. The sequence continues at coordinate 38,202,679 of NC_000021.9, forward strand.
TTGATGTAATACTCTCCCTATTTTCCTAGGGATGTGGCTTCCTGAGGGCCAAGCTGTAGTGATTGTTATCTCTCTTCTGGATCTAGCCACCCAGCAAGTCTACCAGGCTCCGGATTGGTACTGGGGATTGTCTGCACAGAATCCTGTGATGTGAACAATCTGTGGGTCTCTCAGTCATGGATACTAGCACCTGCTCCACAGTGGAGGTAGCAGAGGGGTGAAATGGACTCTGTGAAGGTTCTTAGCTGTGATTAATCCACTATTTTGGTGCTGGTTGGCCTCCTGCTGGGAGGTGACACTTTTCAGAGATCATCAGCTGTGGTAGTATGGAGAGGAACAGGCAGTGGGCAGGGCCCTAGAACTCCCAGGAGTATATGCCTTTTGTCTTCAGTTACCAGCATGGGTAGGGAAGAACCATTAGGTGGGGGCAGGGCTAGGCATGTCTGAGCTCAGACTCTCCTTGGGCAAGGCTTGCTGTGGCTGCTGTGGGGGATGGGGGAGTGGTTCCCAGGTCAATGGAGTTATGTTCCTGGGAGGATTATGGCTGCCTCTACTGTGTCACGCAGGTTTTTAGGAAAGTGGGGGAAAGCCAACAGTCACAGGCCTCACCCAGCTCCCATGCACCCCAAAGGGCCAGTCTCACTCCCACCATGCCTCCCCGCAACAGCACTGAGTCTGTTTCCAGGCAGCGGGCGAGCAGGGCTGAGAACTTGCCCCAGGCTACCCACCTCCCAGCTGCAAAAGCAAGTGGGGCTTTCGTTCTTCCCCCACCGGTGGAGTCTGCACACTGGTTTCATGCCCTCCCCTGAATCTGGCCAGGAGACTTCTCATTCCGTTGGAATTGTTACAAAGTTCAGCTGGAGGTTTCCTTCTCCCTGTGGTCTTTTGCCAGTGCCTCTGGCAGCCCTCCTCAAGGACCCCTGTGAGGCAAGGCAGAAATGGCTTGCTAGGGGATCTAGTGAGTCCACAGAGCTTTTCCTGCTGCTTCCTCTACCCCTGTATTTCGCTTGGCTGCCTAAATTGACTCACCTCCAGGTAAGGTCAGAATCTTCTCCCATAATCTAGACCTTCAGGCTCCCCAGTGGGGGTCTGTGTTTGGGGGTGGACGATCTCCCTTTTTCACTTCCACAGTTTGGGCACTCACAGTATTTGGGGTGTCTCCTGGGTCCTGCAGGAGCAATTTGTTTTCTTCAGAGGTTCTGTGGGTTCTCTTGGCTTTCCTAATGTATTCCTGCGGTCATTGTGGAGCAAAAGTTCACAATTCAAGCCTCCACAGGCTGCTCTGTCCATCCGAGTGGGAGCTGCAATCTAGTCCTGTCTCCCGTCCACCATGATCTCCCCGATAACAAAGGTTTTAAAAATGATAAAACAGAAAACAAATTATTGCAAAATGTCAGCTCCTGTAAATAAATCTATGAATCGAGGGCTAAATTCATAAAACAAATTTTAAAAGTTTGAGTGGTGGTTTTGTTGAAGATTTTTTATTGTTGTATAAAACCAGTCGAAATTTCTTCAGGTAAATATTAAGTTACTTATGCAAATTTCTAATAACAGTTCATAGCATACAGAAAATGGCCTTTATTGCTTCAGATATCTCTGTGTTAAACTTCAATTATGGCTTCAGTAATAGTGAATCTTTCCTTTAAATTAAAACACAATATTTATACTATATAATTCTAGGGGGGGTCCAAAGACATGGAAATAAAAGTCATAAGAATTGAATGAAATAAAATTTTCCTTGAAAAACAGAAACAGAAATTATAATGCTATATCTATTTGAATAAGAGCAGCTAAATAACAGTAGCTAAACTAAAAAGAGATAAATCAAGATAACTTTAAAGAGATAGCCCAGGCTGCTGTGTCTCACTGTGACTGTGGGTGTTGAGGGCCCTGCTGCTGGGAGAGCTGAGTGAAACCTGCTGGCCCTGAATCCCTAAGCCTCACAGCACCTCACTTCTCCTTGCTGGGAACCTGATGACTCAGGGGACCCCTGGTCCTTGTGGGCCTCTGTTGGCTGTACCTGAAGCAGCAGGAGCAAAGAACCCCTAGTAAAAGGCAGGAACTTGAACTCCATGTCAGCCAGGATCTGCCTACTGCAATCATCTTCTTTTCTTAGCTCCCGGAGCTTTCTCTCAGTGGACAGAACTGCCCTCCAGCTTTCCTGAGCTCTTTCCACACAGGCAAGAATCTCCTTCTGATAGAAGGAAGTGATTCTTTCCAATTCTTTGCTGATATTTTCAGCCATCTCCTTGTAGAGGCTGTGAATCTGCTGTGTGTATTCACATTTCTACACACGCTCAGAAGTTTCTTCTTCATTTCTAACCTGTGTGTTTCCACCGCAGGTGATCTTCTCTGAAGTTGCGCTATGTGTTCTTGATGTGATTCAGGTAGGATTTGAAGCTTCAGCTGCAGGTTCTGGATCCCACCTGCAAGTTGGGAATTTTCAAACTGCAAAGACGCTTTCTCAGTTTGGAGATGTTTGATTTGTCCTGTGAGCTCTTCATTCATTGATTTTTTTTCCCACAATTGTCAAGCTATTTCTTGATTTTTCTTGACTTTCACAGAACACATTTAAGTCACCATCACCCAGGACGCTCTTCAGATGGCCTTCTGACTGATAGTTGGGCGGGAGGGGCTGGGGCAGGCAGTCTTCATTTTCTGCTTTCCTCTTTAGCTGTACTTTCGAGTCCTCGTCACTGTGGTCCCTAGAGAAATCTCCCAACTGCATGGTGTCCAGCAGGTTTTCAGCCATAGATTTTAATTGGCTCATGGTATCTTTCATGACCTGTTTTATTTGTGCATTCAAAGGTTTCCAGCTTTTCTTTCTCTCCTTCCTTTCCTGTACTGTCTGCTTCCATCTTGCAATTTCTTGGTCGAGCACTTCTGGACTTTCTGCTAAATGAGTGTTTTCATTCAAACTGTTATTTCCTTCTGAAGTTTTTCTCCATCCTTCTTTGATCCTTTTAAGATGTGTCCTGAATCAGTCACTTGAGAACATTTAGGAGACTCACTTTTCCATGCTTTTTCCAGAAAGCCGCCTGTGTCCTGCAGGGAAGACCTGCTCAGATTTGTATTAATGATTGACAAGCAGGGGGATTGTAATATTTAAGGTCTGTGGCAACTTGAGGGCTTCCTGGGTCTGTGTCTTTAGCCCAGTGTTCTGCCTGCCTTCTACATGGACCTCCTGAAGAGAACACCTTTTGTTCAGCTCTTTTCCTCTTCATAAAGTGCCTTGTTTCTTAATAATTAAGACCACACAGCAGTACAAACCAGGATCTCCCAGGGAGCCCTGGGGTTTATCTCATGATCTCAGCCTTCACCAGCTCTGTAGCCCCAGCAGCTCCAGAGCAGCTGGAGAGACATTTGGGGACCAGCAGCCCCTCTGTGGCTCTGCCTTTGCTTGCCAGTGGCCTGTGGGCCACAGCTGCCTACTCGGAACCCTGCGGAGTGTTCTGTCTCTAATGCTCACAAGTGCCTGGCAACCAGGATAGAAGATCAGTTGTGCTGGGGGAGGGGAGCCAGCCAGGTTGTAGAAACAGCATCCCTGACTTTGTTCTGCTAACTGTGCAGAGAGAGGTGATAGTCTCCGCCCAGGCCATGAGGGACCTGGAAATGGCTGATGACACGGTGGAGCTCGGCCACACCAGGCCCAGCTGGCCCCACAGCAAACCAGAGGGTCCAAGTGGGTCCATGCCCTGTCCCTTCCTGTCCACAAGGGCCTCTCAGGGGACAGTGGTGGGGCCCATCCCTGGGTGAGGCTCAGTTTCCTGATTTCAAGTTTCCTTCCGCACAGGGAAGCTGGGTCCTGCCCACCAAGGTCCCAGGGATCCTCCTCTGAGGCCCCCTCTCTCCTTTGGGTTTAGTCAACGGAGAGGGAGATGGGGAGAGGACTGAAAGGTCTCCCCAAAGGTACAAGCTGAGAGACCTGGATTTGCAATGTAAGAACCCAGGAGAAATAAGTGGAACTGACGGGGTCTAAAATGTCACGGCTATTCTGTAAAGCAGGTTTGTCCCTGTTCCATCCAAGTGTCCTGAGTGAGCGGGACTCTGCTTCGAGGGTGTCAGGTTGACCCTGGCTCTTTCCCTTGTGTGGCCCTGCTATCTTTGGTACATGCCTCCCAAGGTGGCCCTGGGGACAGTCTCCAATCCACTGAGTCATCTTCAGAAGTCTGCATGCATCTGCAGAGGGGCAGGTCCTTCTCAGCCTGGATTCCACTAAACCTCTTCCCCGGCAGAGTCAGGCTCAGAGCCTCCTCGTGCAGCCCTGGACTCTGCCGGGAGCAATTAGTCTCAGAATCTCGATCTGAGAGAGAAGCGAGCGAACTGGCAGCTGGGGCCAGTCTGGGGTCCTAAGGGTGTTGGGGTTCCAGACCCTCACAGGACATAGAGGGGCAGTGGAAGTGGCCCTCCCAGGAGAAGTCAGATCCCTTGCAGGGCCGCAGGACCCCAACTCTGCAAGGGCAACTGGTTGGTCTTTTAAAAGGATCAAAATGTGTTGAAGAAACGACAGTAATGCCTAGAACACCAACCTGGCACTAAAATGAGTGAAACAGAGTTACAACCAGGGACCCGAGGAAGATCCAGGATATTTTGCTGAGTGAAATAGGAAGATGCAAAAGCACACATGTAGAGAGGAATCCACAAAAATCTCAAAGGACACGTACTCACTCCCTCCTTTGAAAGCAGAATTTGAAGAAGCAAAGAGGAGCTGCTCCCTGAGCTTCTCGCATCTCCCTTCTCCTCCCTTCTCCCTTCTCCTCTCCCTTCCTCTCCCCTCTACTCCCCTCTCCTGGCTTCTCCTCTCCACTTCTCTCCTCTTTCCTCCTCTCTCCTCTCTTCTTCCCTTCTCTCTCTTCTCATCTCCTCCCTTCCCTTCTCGCCTCCCCTCTTCTCTCCTCTCCCCTCCTCTTTTCTCCTCTCCTCCCTTCCTCCCTCCCCTCCCCACTCCTACCTTCCTCTCCTCCTCCCTCCTTCCCTTTTTGCCTCCTTTCCCCTCGTCTCCCCTTCTCTCCCCTCCTCTCCCCTCCTTTCCCCTCCTCCTCCTTCTCTCCCCTTCTCTCCCTTCCTCCCCTCCTCTCCTCTTCCCTCCTCCCCTCTTCTTCCCTCCACTCCTCCCCTCCTCTCCCCATCCCCTCTCCCCCCTCTCCTCTTCCCTCCTCTCCCCTCCTCTCCCCTCCTCCCCTCTTCTTCCCTCCTCCCCTCCTCCCCTCCTCTCTACTCTCCCCTCTCCCCTCCTCCCCTCCTCTCTTCCCCTCTCCTCTCCCCTCCCCTCTGCCCTCCCCTCCTCTCTCCTCCTCCACTCCTCTCTCCTCTTCTTTCCTCCCCTCCTCTCCACCTCCTTCCCTCTGTCCTGTACTCTGCTCTCTCTTCTTCCATGTTGTCTTTTCTTATATGTACTTTAAATATTTTTGATTTTGTTAATACAAGTACTGTGTATGCAATTCATACCTTTTTAGCAGACAGCTCACATGGACCCAAGTTGGGGTTAACATGCAGATTGTGCAGGGGTTCCCTGCGGATGCACCCCTGTGTGCCCTGATGTGGACCTGCTCCTTCCTGCTTCCTGGGCTCCAGACAGAAACACCGTACCCCTGCACCAGCCTCTGCCTCAGCTCTTCACAGTCAGCACACCCTCCGCTTCCTGTCAGGGTGTTCTCTGCTGAGTCTGGTTATGGGATCCCTTTCTGTGCAGAGCCATGCTCCCGTGTCACTGTGTGTCACCTTCAAGCTGTCCCCGTGTGTATGCCTGTGTGAGAATATGTGTGTGTGGGTTTGCCATCGAAGGAAAACCTTTATTTTGGCTGCTAACATTTGGAAACATTTAGAGAACAAACAATATCTTTTAAAAAACATCAAAGGTTCAAAAAAACAAGACAAGAAACAAACTGTTGTAAAATTTCAACTCCTCTAAATTTGTCTTAAATTGAACTTAGAACTAATCTAATAAAAATAGTATGAAGTTTCAATGGTGTGTTGTTGTTGTCTAGTATTTTTTGGCATTGTTTTTTAAAAACCAGTCAAAATTTATTCAGCTAAATATTACATTATTTGTACAGATTTATAATAATAGCTTACAGAAGTGAACTTTATTGTTTTCCATGTTTCTATTCATGTCCAATTTTGATGACAGTTTAAATCATAGTGGACCTGTTATTTAAATCAAAATATAATACTTATGCATATAATTTTAGAGGGTCCAATGATTTTGAAATAATGTATTCATAAGAGCTATTTTAAATAAATGTATATTTAAAAATACAATTTTAGAAATTATAGTACTATAAAACTTCAGAAAGAGAAATTGCACATCAATTAAATAACAGTAGCTTAACTAGAAGATAAATGAAAATTACTTTTAAGGACGAAAACAAACAAATCATAAACTCTGAGTGAAACCTGCAGGTACCCCTGGATCCCTGAGCCTCACAGCACCTGCCTCTTCCTTGCTGGGAACCTGATGACCCAGGGGGCCCCTAGTACTTCCACTCCTCTGTGAGCTGCGCCTGGAGCAGCAGGAGCAAAGGGGCTGCTTGGGAAAGGCTGGAACTTGAACTCCACATCAGCCATGATTTGCCTGTTGCCATCATTTTGTTGTTTTAGCTCATGGAGCTTTATCTCAGTCAGCAGAACTGCTGCCCAGCTTTCTTGAGCTCTTCCTCATAGAAGAGAATCTCCTTTTGGTAAAAGGAAGTGATTCTTTCCAATTCATTGTTCATGTCTTCTGCCATCTTCTTGTAGAAGTTGAAAATCTGCTGTGTGTAGTTCGTATTTCTGCACATGATGGGAAATTTCTTCTAGATTTCTAAGCATAGAGGAACATAGTAATTTAACAGGGAGATACAGAGTGAACACCCTTTTAATCAAATGATAAAATGATAAAAGTTAACATAAAAATATTAGGACAAGCTGACATCATGTACCTCCTGATATGATGCACTGAAAAGAACACAACATTATTTCTATGATTTTCTGCCAATAATGCATAACCTGAATCTAACCATGAAGAAATAGCTGAGAACCCCAAGTTGAAGGGCATACCACAAGGTAACAGCCCATATTCTTCAAAACTATAAAGGTCAATAAAACGTAGAAAAGGCTGAATAATTATTTTGGAATTAAGGAGACCCAGGGGATGGGAGAGCCAAATGCAATACATGATGCTGGATTCTACCCTGGACCAGAAGAAAACTAGTTACAGATGAAATTATTTGGAAGACTCACAAAATTTAAATATGGACAATGGATTAGGTAAGGATTGTGTCACTGTTAAATTCCAGTTTTGATCATTGCATTCTGGTCAGGAAATGTCAAAATTTAGTGTCAGTGGGTTTAATAACTTCAACTTATTTCAAAACAAAGAGTTGCTAAAATTCTTCAACCATGATCCCTTCCTGACATTGTGGTCAAGCTATGTATGGCTCATGGTAGGTCTCTTCTCATTTTCTGGTGGGGTACTTAATGTGAAAACACAGCAGGTAAAACCATCATAAAACATCTTCAAGTTCTAACTTCCTTGAGTCTACCTATGTCTGAGAGTGTCCTCCAGGACATTTCAGGGAATATGGAGAACGTATTACTTGTGGATGTCCTTCTCCAATCAAGTCCTTCAATCCTTCTGTTCCTCCTGCAGTCTTCTTTCTGGCCAGTATGATGCCTGAACACACTCTGAGTCTAAAGAGCTTCTGGCACCTATGTTCTCTGCTGGCTTCCGTGAAAAGCTCTCTCTTTAAATAGCCATAAACCTGGTAGCTTAAGACAACTGAAATTTATTATTTTATAGTCCTCTAGACCTAAAGTCCCAAATCAAGGTGCCGGCCGGGCCATACTCCCTCTGAAGTCTCTAGGAAAAGGTTTTTCTTTGCTCCTTCCAGCTTCTGGTTGCTGTGAGCAATCCTGTCATTCCTTGGCTTGTGGCTGCACCCCTCCATTCTCTGTCTCCATCTTCCCATGGCCTTCTCTGTGTGCTTCTCTGTGTTCTCTAATCTATGGATACCAATCATGAATTTAGGGCCAATCGCAATACAGTACCCTCTCATCTTCATCCTTAACTAATTGCATCTGCAAAGACCTATTTCCAAATAAGGTCATATTCTGAGATTCCAGATGAACATGAACTTTTGGGGGCCATTATCCAACCCACTACACCAGTCTTCACTGCCTCAATCAATTTCCATGGAGTTTCTCTGGATTATTTGAAAACCCCTAGCTTGGTTTTATTTCTCCTGGATTCCAAATTTTCCCTTTGAATAGGGCTCCTTCTCTCCACCCACAACTTAGAATTCTCTTCTCTCTGTCTCCTGTTCAACTTCCTTTTTCTTTATTCTGTATCTCACAGAGACAGGCGGTATCCTTCCATACCCTTCCTTGGCTCCCAGGACCCACACCTGTTAAACATATGATGTGTCTCATATGTGGATTCTACCCAAGATCCTACAGAGGAAAGATTTGCTGGGACTGAGGTACGGTCCTAAAGAGTAAGTCAAGATCCTGCTCACAGACTCTCCAATTCTCATGGAGGACTGTGGCTTGTCAAGTAACTCAGAACCACTGAATTTTTCTGTTCAACCCTATTCTAGTTATTTTGGCTCTAAGATAAAGAAAAATTAATTACTTGCATATTTGATCAACTGAAAAAATCCAGGCTGTATGTTTTGAGTCCTGATCAATTAGGACCACTTGCCTAAAGGAAACAATTTAATGATTTCCTTCACTTTAAAGTTGTGAAGAAATTCTGGCTGCCTTTCTCATTGCATCTTTATGAAGGCCAGACTTTATGAAAAAATAGTGATGATAGCAATAAGTCTGGAACTTGGTAATCGACAAAGCTCTGCTTTCGTGCTAAGTCTCAGGAGAGCTTTTCAGTACTCTATGAAGTATGGATTGGGCAGATCATCCTGCCAGCATTACAGACAGACGAGGAGACAATCATACTGCTTTTGTTCTTGGACTGGCTCATAGTTTGGGCACAGGCATGATTAATTTGTTCATACCATTGTAAGACTCTTATCTCTAAAAGCACAAAGAGAACACATCAGAAGTAGATCTTTACATGGAACAAAACCAACTAACCATTTTGCCCAAGGAGCGACTTTCTCATCTGTTTTTTTTCTCATCTGTTTTTTTCTCAGTTTCCTTCTATTTCTATTTAAAAGGCAAGTTAAAAAAAAAAACAATAAGATAGCATAGTAGTGGAAAATAGCTCAGCCCTTACAGCAAGACATCCTAGGCTGAATTCCATTTCTGCCACCTACTAACCTGATGAACTTGGGTAATTTCCTTAACCTCTCTGAGCCTCTGTTTATTCACCTGTGATATTGTTTGGCTCTGTGTCCCCACCCAAATCTCATCTTAAATTATAATCCCCACATGTCCAGGGAGGGACCTGGTGGGACATGATTGGATCATGGAGGCAGATTTCCCCTTTGCTGTTCTCATGATAGTGAGTGTGTTCTCATGAGATCTGATAGTTTTAAAAGTGCGGCACTTCCTTGCTCTCTCATTCTCTCTCTCTCCTGCTGCATTGTGAGATGTGCCTTGCTTCCCCTTTGCTTTCTGCCATGATTGTAATTTTCCTGAGGCCTCCCCAGCCATGTGGAACTGTGAGTCAATTAAACTTCTTTTCTTTATAAATTACCCAGTCTCAGGTAGTATTTTCATATCAGTATAAGAATGCACTAATACAACCTGTAGTGTGAACCTCAAAGTCAAGTTGAGAGGATTGAAGAAATGATGTAGATTATGTACCCTGTGTGACGCCTCTCATGTTATTCAGTGGTAGTTGGCTCCCTCTCCACACCTTCTTGGGAGATTCTAATTTTGTCGAAGGATCAGTCCTAGATCGCAGTGGCAGTGCTGACATTGCTGTAAACTTCAGGCCAATGTGGCAGCATACCATCTAGCCATATTGCAATGGAGAGGTCATGCAGGGGTACTGTATGAATCAGTGCCCAGAGATAAAGGGGTGGTCTGTCCTCTGCTGCAAAGTAGGACAATGCTTGGTCTCCAGCTCTTCACCTCCTGGAAACTCACCCCCGTTTTGTGCTTGAATTCATGCTCTCTGAACAAGAGAAACTCATGTCATCTCTCTCATCCTGTAAAGCACTGCTGAGAACAATCATGCTAAAATAATTTAGAGAGAGAAAATGTTAAGCAAAGACTGTCAAAACAATACTCAAGAATACCAATAAGGAAGGCTGTTTTCAGTTAGCAAAATCTCCAACTAGGGGAGATTAAACAGCTCTTACAAAAGTGCGCGTTATACAACTATTTCATCACACGTTGAGAGCCAGCATCTCAGGATCCAGCCGTGAACCAACATCTGAAATACCTTTTCCCGTAATCCCCTTCATCCAAGAATAAACACTTTTAATGAAAGTCCCAAGAGGAAGTAAAAAAGAATTTGTTTTTCCAGTTTCTTTTAACAATCTTTCCTAAAATAGGGGGCTATTCTTGTTTGCACCTTCCTTATAACAGTTCAGTCAAATGTGGCCACTGCTACAGCTTCTAGCAAGTTCCCTGGGTGCAGAGAATTGGGAACTGGCACCTGCAAGACAAGCAGGCACCAGGATTTTGGGGGATTTTAATTTACTAACTACTCTTTATCCTTTTGGTGAGCTTGCATTTCAAACCTTGCCAAGAGACACATCTCCTTGAATTCTGCTGTCCTGTCTCAATGTGAAAGGCTTAAGAAGGATCATTTTGTTATTTCAAAACACTAGAGCAAATACTTCCAAGACTGTCTTGAAAAGTTCTTTGGAATTAACATCAAGCACTTACTATATAATGAAAGAGTCATGCATATACGATTGTTCTTTTAGCTGAGGAGTGTTTGGTAGTAATAATGGGAACAGAATTTGAGAGCCAGATTCTAAGCAGGAATGTAATAACAGACTTGAAGATAAAAAAAATATGGCTTTCCCTTAGCAGGAGGAGTTGTTGAAACCTGAAAAGCTCTGTTTATGGTTTTACCAGGAGCTTCTAACATCATGTAGAAAATGGATGTACAAATGTAATTAAACACAGTAACATGAAACTGCATGGAAAATTTGGCAGGGAATCATATTTTTTTCCTGATTATATAAGTAATACACATGTTCTTTGTGGAAAATATGGACATAAAAATATGGCATGTAGAAGAAAATTAAAATTATACAATTATACCACAAAATCATTTTCTGATGTATATATATTATTTTTCTAAAAAATTGTATTTATGCCCTATTCATATTTGTCCTGTTGCTTTTTGCTTTATGCTTAATTTAATCATATCTTTATATTGTAGTATGTGAACGGCTATCTCCCTAGGACACGTATTGCAAACATTGTTTTTCTTTAAGATCTAGAGTTTTATCTGAAACATTTATTTGAATCTTGCAATCCACTCCAAAACATACCCACATTTGTTTTACTATCAAATATGTAGCATATAAATATAAAATGTAAACTGCATTGTAGATAAGTAAATATTATGTACATATAGACATAAAATATAAACTACAAAATTATAATATATAAAGCATATCAAAATAATATTAATGAAATGTATGAAGCTGTACATAAATGAAAGATGCTATGTCCTCTTTAAAATTTTAATTTCATACCATTTAAACATATCTGCTTACCACATGCGTAAGAATTTCTTTGCCCAACTTGAAATAGCAACCTTAAAATATTCTATGTCACTGGAAAAAACTTGATGGCAATTTTTTATATACAACCCCACATGCACACACACCCACACGCAGAAGAACAACATCCATTTAGGGACTCCTTGGACAAAATTTCAAGTCTTGAAGAAGTAGGTTTACTCAAGCAAAACTAACCTCCTTTCCAAGTCTGGAATAGGTATGAGATGTCCTTTCACTAGATATAAATTTATCAATGTACAGAAAAACAAAATCGATGGGTCTCAATTTTTCACTGTAAAATTTCCTTCCTTAAATTTCATACAGTTTGGGCACCTGTTGTTCCTTGTTGGCCTGTAAGAAAATGAGTCACCATGTGCAAAAGATGAGCCATAGATCTGTTCAGAAATAGTCACTCATGTTTGACATGACAGCTTGTTTTCCATATATTCTCTTGGTTGTTATTTTACATTGCATACATATAATAATAAAGTCATATTTTCTCCCAGCATGGCTTTCTAAGTGGAGTTAAATATATCAATATTTTATATCATACTTCACAGAGTGTCATGGCTTCCCATTTTGCCACCTGATCCAGACTGACAGTCACCGCTGTAGGGGACCATACCATATACTTAGGCATGATAAAGGCCCATAGGTTGAAAGACAGAGAAGCATCCCTGACCCAGTAACTTACCATTTACTGGAGGAACGAGCCCAGCCTAGGCTGAAGAGCTAGTTGAGGAGGTGTCTCCACCACCCAACTCAACGAAGTCTAACATTTCACAGCTAGATCATCATTCCTTTGGCTTTAACCTGCAGAAATTGTATTGCTTCCCAAAATGCATATATAAGAGAGGTAAAGCCATACAATTTAATCAGTCATCTGCAATCGTGTTTCTCCAAAAGGGGTGGCCAGGCTGTCTGCATCAGTATCCTGGGGTAGGGAGGAGGAGGGTGGATGATTGATTGGAGATTTCTGAGTCCCATCATGAGAGATTCTTATTCTGTAGATCTGTGGAGGCCTCTGGGAGTCTTCATTTTAGCAAACATTCCAGGAAATTCCTGTGAACATTAGAATTTGAGAACCAATCATTTATACTCTGAAGTGAATGTACTTACGAATCCTTCCTTGAGAACAGAGGAGTTGCTTACTAATCTCTGGGGCGAATTCAGTGACCATCACTAACAGACAGAAAGAGGAATCTGGACAAAGCACAGGACAAACCTCACTTTTTCTGGAGTGGTCATCTATTAAGTGCTTTCTTGGAGAGGGTATAGTAATTGTATATTTCATATAAATACACTGTAGAAAGAGAAAAACAAATATTTAGATATTTGTGTCCCCTTCTGATTATCTACGAAGGGATTTACATGGCACAAATTAAATCTATCCACTCACCCTGAAGTTCTGTCCTTCCTTCAAGCAGGAGCCCCAGCAGAGTGGCCCAGGGCCAGCTGTTTTTAAGCAGCCTCTGAGAGCAACACAGCAGGTCCCACCCAGGAGACCACAGAGCTATGGTGGGGGAAGCCACTTGCCTCCTGTATGAGTTCCCTGGGGTTGCTGTGACAAAGGACACTGAGAGAGTGTCTCAGATAATGGACATTCATTGTCACACAGTTCTGAGGCTGGAAGTCCAAGATCAAGGTGCTAGCAGGGTTGGTTCCTTCTGACAGCAATGAAGAAGAATCTGTTCCTGGCCTCTTTTCTGAGGCTGGAAGTCCAAGATCAAGGTGCTAGCAGGGTTGGTTCCTTCTGACAGCAATGAAGAAGAATCTGTTCCTGGCCTCTTTTCTGAGGCTGGAAGTCCAAGATCAAGGTGCTAGCAGGGTTGGTTCCTTCTGACAGCAATGAAGAAGAATCTGTTCCTGGCCTCTTTTCTGGCTTCTGGTAGCCTTGGGCATTCCTTGGCTTGAAGGTGGTCATCTTCTTCCTATGTCTTGAAATCATCTTCCCTCCATGTGTCTGGCTCTGTGTCCAAATTTCCTCTTTTTGTAAGGATAGTGGTAATATTGGATTAGATCCCACCCTAATGGTCTTATCTTAAATTGATCATTTGCAAAGACTATTTCCAAACAAGATCTTATTCACAGGTACTGGAGATTAGGGCTTCAACATCTTTTGGGGGTCACGATTCAGCCCATCATGCCCCCTCTTCTCAGGTCTGTCTGAGGCTTGCTGCTCTGTCCCTTAGTGGCTGGGGACAGCATGCTTGCCTATGGCCATGCCTGTAGCTCCACTTTGCTCTGAGAGGCTGAGCAATGCCTCTCATCAGTCTTCCCACAGCCCCTTGAGTGGCCCAGCACCTACTCAGTGACCCATAGGGATCCGGTAGAAGGAGCAAATCACAGCAAGGCCATAAAGAATTTAAAGCTTAACCCAGATGCTGAGCTGGGATGCAAAGCAACAAGCTAGAAAATTGACAGGCAGGCCCCAAATGGTCTTGCAGAGTCTAATGTCATCAGGTTTCTCTGTGATGTGGCTTTTATTAAACACTTCTTAATAATTTGTGTTATTACTTCTGAGCTTAGAAATGAATTATACTCATTCTCTGGAAATATTTTTAGACTTTGCCTCTAGGTCATGACCAATAAAAGGTTTAAATTCAAATACTGAATGATCCAAGGGCTCACTTCCTATAGAAATATCTTCATCTATGAGAATGATAATAGTGATAACAGCAAATATCCATGGGGTGCCATAATTTATAAAAATTATGTGTTTTTACAAGAATTATTTACTTGTCACCTCAGAGGAAACTCAAAAGGAATATGACTATTAGCCCTCAGCGGAAGCTGAAATGTATCACCTATCGTAAGGTATCTAGTCTATTTCCCATGATGTTTACTTTTTGTGTCCGAGAATGTTGCATACTCTCATTCAAAGTCTTTCCCAGAAAGGACCAGTTGATAAAGCCACTGGCTCTTTCCAGCATCACGCCTGTACTGATGCCACAGTGGACAGCCTTTGATGCCACAGGACCACAGCTCAATCTCCTGATTGTGAGGAGAAGAGTGGGGGTGTTCTCACTGCCCCAGGGCATTACTAAAACAGGTTTGATCAGCAAGACATTAAACAACAGAGATTAGGCTTAGGAATCTAATATGCCACTATGTGCTTACTGTTGTCCAAATATTAGGAAACACAATCCCAGATCAGTGGGTTAGATTTGTGTTCAAGGGGACAAGTTGGAATGTGATGCCCTCACTTCAGGTGAGCTCTCTTTACTTGAAACACTCTTAGGTTTACTGGAAGGACTCATTCTCGGGAAGTCACGCTCTTTTTTACTTAACGTCTTTCATCATGTTAAACATTTATTTTATATTCTCTTTCAGATTGGCTTCTTATTAACCCAGATTACTGAGGTTCTAATTCTATTTATTTTGTTCCCGCTGACCCTTAAGTGGAGTATATTGTGTCCTGGTATATTTTTATATACCAGGTTTTATATTTGCTTCTGCTAAGATTCCAAAGAGGCATGTTTGTCTGGGAAAATCTGCAAGCTAATTTCTTAGCTAGGGAATTCCTGAACAAAGAAGGAAGTGAAAATCTGAGCCCCAACTTTGTGTTTGGAAAAGGGCTGCACTAATGGATTAGGAGATTCCTACCTTCACACCTAAACCAGGCAGAAAGGGATAGACTTCCCTGTTGCAATCCTGTGCTAATATGCAGGTAATTTTCTGGTCTTACCTTCAGAGTTCTGTCCTAATGGAGGAAATCTCACTTCCCACTCTTGCTTTGTATGGTTCCGAGACCTCAACTTCTGTCCATGTATGGACATTGAAAATTTAGGTTTCTGGCTGGCATGTTGGCTCCATGCTTCGGGAGGTAATCCCACTACTTTGAGAGGACAAGGAAGGAGGATTGCTTGAGGCCAGGAGTTTGAGACCAGCTGGGCAACAAAGAAAGACCCCATTGCTACAAAAAATTTAAAGAAATTAGCTGAGCACAGTGGCATATGCCTGTAGTCTCAGCTACTCTGGAGGCCGAGGCAGGAGTATTTATTGAGCTCAGGAGTTTGAGGCTGCAATGAGCTATGATTCAGCCTGGGAAACAGGGAGAGACCCTGTCTCTATAAAAAAAGAAATAAAAATTAGTCTTATATGTTTCCAAAGCCAAAATCCACTCCATTCCCACCTGCAAGCATTAGGTCACATGTTTCTGGCACCTCGATTGAAAGCATTTTTTTTTAATGCTATACAGCCTTTCTAAACATTTGCAGCATGAACATTTTCAGGTTATCCAGATTGTTGTCACACTGACCACATACTCTGACATTTCCACATCAGCATTTATAACCTCACCTGGGCTGTTTTTTTTTTTTTTTTTTTTTTTTTTTTTTTTTTTTTTTTTTTTTTTTTTTTTGAGACGGAGTCTCGCTCTGTCGCCCAGGCTGGAGTGCAGTGGCGGGATCTCGGCTCACTGCAAGCTCCGCCTCCCGGGTTCACGCCATTCTCCTGCCTCAGCCTCCCAAGTAGCTGGGACTACAGGCGCCCGCCACTACGCCCGGCTAATTTTTTTTGTATTTTTAGTAGAGACGGGGTTTCACCGTTTTAGCCGGGATGGTCTCGATCTCCTGACCTCGTGATCCGCCCGCCTCGGCCTCCCAAAGTGCTGGGATTACAGGCGTGAGCCACCGCGCCCGGCCACCTGGGCTGTTTTTGAAGCTGAACTCAAGAATATTTCCTTAGATTCAGCATAAAGAATTGGAGAGCCAAAATATGAAATATATCCTCTTCTAAGAAATACTCCTAAAAGTAAAGTTAACACCTCAGGTGGCCCTCTTGGTGTTCTAAATGATGAATGGCATATCTGTATTTCTTCAATTAGTCCACCAATACCAAGGCCTCCGTTTTCTAGGAGGACTTGGGCACAGAACCATGGTACTGCGGCTTACAGCAGCAAGTGCAGTCCCATTAACAACCAGCAGATGGCGTAAGTATAACCATCCCCGAGGGAAGGGCCCAGCGCTCCTGAGATAGGAAAGGAGGAAGTCGTTTATTATTTAAAGGAGAGTTTGAGGACGGACTTGAGCTGTGTGAAATTTGAGATATTCAGGGAAGCTGATATGTGTTAATCTGTTCCAAGTAACACATGAAAATATCTTTTGCCAACCCAACTCTGTTTACTGTTTTAATTTCCTCAAAAGAAAAAAAGAAGTGATTGTATCAACAGTGGGACAGGAGGAAAAACAAGGAAAATATCCAAAGGCAGGGACAGAAGTCTGCAGGTTATATTAATAAAACATTTTAAGCAGGCAGGTCTTTCTTTGAAGGTGAAGCACCTTTCATTTGCTTGCCACTCTGAATAAAAATTACCCCTCCAAACACAAAATAAACACAACATTTACCATGCCCTGCCAACTTTGCCTTTGCATGGAGTTACCATGGACTTTCCTCGTTGTGAAAGGAACTCCAGCCCCTTCTGAACCTTCAACTGCAACTCTGAGCGGGTGAGAGTGCATCCCTACTTTCCCCACTGTTCTGGGGTATGGTAAGACAGGCTTGTCTAAATCCTGTCGACTCCAAGGACTTGTAGAAATTCCTTGTGAGACAAGAGTGGTTTGATAAATAATTCTACCACAAAGACACGTGCAAGGGAATGTTCATTGCAGCCTTATTCACAATAGCAAAGACATGGAATCAACCTAAATGCCCATCAGTGACAGCTCAGATAAATAAAATGTGGTCCATGTATACCATGGAATACTGTGCAGCCATAACAAATGAATAAGATCATATCCTTTGCATGAACATGGATGAAGCTGGAGACCATTATCCTTAGCAAACTAACCAGGAACAGAAATCCAAATACCACGTTTTCAGTTATAAGTGTGAGCTAAATGATGAGAACTCATGAACACAAGGGAACAACAGACACTGGGGTCTACTTGAGGGCACAGGGAGGGAGGAGGGAGCGGAGCACAAAAGACAACAATTGAGTATTGGGCTTTTAATACCTTGAAGCAGAAGTTAAAAAGAGAAAAACGAGTTTTCCTGTACTTACTTGGCTGACTCACTCCAAGGCTAGCAGTAGGCAGGGCCCTAGTGGGGCCTTGATAACACTATCTGAAAAGCCAGAGCCCAAAGGAATGAGCTCCAGAGACTCTCCCAACACCTCCTCCCCCAAGCAAGTATAAGAAAAACTGTTTCTTCGTATCAGTTTCCCCCTTTGAAATTCTTTCCCTATACCATTATCCTTTGATCTGCTCTCACAACTACTTTTGTAACTATTTCTGCAAGTTTGCAAGGATTTTGTAAGTTCTTGTTTTCCAGCTGTGCCATATGGTGAAGGTCACAAGACAAGCCTGAGTTGTAAAACATGTCGCTGTTTGGTAAACTGCCTTTGTTCTGCTTCTGTGAAGCTTGCTTGCCCGCCCTGCAGGTTTCACGCCACTAGCTGGCCAACTCCCTTCAGTTGCATGTATAAAAGTCAAGCCCTGTCTTTGTTCAGGGCTCAGCCTTTGGATGTTAATCTGCTGGGCCAGTGGCCACCTAAATAAAATCTTCCTGTTCCACCCATTGGTCTCTCCTGTCCCTTAATTCCCACAACAACCTGAGTGATGAAATAATTTGTACAAGAAATCCCCGTGACATGAGTTCACCTAAGTAACAAACCTTCACATGTACCCCTAAACCTAAAATAAAAGTTTAAAAAACTTTATGGTTTGGCTACCTCAGTTATCAAGGGTCTCATCCTACCTCACATGCTCCACATAGCAACAGAGAGGCACCCAGGCACAGGAGCACACATGCCCTCAGGTGCCCACATGCACTACATGGAGGGCTGCTTCAGTCTCTCCTTCCCTCAGCACCAGCATCCTGGGATTTCCCAGAGGAAAAAAAACGGGAGCCAGTCTGAGTGGTCAATGTTGAAGCACAGAGGGTTCAGAATGGATTTGCACAACAGATAGCTCTGTGTCTAGGAATATCCTGGTCTCCTTCACTCATGGCCCAGGTCATCTGGCTTTTGGGATGAGGGGTGCTACATGACACACAGGGCAGGATGTCAAGATGAAAAAGTCCAGTGTAGAGTTTAGTACCAGAAGAGAGAAAAAAATAGAAAAAAGTGTACAGATCAGGGTGTGATGACTTTGATGATGACCATTTCTTTGAATTGGGCAGGTTGGAAAAGAAAAATAAGCATTGGGTGGGGCAAGTGCAGGTTAATCTGGGAGAATGTGGAAAGGCACAATACAAAGTAAGAGACTGTATGTTGATCCCTGGAGATGTTCCTGAGGACACAGGGGATACTTCATTAGCATGTAGGCTCAGTGATAGAAAGGATTCATCATTTTGTTGCAGAGGAAAAGTTCATTGCTGTGAGATGTCCAGTTTTCATAATATGAAAAGAGCGTATGACAATGAGTATTACTACTCAATGATGAGTAATATGTTTTTATGAATATGCATGTGTAAAACTGAGTTTTTTAATCATTATATTGAATGTGGTTTTCCTTACTCCCTCTTATTGCTGCAACTCTTTGTGAAAGTGATGCATTTCCCTTTATGAGTTACTGATTCAACACCCTCTTGTCCAGTTTGTCACATTTTTCTCATTTCTGGACTCACAGTTCTAATTCAGTTTTCTCCTGGGGTTTCAACATGGTTAATTTTTTTCATTTGCTCCTTTTTCACCTTTGTTTTAAATAGTGGTAGAATAAATCACACACCTTCTTGCTTTGCTTGAAAATTAACTTTTGCATCTTCCAGTCAATAGAATTTTTGTTTAGGTCCTTGAATACAGATTGAGAAATGTAATGGCTAAGTTACCAAAATCAACTAAATTCAGGTAAAACATTTTTGTTTTAATTCCATTAAGTCTTGTTTGGGTTTCTTTTTCTTTGCATAGGTATTAATAATACTTATTCTATTTCCAGTCTACCATTGATAAAAGATAAATGCACTTTCATTTTTCTGAATACTTCTATTTAGGAAAACCTACTAAATGTGCAGTGAGTAATTTTAATATTCTATTGAACACTCACTAAAATTGCAGTGCTGAGTATGATAGTTAAATGGAGACCCAGAGGAGACCCCATCTGTGGACAGTTACAATTGTACTTAGACCATTTTCCTAACTGGGCTCTCCTTTAGTTCCAGGATACAAGCTGAAAGTAATAGTAATAATCTACTCTTTAGATTTAATGTGAAAAATAAGGGCAAATGTTTAAGCTCCTAGAAATATAAAGTTGTCCAGGTTTTTAATGCTAACTTTGGTCATTTAAAAATAATTTGCAAGACAGAATCCCAAACCAGCTTTCTTACTAGTGATAGGGCCCAAACTGAAAAACTGCTCTCTGCTGATGCAGAAGCAGACAGGCTCACCTTTTTTGATCGAAGTGAGTGGAAACTCCCCTGAAAAAGGAGGTTTTTAAGCAGCAACTAAACCTCAGCCCCCAACTGAAAAACGCTGGAAGATCAGGGATTCCTGGAGGAAAGAGGTCCTGGACTTCAGCAATCGTCCTATTGGTTTAGGCTACAAGGTGCCCAAGCCAGCACCAGGCACCAATAGGCAAGCTGCTGCAGGCCAGGTCACCTTCACTCAGGATCCCTTTGTGGTTACCGGATGTCAACTGAGGAACGTGATGAGACAAGTCTCAGTCATTTTATGAGATTTATTCACCAAAGTTAAGGATGTGTGTCCGCAACACAGCCTCAGGAAGTCCTGACGACATGCGCCCAAGGTGGTTGGGGCACAGCTTGGTTTAATACATTTTAGGGAGACATGAGACATTAATCAATAAATGTAAGGAAGTACACTGGTTCTGTCCAGAAAGGTGGGGACAACTCAAAGCAGGGAGGGGACTTCCAAGTCACAGGTAGGTGAGAGGCAAAAGGTTGCATTCTTTTGAGTTTCTGATAGGCCTTTCCAAAAGGAGGCAATCAGAATCTGCATCTATCTCAGTGAGCAGAAGGATGACTTTGAAATAGAATGAGAATCAGATTTGCCCTGAGCAGTTCCCAGCTTGAAGGGGCCCAAGATATCTTCCTTTCACAAAGTCTTAATAGAAGCTGAAGGCTTCAGATTTAACCCAATTACTGCTGTTAAACATTGCATACAATGGTTCTCAACTAGGGGTGATTTTGACCCCCAAGGGACATTTGTCAAAGTCTAGAAACAGTTTGGTGATAACAGCTGAGGGAAGGGATGCTGTGAAATCTAGTTGGTAAAGGCCAAGGGTGTAGCATTCTGAAATACACAAAACAGCCTCTTGCTCCACCCAACAAATAATGATTTGACCCAAAATATCAACAGCAACAACACTGATAAATGCTGCTACATTGAACTGTTTTTCTAAAAGTACTAAGAGATTAAAATTTATATCACATGACTAATTTATGGGGATTAGAAGTTTTTAAGAGCTTTGTTAAGATATAATTCACATACCAAACAATTCAACAATTGAAGTATGTAATACAATGGTTTAAGTTTGTTTACAGAATTGTGCAATTGCCACATTACGTTCTATATTTTAATCACCCCAAAAAGACAACTAGTACATTTTAGTCATCATCTCTCCATCCTCCCTCTGCTTCCCACCGTAAGCCTTAGCAACCATTCATCTACTTTCTATCTCTATAGTTCTGCCTATTCTGTACATTTCACATTGATGAAATTATACAGTATGTGGCCTTTTGCATCTTGTTCTAGCATAATGTTTTCAAAGTTCATCCATGTTGTCTGTATCAGTATTTCATTCCATTTTATTGCCGAATAATGGGATTTATAACGATACTGCTGCAGAAATCAGGAGAATGGAGAGACCACTGGATGGAAAAGGAGGATTTTATTGAGTGCACTCAGACCCGGCGGATTAACATCCAAAGGCTGAGCCCTTAACAAAGGCAGGGCTTGACTTTTATACACACTTCTGAAAAGGGGCTGGATAGTTTGAAACAAGCTTATAGTGGCGCAAAATGCAGTGACACAAAAGCAGGTAACAAAGGCAGTTTATGAAACAGTGACAGGCCTGTAACTCAGGCTTGTTTAAACACATCATGTGACTCCTGCTATGTGGCCCAGGTGGCTGTTATCTAGGCTTGCCCAAGCTTATCTTGTGTCCTTTGCTGTGCTGCCTGGATGGAAAGCAGGAACTTACAGAAACCAGCCACAGAAAACAGGAATTTGCAAACTTACAAAACTTGCCAGGGTATAGCAGCACATGGGGCCGGGGCAGGTTGGGGGGTGATGGGGGGCAGGGCTTCAGCTGCCTAAAAGAAAAAAAAATTGTTTTTCCTCTTTTTAACTTCTGCTTCATTACCCCCTTTGATGCTTTTTATAAATGAGGTTTAATAGAAAGAATCATTATTATTTAATTCTTCATGTGAAGGTAGTTAGCTCTTTATTTGGCAAGGGTTAATATTTAGTTAGAGCCATTAGTTGAGTGGCAGTTTGTTTCTCTACAAGAGCCTCTGTAGCTGTTTGGATGTTCTTAACAAGGAGAGGTAGGAGACAAGGGAGTATGAGGCAGACTCCTAGTATGGCTAAAACTATTCCTACTAAGGTTTTAAATCCTCTGAGGGATAAAAACCAGCCCCCAAAGAGGGAATCTGAAGACCATCTTTTCCAAGCCTGGAATGGAACATGGGCTAATTTTTGGATTTTTGCAGTTATATTCTTGATGACCTTTCCATTGTCATCAATCTCTAGGCAGCAGTTAGTTAAACTGAACTTTCCACATACCCCTCCTTCCTCAGCTAGAAGGTAGTTTAGGGCTAATCTATTTTAATAAATAGCATTCCTTATTTTTGTGGCTTGCTGGGCTAGCAGATTTAAGGCCTTTACTGTATCATTTGTCATAATTTTAAGTACTGCTTGTAACCTTATGATGTGGTTGAGCATGTAAAGAGTTGTGTGGTATTCCCTACATTCCACCTTCTGCCCAGGTGGCTGGGCCATAATATTGGATTATTCTTTCAGGGGGCCATTAATCGTCCTTGCATTTCCCTATGGTTATGCCCCTTTTATTTCTCCTTTTAGTTTCATCATAGACAGGGTACCCTAAGGCTTCTCCTTGTTTTAAAGGGATTAGAAAGAAAGACGGTCTAATTGTTCCTAGTACACAGGCCCTTGGCCATTTAACTGGCAGTTGCCGATATGCCCACAGTCCACAAATTCAATAGAGGCCGGAGGGTGCCTGTCAGGCATTTGGAGCTTCAAGTTGGTACCGAGAGTAGCATATTTATACCCAGCAAGGGCAAAAGAGGTCTTTACCCTGGGGAGGTGGCTGAGCAAAGTGGCAAAACAGCAGTAAAACACTAATATTATAAGGAAAGCTACTGGACTTAAGATTTCTAACCATATTGACTTCCCTGATGATGACTCGAGCTTCGGCCATGTGTAAACTAGTCAGCTTCCAGGGTGACTAGAGCAGGGCTGTTGCCTCCTCAAGCTTCGGCCGTGCGTTGACTGGTCAGCTTCTGGAGTGACCAGAGCAGGGCTGTCATTGTCTTCAATGGCAATTTGGTCCCGTCGTAGGATTGGCCAGCACAGATGGTCTGGATCCTGTTGGCTGGTCCATTCATCTCAGGCCGCTGGCTTCAGCTGACTGTGGTGGATCCATGGTACAATTACTGCAACTGTAACGGCAGAGTGAGTGGGCAAGATTACAGTATGGGGCCTATCCCATATGGGTCTCAAAGTGGTTGGATTCCATTTTTTGACCCAAATAGCATCCCCGGGTTTGAAGGGGTGTGCCAGGTCTGTCAGGCTTATGGGCATTCTTTCCCATACCCAGCCATAGACACACTGCATGGCTATCCCTAAAGCCTGCATTTGCCTTCTTAAAGTTAGTTCCCCTAGTTCATGGAGATCACCCTTAACTTGACCTATAATTGGGGTTGCCGGCCGAACAAGATTTCATAGGGTGAATACCTGGTTTGTTTGGTGGGGGTGCACCTTACTCAGAGGAGGACCATGGGCAAGACCTGATCCCATCTTAGATGGGTCTCTTGACAATATTTTTTTTAGTAGCGTTTGAGTGTCCAGTTCATGCACTCTATGTTTTTTGAGCTCTGCAGCTGGTAGGCTGTGTGTAATTTCCATTTTATTTTTAATAGCCATACCAGTTCTTGAACTATTTCAGCTACAAGTGCTGGTCCATTGTCTGACCCAAGAGTTGGGGCAGTCCAAATCTTGGGATAATGTCTCTTAACATTACTTTGGTTACCTCCCGTGCTTTTTCTGTTTGGGTGGGGAAAGCTTTGACTCATCCTGACAAGGTGCAGAAGAGTACTAGCATGTACTAATAGCCCCCTGCTCAGGGCAGCTTTGTGAAGTCCATAAGCAGGTTTTCACAGGGTGTGGCTCCAATTTCCTAAATTCCCAGGGGCCGAGTAGGTTATTATGGGTCATTCTGAGCACATGTTAGACATTGCCTGCACACAGCTTGGGTGAGGGCATTGAGCCGTGGCACATAGAGGTGGCATCCCAGTAGCGTTTGTAGTGCCGTTTTCCCCATGTGAGTCTCTTGGTGGAATTGTTTTACAAACTTAGGGGCCACCATTTCAGGGATGGCTAGTCTCCCATCAGAGAATTTCCACCATCCTCCTTCAGTGCATTTTCCAGTTTCTTGGGCAAACCAGGCCTTCTCATTTGGAGAGTAACTTGGGATCTCGGGGAGGGAAGGTTCTGGGAGGAGAAGCATAGCTAAGGATTCCTTTTCAAAGTGTGGAGTAATCATTGCTGTCCGTTTTGCCTCCCTGTCTGCCTTTCTGTTTCCTTTGGCCTCTAGTGTTCTTGCTTTTTGGTGCCCTCTGCAGTGCATAACAGCTACCTTCTTTGGGGCCTATACAGTACCTAAGAGCTGTAAAATCTCCTCTTTGTATTTTATTTCTTTTTTTCCCAGCAGTTAAGAGTCCTCTCTCCTTGTATATAGCTTCATGAACATGCAATGTGGCAAAGACACACTTTTGTCTTTGTGATTTGGAATCAGTGTAAATATTGACCTTTTTGTCTCTCATCAGCAAAAGAGCCCTTGTTAGGGCCATTAGCTCTGCCTTCTGGGCTGATGCTCCGGTGGGCAGAGGCTGAGCCTCTATCACTGAGTCCAACGTTACCACCGCATAACCTGCCCAACGGACCCCTTCCAGTATGAAACTGCTCCCATCTGTGAACTACTTAACAACTGGGTCCCTGAGGGGTTGGTCTGTAAGGTCTCCCCTACTCAAGAATACTTCATCTACCATTTTCACACAGTCATGGAGTGGGGTTCCCAGTTCAATCAGGAGCAAGGTGGCTGGGTTAAGGGTGTTTACTGTTTCTAAAGCTATGTGGGGATTTTTGCATAGGAGTCCCTGGTACTGAGTCATTCCTGGATTTGATAACCAGTGATGCCCTCTCTGGTTCATTAGAGTTATAACTGAATGTGGTAACTGGATGGTCAGCTGCTGCCCTAGAGTCAGTTTGTTAGCTTCTTGTGCCAGTAGGGCAGTGACAGCTAGTGTCTTAAAGCAAGGAGGCTACCTTAGTGCCACTGAGTCTAGTTGCTTGGATAAGTATGCCACCAGGCGATGCCACAATCCTATGAATTGAGTCAGGACTCCTACAGCCATTCCTTTTTGTTCATGGACATATAGAAAGAAAGGCTCAGTTATGTCAGGCAGTCCTAAGACTGGGGCCTGTGTTAAGGCTTCTTTGATTTTTTTAAATGCTTTCTCCTGGTCAGCCTCCCAGAGGAGGGGTTCCTTTTCTCTCCCCTTGAATCTGGCCATGTTCAGTATAATAGAGGGGTCCCTGAGTTTCCCGGGGAGGCATCTGCAAAGCCCAGGCATGGCCAGACTGGAGGCAGCAGGCTTGATCATCCTGACTTTCCTCCTTGACCTGGGGCAGTGGTTTTGATTTTTCTTTTTGAGGCAAGGCCCAGGGTTCGTTACCATTTGAATTTGACTCCTCGGGGGCTGGCCTTAGTAAAGGCGGGTAGATTGGACTGTAGGGAGGATTCCTATCTCCTCTGGTGATTCCTGCAGAACTGGTTTTTCCTGTGGCTTTCCCTTTGTTTCTGTAGCTGACAGCGAAGCTGATTTTTCTTTCACTTTAAGCTTGGCTTGAGCCACGAGTGTTTTGCCATAAGCTGTCAGGCAGAGCTGCAACCACGCAGGTCAGTTTTGGACTATATGTAGCCATGAGTCAATATAAGGAAATTGGTCTGGATGCCCTGGCTGTCCTCCCAACCCAGTCACCACCTTAAATACATGGCCAATTGTTTCCCTATCTATAGTTCCTTCGACCAGCCATCTCACACCAAAAGAGGTCCATTCTATTTCACAGAGAGTTCTCAACCTCTGGGGGGTCAACTTGATCCCACAACACTCTGCATAACTTTTCTTGAAGTTCTTTAACATACATTGTAATGGGGTGGGTTTTGACAGCTTCCTTCCCATTTCCTCCCAGTTATGACACAACTTATTCACTCTTTTACTTTCTCTTCAGACTGATTAGACCATCTCCCTCATGGGAACTTTCAGATGCTGCTTAGCTTTAATGGAGGGTTCATATGAGTCCCAAACCTGGACCACCACAATCACTGAATTGTGGGGTGCCTCCCTAAGCCATATGTGGTAGCCCCGGAGGACGTTTGCCACTAGTCCTGGTTGGTCCCACACTTTGCTAGGGGCGTATGGTCTATGCTAAGAGACCTGTGGCCCCACACACTTCACTCCCCACATTGACTCCTTTTAGAACTGCCTCTTTCACATGCATTCACACACTTCCCTGCTCCCCATTCCTTTTCTCTGGGTGGGGTGTAGGTTTCATCCGACTTTGTGAGCCACTCCCACATCCTGGGTCAGACTACTCAGTGCACCCCTAGGAGTTGATCAGGCTCCCCTTCTGTCCTTATGGGATGGGTCCTGTCTTGGGCCCCAAACCTTACCACAGTCCTGTGGCGCACTATCCCTGAAATCATCCTGTAATCCCTTGGATTCTGTTGCGCTGTCAGGGAGGGGTACTGGATCACGGAAGAACCAATCCCTTCTCTGGGTTTAAGTTCCCCGATGGCATGCCTGAGGTCACAGGTCTCCCCCAGCTCAGGGCCCCAGACCCACAGGCAAAGGAGACAGCAAACCTGTCATCTCCACTCCTGGCTGGTTCACCAAAATATTGCAGGAATGAGGAGACTGGAGAGACTACTGGGTGGAACAGGAGGATTTTATTGAGTGTGCTCAGGCCCAGCAGATTAACAACCAAAGGCTGAGTCCTGAACAAAGGCAGGGCTTGATTTTTATACACACTTCTGAAAGGGGGTTGGCTAGTTTGAAACAAGCTTACAGTGGTGCAAAACGCAGTGGCGTGAAAGCAGGTAACAAAGGCAGTTTATCAAACAGTGGCAGGCCTGTAACTCAGGCTTGTTTAAGCATGTCATGTGACTCCTGCTATGCGGCCCAGGTGGCTGTAATCTAGGCTTGCTCAAGCTTATCTTGTGTCCTTCACTGTGTCACCCGGATGGAAAGCAGGAACTTACAGAAACCAGCCACAGAAAACAGGAATTTGCAAACTTACAAAACTTCCCAGGATACAATAGCACACGGGGTTGGGTGGGGGGTCGGGGTCTCGAGTTGCCTAAAGGAGAAAAATTTGTTTTTCCTCTTTTTAACTTTTGCTTCAATACCACATTTTGTTTATACATTCAGCAGCTGATGGGCATTTGGGTTGCATCCACTTTTTGGCTGTTCTGAAGAGTGTTACTGTGAACATTCATGCACAAATTTTTATGTGGAGGTATGTTTTTATTTCTCTTGGGTATATAACTAAGAATAGAATGATTGGATCATATAATAACTCTGTATTTAATATTTTGAGAAATTGCCAAAATTTTTCTTTTTTTTAATGTTACCACCCATAACGTTTGAACATTCCAATTTCTTTGCATCCTTGCCAACACATGTTATTATCTGTCTTTTTCATTATAACTATCCTTGTGGTTTTGAAGTAGTATCTCATTGTGGTTTTGATTTGCATTTCCCTAGTGGCTAAAGATGTTGAACATCTTTTCATGTTTTTATTGACAAGTTGTTTCTCTTCTTTGGGTAAATGTCTATTTAGATCCATTATTGTTTTTTAAACTCAGCTATTTATATTTTTATTGTTAAGTTGTTAAAAATTCTTCATGCAGTCTGGATATGAGCCCATTATCAGATATATGATTTGCAAATATTTTCTCCCCTTCTGTGGATTGTCTTCTTTTCACTTTCCTGATTGTATTATTTGCAGCACAAAAATGTTTAATTATACTATTGTCCAAATTATCTATTTTTCTCTCTTGTCAGTTTTTTTTTGTTTGTTTTTATTGTCATCTCTAACAGCAGTTCACAAAGTTTGCTTTCATGTTTCCTCTCAAGAATTTCATAGATTTAGCTCTTCTATTTAGGTTTATGACCTACCTCAAGTTAATATAATGTCCTTAGTGAATTATCTTGGCACTACTTATTGAAATTAAGTAGTTTACTTTTGGGCTTTCAATTTTATTCTATTGATCTATATGTTTATCCTTATGTCAATACCATACTGTTTTGTTTATTGTAGCTTTGAAATAAGTTTTGAAATCAGTGTGAGATCTTCAATTTAGTTCTTTTTCAAGATTCTTTTGGCTACTCTAGTTCCTTTGAATTCCCATATACATTCTAGAATCACCATGTCAGTTTCTACAAAATAGCCATTTGGAATTTTGATAGGTATTGCATTGAATGTATAGATCAATTTGATGAGTGTTGCTATTTTAACAATAACAACTCTTCCAATCCATGAACATGGGATGTCTTTCCCTTTATTTTGGTCTTTTAAAATTTCTTTCAACAACGTTTTGTAGTTGTACAAAGTGTTACATTACAGCATCATAGTATTCACTGTGAAAGTCTTATAATTTTTCATTAAATTTGTTCCCAAGTATCTTATTCTTTTTGGATGTTATAAATAAAATTGCTTTCTTAATTTCTTTTCAGATTCTTCATTGCTAGCCTATAACAATGCAATTAATTTGTGTATATTTATCTTGTATAATGCAACCTTTCTAAATTAATTTATTCTAATTATTAATAGTAGATTACTTAAAATTTCTACATACCAAATTATGTCGTATGTAAATATAAGAACTTTTCCTTATGTTTTTGCAATCTTAATTTTTAAGATTTATCTTGTTTACCCAATTTCCCAGGCTAGAACCTCCAATATATTGTTAAATAGAAGTAGTGAGAGTGGACACACTTATGCTGTACTTGAGCTTTGGGGAAAAGCATTCAGTCTTTCACCATTAAGTATGATATGAGCTGAGATTTTGTATTGTTTGTTTTGTTTTTGTAGATACCCTTCATCAAGCTGAAGAAGTTTTCCTCTATTCCTAGTTTATTGAATAGTTTTTTTTTTATCATAAATGGATTTTGGATTTTGTTACATGCTTTTTATGCTCTATTGAAATGACCACGTGTTTTTTTGTTCTTCTTTCTATTGATATGGGGCATTATATCGACTGGTTTTTTGGATGTTAGACCAGCATTATATTTCTGAGATATATCCCACTTTGTCATAGTGAGTGTGTAATCCTTTTTGTATGTATCCATATTTAATTTGCTTGTATTTTGTTGAGAACTTTTGTGTTTATATTCGTAATAGATGTAGGTCTGGTTTTCTTGTGATATCTTTTGTTTTTGTGTCCATATAACCAACCTCATAAAATGAGCTAGGAATTGTTTTCTATTTTTTCAAAGAGTTTTTGAATAATTGTAATAATCATTTGAATAAATAATGATTCTTTAAATAATTGGTAGAATGCACTAGTGAAATTATCTGGGTCTGGGCTTTTCTTCTGGGAAGTTTTAAAATTACTCATTCATTAGAGGTTTTTTTTTTTTTAAGATTTTCTATTTCCTCTTGAGTCAGTTGCAGTGGTTTATGTGTTTTTAGAAATTTGTCCATTTCATTTATGTCCATGGCATACAATCTTTCATACCATTCCCTTATAATATGTTTTATTTCTGTAAGGTTAGTAATAATATTCCCTCTTTAATTCTCGATTTTAATAATTTGAGTCTTCTCTCTTTTTTTCTTAGTCAATCAAGCTGAAATTTGGTCAACTGTGTTGGTTTGACCAAGGAATCAACTTTTGGTTATTAAGTTTTGATATAACTTTTCTAATCTTTATTGCATTAATTAGTGCTCTATTTTTTATGTATTACTTTCTTATGCTTACTTTAGGTTTCATTTTCTCTTATTTTTGCAGTGTCTTAAGGTGGAAGTTTGGGTAATTGATTTGAGGTCTTTCTTCTTTTATAATGTAGATATTTATGGCTATACATTTTCTTCTAAACATTGCTTTAACTGCATCCAATTCATTTTAGTTTGGTGTGTTTTTGTTTTAATTTATCTCAAAGGATTTCTGAATTTCCCATATGACTTCTTCTTTGAATCACTGGTTTTATTTATGAATGTGTTATTTAATTTCCAAATATTTATACATTTTTAAAATTTTATTCTATTATTAATTTCTGATTTGATTCCAATGTCATTGGAGAATATACTTTGCATTATTCAAACCTTTTAAATTTACTGAGGCTTGTTTTATGGCCTAGCATATGGACTGTCCTGAAAAAAGCTCCATGTACACTTGAAAAGAAGATGTATATTCTACTGTTTGTGGGCGGATGGTCTATAGATGTTTGTTAGTTCTAGTTTGTTATAGTGTTGTTTGTTTATAATTATATATCCTTTATAACCTTCTTCCCATTCTATACATTATTGAAAGTGAGATTTTGTAGTCCCTAACTATTATTGTTGAATTGTCTGTTTCTTCCTTCAATTCCATAAGTTTTTGCTTTATGTATTTTGGGACACTGTTGTTAGGTATTTATATGATTATAATTATTACCTTTTTCTCATAGATTGGCCCTTTTATCATTATTATGTGTCTTCCTTATCTCCACTAATATTTTCTGGTCTTAAAGTTGATTTTGTCTGATATTAGCATAACCACTCTGGCTCTCTAAAGTTGCTAGTGGCACGACATATCTTTTTTCATTCTTTTACTTTCAACTTATCCTCTGTGGACAATATATAGCTGAATCTTGTTTTTTTATCCAATTTAACAACTTATGCCTTTTGATTTGACTGTTTAATCCATTCACATTGCATAATTATTACTGTGATTGGATATATGTCTGCCATTTTACTCTTTGCTTTCTATATGTCTCATATCACATTTTGTTCCTCTGTTCCACCTTTATTACTTTCTTTTGTATTAAATTAATGTTTGAAGTATAATATTTTAATTTTTAGTGATTTTTAGTATATTTTTAGCTGTTTTCTTAGTGGTTGCCCTAGGGCTGTGTAGACTGACTAAGAAAAAAGAGAGAAGACTCAAATTATTAAAATCAAGAATTAAAGAGGGAATATCATCACTAATTTTACAGAAATAAAAATTATTATAAGGGAATAGTATGAACAGTTTATATATTAACTTATCAGAATGATGTGTACTACCTTAATGCAAGTAAAATATAGACACTTTACTCTTACATAGCTCTATTCTCTCTTCCTCTTTTTTAATATTGTTATTATACATATTACCTATATATATGTAACGAACCTAAAAATATATTGTTATAATTATTACTTTATATAGTTTTATGTCTTTTAAAGAAGCTGAGAGAAGAAAGGAGAGAAATACGTATTTGTAGAATTTCTTTCATTAATCTTCTTATTTATCCTTTCTGAGTCTCTTCATTTATTTCCTGTGCATTCAGGTTACCAACAGTTGTCAGCTTCCTCCAACACAGCTCCACTCCCTTTCACCTCCTTTGGGCTCTTTTTGATAAATATGTTAGATTTTATCTTTGTTATAAGCCCTAGATTATATTTTGAGTGAAAGGTCTACACCAAGCTTGTCCAACCTGCGGCCTGGGGACCACATGTAGCCCAGGATGGCTTTGAATGTGGCCCAACACAAATTCATAAACTTTCTTAAGACATTGAGGGTTTCTTTTTTTCTCATGAGCTATTTTTAGTGTTAGTGTATTTTATGTGGCCCAAGACAATTCTTCTTCTTCCAATGTGGCCTAGGGAAGCCAAAAGATTGGACACCCTTGTGTCCAATTATTCTACACAATATAGAAAAATGATTACTTACTGCAGCCCTGGGTTCCTGGCCGACTAAAGAGAAACACCCAATAGAAACAACTTCCTTCTAGCAAGAATTAACAATGGTAATTAAGAGACTTTGTAACTTTGTGATCTGTTCAAAAGACTGCCCAAGGCTAAGCCTAAAGGAACTTTCCAAGTTATTAACGAGAGTTTCACAACTCTGGAGCCTTTTATGAACAGGACAGCAATGCACTGAAACTATCACAACTGCTTCAATGTCTGATATTCCTATGGTTATAGAGAACCAACATGAATATTGCAGTTAGAATTACTAGAGAGCTCTTTTTCTTATATAAACACTTCAACAAATATGAGTTTATGCATAAAGACATCTTTTTTCAGAAGCTGAATAATGAGCAAATCCTTTTTTACAATGTTTTATATTTTTGAATTTTAAAATTTGTTCAGCATCCCGAGTCAGACAAGTAAGAATGAAATCAAACGCAAATCTGGCAACAGAGATGTTTTGTGACTCATGAGTAAGCCATTCAGGTACAGACAATACCTGTCAGGCAGGTTGGGTGTGTTGCTAGATCACTTTCTCCATGCTCAAACACAGATATGATGTCTCGACACCCACATAAGGTATTTCATGCTAAAATCAAGAAATACTGGGAGTTCCACTGAGACCTTAACTTTCAGGAAAAATAAAATCAGTGTACTCATTGAAGAGTAGCTATAATCACTCTTTGGACACAGAAACGTTGCACTCTTTTTTGAAGGTTCTTTCTTGAAGCAGACGTTTCTTTCCATTTCTTTTTTTGTCAGAAAATCATTTCACAAACTGCTTTGAGATTTAACTAAATTTCTTATTTTTTTTTTTTTAAAGTTGAGCTGGGACTGGGCATGGTGGCTCACTCCTGTGATCCCAGCACTTTGGGAGGCCGAGGTTGGTGGATCAAATGAGGTCAGGAGTTTCAGACCAGCCTGGCCAACATGGTGAATCCTCGTCTCTACTAAACATACGAAAATTAGCTGGGCGTCGTGGCACGCGCCTGTAATCCCAGCTACTCAGGAGGCTGAGTCAGGAGAATGGCTTGAACCTGGGAGGTGGAGGTTGCAGTGAGCCAAAGTCGTGCCACTGCACTCCAGCCCAGGCAACAGAGCAAGACTTCATCTCAAGCAAAAAAACAAACAAAAAAAGTTGAGCTGGAATTTGAGCTTATTTATTATTCCTTGAAAATCAAGTGTAGATACCCTCGATTGCTACCATAGGGAGTGCCACAGCAAGAGCTCAGTGAGTATAATTTGTCCTCCTGTTTTTTTCTTTGTTTTGATTGCACATTTACTCTATCAATAATATGAATGTTTCAAATTTTGTCTTTGAAATGTGGACTAGCAAAATTACTAAGATACTGAGTACTTAAAGTTACTTATAAAATACCGCTTAAAGATATCAACATCTGTTCATCTGTAAAGCACTCTAGAAGTTGTTTGCAATTTTTACTGACAACTAAGTGAAATATAAAGATAAAACATTTGGATCTTTGATGAGCTTCAATTAGAAATGTTTTTTTCCAGAATATATCATTTTTCTAATGATAAATGGTTTAGATTGTGTTAATATTTCTGTTCCACAATTGTATTATTTCCTTTTGCCCATAGACTTTTTATTCATGCATTTCTTCAAAAAATAAATATTATATTGTTTCATCCCAATGCTTATATGGAGGCCCAGGAGGCTCTGCATCCCAACCCCTCTGTTTTCTGTCTTACCTGCCAGGTCAGGATGAGAAATGCCATTGGGCTTATTGAGGCAGGGATGGTGAGTCTAGCTTTCAGTTTCCTGTACCTGGCTGACATGATTTTCTTCACCGTCACTTGCTCTGGCTGGTATTTGTATCCATATAGAAAAATATAAACATAACAAAAGCTTTGGACAAATGAAATCAAATTCTAATTCTATTAGAAGGCACCTGATGTCATTCTCTTAATGACTTTTTAGAGTATTACTGCACAAATACCCTCCACCAGGGGGTAGGGGAGGAAGCCTGTATTCTCCTCTGTCTGCATATCTAGTACTTTGCTAGTGGCTGACTTGGTGCTCCATAAACATGCCGTTTCTTCCTGACACTTTCATTTTCTTAAGCCCATTAACAGCATGAGATAGACACATATGGGTGGATTCCCAAGTCAGATGCTTTGTTCTGAAACTATCTTTAAAATCTACTGTAGACTGATTTTCAGACCATTTTCCAGTGATGGAAACAGGCTCTCCCTGTGAATTTATGCAGCCTTGTTTCCCCTAACGTTTCACCCAAAATGAGGTTAGCCCTGGAAATTCCAGTGTCCCTTAGCTACAGGGGCCCTCCACTGAGAATGGCTTACTCCTATGTGTGGTACAAGTATTATGTTTGTTGCCTGTTCACATCCCAGGAAAAATACTGATTTCTGCTCCTGAAGTCATAAAAGATTATTCAATCATAAGCCTTATGTTTGGGATTATCTTCAACTATAAGCGGCTGCACACATTCAGCTTGTTCTTCCTGACTGAAGGGTCCAGAAGCAGACAGTCTATGGGTGGGAGGGTAACTCACAATGTCACCAGGGACCCAGTTCCTTTTCATTTCTACTCAGTCATCCTTGGCACAGGCGTGGTACTCTGTGTTACAAGAGGGCTGTTTGGTCCACCAGCAGCAAGAGGAAGGGAAAGGGGCAATGGGCAAAGATGACATGTCTATTGGCAAACTCTTCTAAAGAGATTTCCCAGAGGCAGGACGAACTTCTCACCCAAAATTTGGTTCAGATGTTGAGACTGATGATACCATATATGAATCCACTAAGAAAGTATGGAAAGGTTTATTGCTTACATAATGATCCAAAAATAGCTTTAGAATCCAGAGAAGAGAGACTGGCTTGGCGTTTATTGTGGGTAGAGATGAGGCTGGGGTGAAGGCTTTTGCACAGGGGTAGAGGCTTGTGGGGTTTAAATTTCCCACCAATTCCAAAGGAGGGAGCACCTGGGCCTTCTTTTCAGCTTCCTGGATATGGAACAAAAGGAGAAGAGGGAGTAATGAGATTTGAATGCAGCCAGACATCAGAAATGTAGTCAGACTCTTTATTGCACTGTCTCAATACCCTTCTCCTGGCATCTTACAGCAGGCTGAGAAATGTGGTGTTTTAGTGGCCACAATGGAGGGCTGTTAGCACAGGAGTGCAGGATGGAGGTGAGCGGGGGGGCAGGCAGCAGACTCTGCCAGCCCAGCCATCTCGTCTTTCCTGCTGACCTCCATTCAAAGATGAAAAGTGACCTTGGCTGTCCACAAGGATCAATGGTGTTGAGGTACCTGGCTCACTTTTGTTACATAACCAAGTCCAGTGAACTACAGTAATGTAGCCTTTTCCAAAGCTTGAAGGAGCAAGAGGAAAACCATGAGAAGGAAGAAGAGAGCTACCCTTTGGGACACAGCAGGGCCCAGTGAGTGTGTTCAGCTATAAATATGGGCATCCTAAAGATCCATCGCAATGGTATGTCCTTCTGTTAATTGCAAAGACAAAGGGAACACACAAGCTAAAAACAACAACAAGAACAACAGTAACAATAACGATAGAAAGCAAAACAGCCTAATTCTGTCCTCTAGGCTGGAGACTGTAATTTTTTCCCCACCGTAGGATACTGTTAAGTTTATTCTAGGGTGAGTGGGTGCCCAAGGGAGGCAGTGAGTATGGCTGAAGTCACCTGGTGGCAGGGTGCTCAGGGATGGCCACAAGTTCTACACGGCCCTGCAGGACCTGAGTCTTTAGTCAGTTGGGAAGCTCTACCTTCTGCCCCAGCCCAAGAGGGTTGGGGCAGTCACGGATGTAGCAGTTTTCGTAATTCACAGGGATCCATGATGAGCATTGAGCAGGCTTGATTCTCACACACATACGCAGTGGCCTGGTCTTCCTGCCTTCGGAGGGTACTCAGGAAAGGCAGCCAGTGGGACAGGAAACTCGAGGGGTCCCCATCAGCCAGAATCAGCACCATGTTAGGAATGTAGACAGGGTGGACGCACTGCACCAGAACTTTGGTGTCCTTGGCCTGGCGGTCTCCACAGATGGTGATCTGCCTGAGGGTCTGCTGCTGGGCTGAGAGGGCACGGACCATCTCCGGCAATGCCACCGGGACATGGTGCATGTGCTGGGAGAAGGCAGTCACTAGGCACACACACTTGTCCATCCAGTCCTTGTGACTCGTGAAGCTGTGCAACCAGAGCGGGTTGTGGGCTGACACGGAATTGGCGCTGGGCTCTGGAGACTGTAATGTTTTAAACTCTAGGAGGAATGTCCTCTGAAAGATTGTTCAGAAGAGGAAGTTGTTTTCCCCACTGGAAGGAAAAGAGGGGAGAAGAGTCAGA
Organism: Homo sapiens; assembly: GCF_000001405.40. Taxonomy (NCBI): domain Eukaryota; kingdom Metazoa; phylum Chordata; class Mammalia; order Primates; family Hominidae; genus Homo; species Homo sapiens. Next base: position 38,238,771 of record NC_000021.9, read on the forward strand.
ATGATTAGATAAAAGTGCTTTCCAATATGTTATTGTCCAGAGCGTGGTGTAGAAAAACAAAAGTATAGTAAAAAATGATTCTCCCTTTCAGTTCTCTCTTTAACCTTTCTCTCTCTCTCACATTTTTGTACTCAGATGTTGCTCCCTGCTTAAAAATAATTCTGCAGTTGAAAAGCAAGTCACTTGGGAAGATCTGCAAGTTAAAGCCCTACCAATAGTTTTCAAATATGACAATAAATGTCTGGGTGGTGATGAAGGGTGACTTGCAGAAGCACCATTTTCCATTGAGAAGGTGGTTATTGGCTTGCTATTAGAGGAGGAAGAAAAGATCTATGTTTATGGTGCTGATGGAGAAGCATTCAGAACTAGCTGCTTTTGTGTTTAATATTTCAGTGAGGCAGGTGTCCCTAAAGGCATGTTGACACTTACCTCTAAGGATTCAACCAGAAATCTCTTTGATTTGACATTTATTTTACAACTTTGATGTTTGTGACCACTGCTCAGTTCCCACAGGTTGCTGTTTGACCACGACAAGGTCACAAAGCCACGAAGCCATAAAATATGTTCAATTCAATAGCTAGTTATGGCTCTCGGCTCAGGGACCCCACCTCCCCAAAAACTAGCAGTCTAGAGGACTCCCTTGGCAGAGAATCTGAGCACATGCGTTCTGCGAAGCCTCTTCTGGGGTCCTGATTTATTTTTATTTTTTCACTTTCTCCCCTTTATTCTCTTGATGAGCTTCAAAAAAAAATTCCATTGCAGCTGGCAAGGCCGAAAAGGTACTTAATTTCAACCACATTTTTGGTACCCTAGGAAAACTAATTAGAAATAATATACAGAGAACAAGGTATGGCATAGATGCACAAGATCTTTGCAGGCCAGTGAGCAAACCAAAGATACGAGAAATCGTAGGTCTGCCAACCTTATCTTAAAGTAAAAAATTGAGTTACAAACAAAATACAAGTGCCACCACTCCTAGTGTGGAGAAGTCAGCTTGGGCCCATATCCCAACTTTAAGTAAAGTAGAAAACATTTATTTTATGTCTGCTTTGCCGTGACTGCCCTACAGTGGAAACAGGACATTTTTGCCATGAATTTATCATTTGATGCAGATGTTTGGCTCAAGTTTCCTGATCTTGTCAGCAAAGTTGACGTTAAAACATTAGAACAAGAATTGTGGTTTATTTACGTTTTCTTACAAGGTGTAAATTTGCATATATGAGCTTTGTTTTTATTGCAGCCTCTTAGCCTCTAGTTTTGGAGTGTATGCCCTATTTTTTCTCCATGAATAGTTTGATAGTTGTACTTAAATTTATGGGTTCTTTCTACCTCTTTCTACCTTTATTTCTCCAAGTACCAGCACATTTTATTACAGTGATTGCTGCTTTCCTGTTATTTTTTTAATGGCCATCAAGAAATATAGACTCCCATCGTAGCATTGCAGGTGGCTAACCCCATCTTGACCTCTAGACTTTTCTAAGTCTGCAAAGAATAAAAACAAGGAGGAATTTGCAAAGTTCATCAAGTCTAGACCTTCCTTAGAGGCCTAATGATTATATTTGAAGCCACTCTGGCCAGTTTTCCTGATTGGAAATGGTTAAAAAGTAGCTAGGAAGTTCTGAAAAAGCAAAAGTGGTTAAGATAACAAGTTAAGCATTAGCAAGGAAGTTTTTCTTCAGTTCAAGTATTAATACATGGTCTGGGCTTTAGGAGTAATTTTACACCAGTTGTCTGTTTTCCTTTCAGAGGTGGATGGAAAGTTGTTCTCAAAATGCATCTGAGTTGTTGAATATCCATTATGTTACAGGGAAGCCATTCCTTCTTCCAAAACAGTTTTAATTTTTATGGAGTCTAAGTTAAAACAGGAACATTTATTTTCTTATGGGTAAAGTTCCTGGAATGCTCTATTACATGGATTTAGTACATTTTTTGACCAAATAACACTTGACCAAACATTATTTTCAAAATTGATCTCTCTTTAAAAAACAAAAAGATTTAAAAATATGGTTCCTTTTGCTGATGAGCATCATACTTTGGCATTTAGTCTGTAAAACCTTGGCATTTAGTCTGTCTTCCTGGAGCTCAGTTTCTTGAAATGCACATCTCGCATTCAGGGCTTTCATACTCAACAGGTGGTACCAGCCACTGGTGTTCTGCTTATAATAAAAATGATACATGTGTATTAATATTGCTCTTGAAGTTAATAAACACACCCAAATCTGGTTAATTTGTTCAAATTATTGACAGATTCTCTGTGATTTACCAGGATTAATGAGTATGCAAATACAAGGAAGAATGCCCAGGATAGAGAACATCATGGAACATATTGTACTTTATTGTAAAATAAAAATAGCCCTGGACAGCCCATGGAATGCGTTCTAACAGCATAATCAGTTCTTTACTGTGGTTTTCCTGCCAGGCGGGGAGCCCTGTGTCACACAGGGTGGGTGCCAAGTGTCTGGTTTGCGCTTTGGTAAGATTTTTCTTTTTCTTCCTGATAATTTTCAGGTTTGCAGTTTCTCCAAGTGCAAAACATCCAAGCCACCCTCCCTCTGCAGTGGAGTATTGATTTTGTTCTAGATTTCTCAGCAAAGGTTGGGATATTAGAGTTCAAAACACAAGTGGGCAGGGTGAGCCCACAGTCTCTGTGACGGGGCCTGCTGGACACTCCCAGTCTGCCGGCGAATGGCAGAGGCCTGGGACAGCACGGTGGAATTTTCATCTCGTGCAAATGAACTTGGCCTCTTAGATCCAGGTCCTCTGCTACCAACAGTGAATTTGTTACAGTGTGAAATGCTGAGGCAACTACCTAAATAAATCTGGGCAAAATATACTATCGAAGCAATCTGGGATTTCCACCCTTCATGAATTATCTCACATTTTAGTCTAAATTGTTTAAGAATGACTTGCTCACGGCTGGGCATGGAGGCTCATGCCTGTAATCATAGCACTTTGGGAGGCCAAGGAGGGCGGATTGCTTGAGCTCAGGAGTTTGAGACCAGTCTGGGCAACATGGTGAAACCCCGTCTCTACTAAAATACAAAAAAAATTAGCTGGACATTGTGATGGGCACCTGTAATCCCAGCTACTTGGAAGACTGAGGCAGGAGAATCGCTTGAACCAGGGAGGTGGAAGTTGCAGTGAGCCAAGATTATGCCACTGCCCTTCAGCCTGGGTGACAGAGCAAGACTCCATCTAAAAAAAAAAAAAAAAAAAAAATGGCTTTCTCCCTTGCTCCCTTTTTGCCCTCTGTCCACATGGTCCCAGAGTCGGTGTTTGAAAAGCGGCTTTCCACTGTCCAGAGAGGATTATTCTTAACAGGCTGATGATCCTGGAGCCCACGGCCACACTTCTGGGCTCTAGTCACCTCTAATCCACGTTGTGATAATTGGTCATTTTGTTTTGTGCAGGCAAGACTTGGATGTGCAATTTTCATACCATCTCTTGATTGTTTACCCAAACAGAAAATGTAACCAGGGAACCAGCAATATGGTAGTTATGCACTTCCCAAATCAACTTGAAGTTGATCCTAAATGCACGCTGTTTCCACTGCTGCTTCTCTGATGCAGGTTCTGCCCCAGTGATAGTGAGCTGGGGTTACTGTGAACCAAGATTGCACACGGGGCTATATGTGGAAACTCCGACCCCATGGTGCCTGCCACACACTCACACACATACTCTTTGAGACCCAACCAAACCAGCACTCAGAGGCAAAGAGTTTAAAGAGGTGGGGCTTTATCCAACATTGGAACCATTTTAAATTCCCCAAGTAGCTCCATTTCAAGTTCTTCAGATGGCCTATGAAGATCGATAGGACGTCTTTCCCTAAGCCCTTGCCCTCGTGCCTCTCCTGACACACGCCCAGCATCTCTCTTCTGGAGGCCTTCCCTGCTAAAGCTCTTTCTGTGCAACTTCTTGGCTGACTCCTCCATCCCCAGGAGGCTCTATCTAACAGCAGCCTCATCAGGGACACCTTCCCCTCCTGCCACCTGCTCTGTGTTCCCCCAGCCCACATCTTCATTACACAAACTATTTGTATGCTCACTTATAAGCTTAAGGGAAAGAGACAGTAAGCTCGTCTGGGTAGGAAGTCTGTTTTGTTTACTGCAGTCTCCATATCCTATGGAAGGGTGCCGGGCCCACTGTAGATGCTAAATTAAAACCTGGTAAATGTTGAACAAATAAAATGATTAAATCAAATGGTGTAGTATGCAAGGAAGAAACAAAGATAGGGATTCAAGCCCTGCCTCTCTACCTGGCTGTGTGACTTCAGCTCAGTTATTGAACTTCTCTTGCTTTTAATCTTCTTATCATTATAATTACTGAGATTTGGGCCACGTTTTTAGAAAGTTAAGATTTTGTGTGGCTTTTTGAGCTTTGACACTTTAAAATTGTTTATCTTCTTTTCTGATTTTTTTTTTCCTGCTGGGCTGTAATTTTCTTAAGGGCAGGATTATTAAAGATGCATCTGTTTATTTCCTGAAATTCACAGGACAACACTTACACTCAGGTGCTCAATAATCATTTGTTGGAAATAACCTGTTTTGTTTTTTCCCCAGAAAGCCTGTTTCAAAAGGTGTATTTTATAGTATTTGATCTGCTAGATCGAGGGTTGGCAAACTTTTTCTGAAAGAAGTCCAGGCAGTAAATATTTTGAGTTTCGCGGCCATACTTTTTGAGATGGAGTATCACCCAGGCTGGAATGCAGTGGCGTGATCTCGGCTCACTGCAACCCCCACCTCCCAGGTTCAAGCTATTCTCCTGCCTCAGCCTCCCAAGTAGCTGGGATTACAGGAGCCTGCCACCATGCCCTGCTAATTTTTGTATTTTTAGTAAAGACGGGGTTTTGTCATGTTGGCCAGGCTGGTCTCGAGCTCCTGACCTCAGGTGATCTGCCCGCCTCGGCCTTCCAAAGTGCTGGGATTATAGGCGTGAGCCACCATGCCCAGCCTATATTTCTTTATCACAACTCTGCAACTCTGCCATTTTAGCCTGAAAACAGCCATAAACAATTTGTGAACAAATGGGCATGGCTGTCTTGAAATGAAACTTTATTTGCAAAAAACAAATGACAGGCTGCATTTGACCTGGGAGCTATAGTTTGCTGGCCCAGCACTAGACGGTTATTGTCATAAAATAACCATTTTCTAAAAACGAACTCTTTGTTTCCACTGTGTTTCTGAGTAAGTTACATGAGATCATTTAAGTTTCATTTCTATTGTTGGCCATTTGTTATATGAATAAAGATTTGCTAAGTGACCCTCAAGCTTGGGTCTTTATTTCATTTTTAGATTATATAAGGCTTGACCCACTTAAGAAATGTAACCGTCTTTTTATTTCTCCTATTAATTTTTTTTTTGTCTTTGTGACTATCTTGTTTATACAAACTGAACCTGAGACAAAGCCGCTAGTGACTGCTTTTTGTGGTTAAACTGGTTTCGAACCCACCAAAGTCTAGAAGAGGGAAAGAAAGAATTGTACCAGATTTGATGTGTTTTGTGTAACGTAAGCCAGATTGTACCTCCTTCTCTCTCTCCCAGGTCTGTATACAACTTAGGACCAAGAGGTGGACTTTGGTGTCTTAGTTCAAGCTCTAAAAATACCAGGGAAGCAGGGACCACGACACATCCCAGGCTTGGTGCAGAAACCTGACCTGAATTGGACCTTAAGATCAGAATATAGATCTATTGTCTTTCCTCACCTGGCTGTTACCAAACTAACTTCCGCATCTCCTGGGAGTGCTTTCTATTTCATCCAGGCAGTGCCCTTATCTGATCTGGAGTGGGTTTATCTCTGGGAGAGCTATTGAAGTGCCTGACAGGAGAGGACACTAAGAGTACCTCCAGTCTCCAACTGCCTCCTCCGGCAGAACTGAGCAAGTCCTAACCATGCCAAAAACATCATTATCTCTGGTTCCATCTTAGTCCCTGCACACCCTAGGATTCAAGGACTCAAGTAAGTTGGGGAGGGGAACATCTTTTCACCCCTGGAAAACCTTGTCTCCTCCCAAGCCCTGGGAGGGGAGAACTGCTGCTAATGAGATGCTGGTAGTTAGTCTTGTAATTTTTACAGTATTATCTGCAGAATGAATGACTACCAGCAGGTACTCTGAATCTCTTTTCTTTCTAATAAGATGTAATCAACGAACCAGATTGTGGCCTTGGAGCTGACCAAAGGATCAGCTAAAGGAATTGGACACATCCTGAGCTAGTTAACACATGGGTATTGTCGGTCTAAGATGCTCTTTAGGGGCTAGTGACTCATTCATGATGTGCAGGAAATGGCACAGACACCTCCATGACCACAGAAGGTTTCTACAGGCGCCGTCATCACAGGGTCTACAAACAGAAGGAAGTCAGAGAGAGAGGCTCAGGGGAAGGCAAGGCGGGGCTGGAGACCTGGATTCTACGTCGGAGTTTACCGCATCCTGGTTCTATTCCCAAAGTCCTCTCTGTGTGGCCATATGCCTGATTCTCAGCCTGGCTTCATTCCAGTCATCTCAGGATCTTACAAACAACATTGATGTCCAGGCCCCACCCCAGACCAATGAAATCAGAATCTCTTGGACATTAAAAAAAAAAATGAGTGATTCTTTCTGGGTGATTCTAATATGTGGTCAGGGTTGAGGCCACTGCTTTACTTCATTACATCATGACACTAAAAATACTACTGGAAAGAAAAAAGGAGGGCTACCATCTGCCTTCCAATCTCTTCAGCTGGGAACCTCTTCATAAGACTGTATCTGAAACCAGGATACGAGATCCTTATAAGTAATTCCATTTATAATAACAAAGAAAGAAAAGAAAGAAAGAAAGAGAGAGAGAGAAAGAAAGAAAGGAGGGAAGGAAGGAGAGAGGAAGGAAGGGAAGGGAAAGAGAGACAGAGAAAGGAAAGAAGAAAGAAAGAAGGAAAGGGAAGAAAGAAAGAAGGAAAGGAAAGAAAGAAAGAGAGAGAAAGAGAAAGGAAGGAAGGAGAAAGAGAATGAAAGGTGTTTACAGCTGGAAATCAAACAGAACTTTGCCTGACACATGTTCATTTTTGGCCATTTTTGCCTTTTTTGTGGTGTGAACCATTAGTTCAGCCCAGTTAACCCTGAGACCACCCACAAAGACTGAATTCAGAGGTGGCTGTCCAGTACAGTGATTCAAGGTGAGGCCTGTGAAGTGAGATCAAGATTTGAATTTCTGCTTCTCAGTTCACCAACTATTTGACCTTGGGCAAGTGACTTAATTCAAGACTTAGTTTTATCATTTATAAAGTAAGAAGAATAATACCTGTCTTACATACTCTGATTTGTTGATATGATAGTCAATATGCTATAAGAATAAATTAATAATTAAATGACACGGTAGACATAAGGCATTTAAATCTAATTCCTGATCCACAGCAAACCTTCAACAAATAGCAGCTGTTATCATCAGAGCTAAAACGAATCATGTATCTAGGCTAGGGTCTGGTTTCTTTGCTGTTTTGGATAATGGCTTAGGAATAAGAATAATGCCCACTGAAGAAGTCTTGATTTTTCTTAAAGCTCTAAGCTCACTAGAGTTTTTTGCGTGTTGCCAATTTCAATCAGATCCAGGAGTATTGGTTACTGTTGGCCTATATGATGAAGATTAACTTTTGGAAGAATCTTTCTGTGGAATGCAGGCCAAAAGAATTCTGAGGCTGCTTTTGATTTGCTTTGAGTTCGTTGCAGCTAATGTGAAGGATGCAAATATTTCTATATTCCCTACTATCTGCTTGGGGTCTTCAAGAGATGAGTTACAGTGACCTGGAGGTAACATTTTAAAAATGCTAGTTAAGATTAGTGTTAAAAACACAGACAAAGTCTGAATCTCTCCAATGCTTGATTTTAATTTTTAAAAAAGAGGAACATATTACAAAGGAAGCAGAATTTCAACATAATCTTTAGATGGTAAATTATGTTTTACATTAGTCTGCATTATTACCACAATACTTGCACCTGGCTGGTATGAGGAGTGTGTGTGTGGGTTAAAGGGAGCTGTTATTTACCTGCTTATCTATCAGACTGGTAATACCAATCTCACTCTGCAAATTTAACATCAGGGATTTACTGTTCATAATAGAATAAATGCATATTGAGAACCACACTTGAACTTAGCCCTTCTGACAGGAAACTTTCAAAGTTAGAAGTTACACTGAGCTTGAATTTTAAGAGAGAGGAAAAGTCATTTAATAAAACTAAAAAATGAAGGATGGATGGATGGATGGATGCATAGGTAGATGGATGGATGCATAAGTGGATGGATGGATGGATGGGTGAATGGATGGATGGATGGATGGATGGATGGATGGATGGATGGATGCATGGATGGATGGATGGATGGATGGATGCATGGATGGATGGATGGATGGATGCATGGATGTATAGGTATATGGATGGATGGACAGATGGATGGATGGATGCATAGGTAGATGGATGGATGGATAAATGGATTGATGGATGGATGGATGGATGGATGGATAAATGGATGTATGGCTAAATGGATAGATGGATAGATGCATAGGTGGATGGATGGATCGATGGGTAAATGGATGGATGGATAGATGCATAGGTGGATGGATGGATGGATGGATGGATGGATGAATGGATGTATGGATAAACGGATGGATAGATGGATAAATGGATGGTTGGATAGATGCATAGGTGGATGGATGTATGGATGAATGGATGTATGGATAAACGGATGGATAGATGGATAAATGGATGGTTGGATAGATGCATAGGTGGATGGATGGATGGATGGATGGATGGATGGATGGATGGATGGATGGAAAGATGCATGCATGCATAGGTAGATAAATGGATGAATGGATATGTAGGTAGATGGATGGATTGATTGAATAAAATGCTGAAGTTAATAGAATCCTCTGTTACTCTGTATGCCCATATGTTCTTCATGGCCACATGTAAGGTTAGCCTTATGATGAAAGATTGGCATCAGTATTGTCATTTTTATTTCAGCTTGTGCCTAGGTTACATGTTCTCATATGTTCCCCATAAACATTCACATGGTCCAGTGTGCAACTATGAAAGAAGCTTCCCATCACCTGTGCCTCCCAATCTCACCCCACTCACTGCAATCTGAGGAAGAAATCCAACACCAAACAAACACTAGAAAGCACCTTGCTGGCGTGGGCTTCCTGTTAACTAAACTAAAATTCCATCTCTAGGACTCAGTGAACTGACAAGTGTTATTGCTTCCAAACTTGGGCTATGTTCACTCCATCCAGGTGCATTTCTACAATTCAAGTAAACATTTTCACTGTAAACTTATTGCTAGTAAGAGCACACCACATCACAAGGAACAGCAAATAGCAGACATATCTTTGCGCCTTCACACAGCAGCACAGAAATTATATCTGGTACTTGATTCAGTGTCAGGTGGTATAAGCACTTCATCAACAAATGAAGAACAGAAGGGGTAACTGAGCAGCGACAAATATTTCGTTAAGTTCTGTAACCAAGATAAGAGATAGATTCTCACACTTGATTGCTGGGAATACACACATCCTATAAAAGCCAAGAAAGTTAGAAAGTTAACTAAGTGGCACAAACTTTATAGCTTATCAGTACAATGCAAGGCACTTCAGGAAAACTGGCATGATAAAGCTTGGTTTCCTAGGAACAAGCTAATTAAATTATATTTATTCAAGTAATCTAAACTATTTAACTATTCAAGTGGTTGGACAATAAAAGAACTAGAATAAGACTCAGAAAAGCCTAGTACCTACATTGCTCTCCCTGGGAGGTGCAGCAGCACTTTGAGGGCATGCAAATTGTTTAAGATATTTTAAGGCAGCTCAGGATCTCTGCATACATTCTAGTGAAAACAGCAGATCTTGAAGGAACTGGAGTGCACGGCTTCTGTGTCCCACAATTCAAACATGAGAGGAGATGAGAACTCCTGTATTATAAGATGGCTTTGCACATGATTGTTCCTAGAGGTGAGTTTTCAGGCAAAACAGAGGGAGCTCCCTGTCTGAGTGCAACCAGCAGGAAGAGGACCTTGATGCTGGCCACCTTTGCCCCTCACCATGGAGCTGCATTCCCTGATGTCTTCTGACAGAACACACGTGGTGCAGGACAATTCCCATGCCTTCCCTTCTCCAAACTGCATAAGGACCCTGGGAGGTAAACTGTTTTTCTCAGTTCACTAGTGCAAAACCATCTCAGATAAGTCAATCCGCTTGCCTCAGATCATTGAGTTAGTAAGTAGCAGCTCTAGAATTTGAATCTATAGCTAAGACCAAACCTACATTTCTCCCTTGCACCCCCAATGGACTTTACTCCTTGCCAGAAAGAAAGAATATAACCATTTAGTGTCCCAAGGCAAGAATTACAGCTTCGGTTCAATTTTGCTGTTGGTGTCCACACTGTAAAATGAGATTTGACTGGCAAGATAAGACATACCACTGAGCAATTTGAAAAACAAAACATAATGACTTTTGCCCAAGAGATTGCAATGATTGTTTAAATTGATAACCCAAGTACTTTTTCTGATGTGCGTACTAGGTGATATATGTTATTTACTGATTGATAAATGGTAAGGCTGCACCTTTAGAATTACTGCTGCCTACTAAGTACACACAGATTTCAGAAGGGAAGTAAGCAGAGGTGAGTTTTCAGTCATAACTCAACTATCACTCTGAGTTAGGGTGACCACAATGGCAAACCAAAGCCAGTGGAACAGAATGGATGACAGATAGGAAATATTCTCCAGCATGTGATCAGGAATAAATGCATGGAGGTGAAACAACTCCAGGAATTTTTCTTAATGAAGAAGTAAAGAAAACACAGTCACTGCATGTCTAGTCTGTATAGGTGTGGTCAAACACCAAGGAAACTAAAGACTGTATGTTTGACTTTAATTTCAGAAGCCTGACTTTGGCTCAGTCATAATTCTCTAGCTTTTATTCTTCAGGTCAGACAGTCAAGGAGAAGAAAAATAAGAAAAACCAGTACCCTATTATTAGGCATTCTTTATCATCTCTTTTTCAGCTGGAGTCTCCATCATCTCTACGTGCACATTTGATAAGCTGAAGTGCAATGATAGAATAAGATGATCTTGGACAGCTTTCTCTTTGAATTCATTTTTAGCTTAATGTATTTGTTGTGGCTTCTCTAGGAAATGTTTGCTGAATTAGCCCCTGTGCATTGCTAGGGCTGATAAGGAATAGTCAAGAGTTTGAGTTCACAACACCCTCTTTCTATACTCCTGCTAGTCCTTCAGTGTGAAGTCCCTTAGATTTTTATGACAACTGGGCTGAGATCTTTCACTTTACGTAACTTAGCCAATTCGCATTGCTCAGTTTTTCCACAATAACTAGAATATTTGGCAAAAGGGCACAATTTTGCAATGGGAAAGCTCCCAAAGTGAAAAACCTAGTTGTTTACCCAGTTCTGCTAATAATAAATACCCAAGATGAGACCTGGGACTTCTCCTAGGCCCTCTTGCATTGATGCCAGGTAGAAGGAGGGGTATTAGTGCAGAATCAGGGTTTGAATGACATTCTTCTCTGTGGATATTAGAGGGATAAACTGTATGGATTGATAGGGAGGTGGTTCAGTATGTTACAAATGAGGACGTTATAGCCTAATAATATCACTACATGCTGGAGCAAATAAAGGGCCATAAAACATGCAGTGTGTACCCAGCTAGCTCTTCCAGAGGCCAAGAACTAAACTTGGAAAAGGGTGAAAGGGGCCTGATCTATGCTCAGGAATTGAAATGTCATAGCAAGAAATATCAGTACAGAAGAGATCTGGAGGTTCACATGCTTCAGACAGTTTGATGGAACTTGGTGATGAAGGACGTGCCGGAATACAGCAGGTAGAATCAAACACCTGGCCTGTCCATTGATATTGCCAACTTGAAAGACAGATATCCCATTGGCTTGGTGATTTGTTTTTAAAGCTGAAATGTGTGATTGATCATCAGTCAAGCACCAATTGACCAATTGCTAAAATATGAAAATGGAAGGAAATGTAGAATGAATCACTACTTTTGTCTTCTCCAGTTGATCTTTGAAATTATTCAGGGTGATAATCGCATTTTCTGTAATATTCTATTTCAAATATTGTAAAGTGGGTCTTGGAGTGTTGGGTTCAAAGTCAGTCTGTTGTAGGTAAGACGTGTCTGGCCATCTGGTAGAGATAGGGTCCACGGCACACATACCTCACAGTCTGGCCTAGGAGCCTCCCTGTACAGTTGATTCAGAGTTAAACCACAATAAGACAACAATAGAAGAGGTGGGGGGTAATACAAGCCAGCATGCCACACATTGATGAATGATCCGGCGAGGCTTTCAAAGCAAGGCGGGATTACTCTGGTTGCAGTGGGCTGGAGAAGGTAACTGTACTTAGCAGATATTGCTTTTCTATTTGCCAGCCCACACTGTCAACAGTGGAAAACAGTCATTATCATATCCCTTCTTTGACGGGAATTGCCACAAAATAGTTCACTTGGTAAAAGCCTGTCTGAGGTGAACCAGGAACAAACGGTGTGTATTTAACATGTGGTGTAAGGTTGCACCAACAATAAAGGAATAAAGTTCAATTTGAATAAGGCAAGAGGAAACCGGATCACCGTTGGGTTCATGTCAGTGGTTGTTTCACAGTTTCTCAATTCTGAAGCCATGCTGCTGATAGGGACCTAGAATCACCAACTAACTCCAGTAGAAGTTTAAAGGACACTTCCATACGGAGCCCCTATAGAGAGAGGCGGGCACTTCATGCACCCAACTTTTAAGTATATACATTCCCACCTGACAAAGTTAGATTTTACAGATGCCGTGGCAAATGTGCACTCAGTGCTAACAAATTAGGATATCAGGCCTGTATTAATGCTTTCATTTTCCAATTATTTTTTATTGCATTTAACAGCTGACTTCAAAAGAGCTGAGGACACACAGAGGAATAGCGTGACCCATCATCGCAATTTGCCAGCGAGTAGGGGATTTCTTAGGATGTGGGACTTTAAGTGTTAAAAACCAGGGCAGTCAGTGGAAAATCAGGATTATTGGTCACCTTACAAAGGAATGACTTGGAGGTAACATTTTTATTAAGTAAGTTTTGCATTTTTGGATAATTTTTGAACCATCTCATTTAAGAAGAATGTGGATAAAATAGCTTCCATGTCTTCCTGAGGAGGAACGCTTTGTGTTGAGGATGGTGGGTGGTGGGAAGATGGGGAAGCCTCCAGTGGGAGGCTAGAGGTTGCTTTCAGCTCCATTTACTTCTCCCAAGGGAAAGCTAAAGGACAAGGGGAGACAGGCGATTCTATAACCAAAGCCATTTTTCTTGTGATTTCTTGCTGTCTAAACTCCATGAGGCTAAGGCTAGAGTTACATTGCTAAACTGTCCCAGAGATCAGATCACTTGGCTCTTTTAATCTTTACTTAAATAATCTTTAATTATTTGCTCTTCATTTTTCCTGGAATGTCAACAACCCTACTTTGTCTCCACCTATGGAAATCTTGTGGGCTGCACTCAATTGTTCCCACCTCTGGAAGGCTACCTTCAAACTCCCAGGTAGAGTAAATTCCCCTTCCTGTGGGCTTCTAGAATATTATGGTCCTATAACACTTATCACACAATATCATGGTTAGCTATTTGTCCATCTTTCTGCTGAACTATAATTTACTCCAGTTTAGGAACTGGAGGGTCTTTGGAACTCAGCAAAAAGAAGACATCTGATTTAGTTACTAATCAAACTAAATTGACATGATACCAATAACAAAGGTTTCTATTAGTAACAAGAAAGCCCTGCTAGGATTCTCCTGGCATTTTGAGGAAAAGACTATATGCATAATAAAATCTCGTGCATCTTAAATGGAATTCCACATTTTAGTGCTGAAATTCACGATTTTATTTTAATTGGGAAACTGACAAAGTGGAGGAGGATGGGAATATTGAGGGATTGAGGAGCAATGATTAGGGGTAGTAATAGCACCTGCACCATGGATTGCAAAGCATTCTATCACTCACAGGATTAACCATCATAGCCAGTGCTGCTGGGAGTCTTCCCCAAGCCCTGTGAATGTTCTGCACTGCTTCTGAGAGCCCATTCCTGTGCTTCTCTGTGTGTATTAATTTTAACAGCCTGCTGCCCCTACCACCATCTTCATAAGATTGCCCTTGGGCTATGGGAGCCACTTCCATTTCCATTGCAGATGCAGGAAGCCAGAGCCCTTGGGAAATTGCATGCTCCCATCACCCTTTCTACTCTCAGTCAAAGACTGATGGGCAGCATCATGAAAGCCCAGCTCTCTTACCTAGGATGCTATTTTCACTCCAGAACTCCCTCCCCAGGATTAGGCAGGGACTGGGTCTTGTCCTTGTCCTAAAATTGTACCCTGGCTTCTTCCCTTCCTGACTTGCTTTCCCCACACCACTTTGGGTTCCTCCTGGGAGTACTACTTTAATAAATTGCCTGCGCATTTTTGTCTCAACGTCTATTTCCATATAATCTACCTCCAGACAAGATTTTAATTTTGTGGCTTCCCAGGACAAGCTTCTTGCTAGAAAGACCCAAAGGCAAGTAGGTCCTCACCTCTGGCCTGTGAGGTCTGGAAATGGGTACACATTATGCTCCAAGACTCACCTATATTCCAAGGAATCATTTTCAATGCCTCTAGGATAAGGATGGTGAGAACAAACTGGAGACAGCTGGCCATATCATGATGCACCTGTGGAGGGCTCTTTAAGCTGCTAGATTCATGGAAGATTCTGAGGAAGTTTTAAGAACTGTTGTAAGCTTCCATAAATAGCTCCATATCTAACCCAACTTAAATAGAATTTATTCCAAGGTAAAAATATTTTTTCCCTCTCATCACACTTTAAGGTTTTTTATGTCTTGATTCAAGCCAAGATGAGGATTGGAAACATTATAGCATTTTTTTTTCTTTTTTGGAAATTATTCTTGGGAAACAGTTCTCTTGAAAAATTTGGTTCTTGTGAACTCTTCTGCCCAGTATTCAGATGTCATTTCAGATCTTCATAGAAAAATCCAGACTTCTATGTATTTTCTATGCAAATTTGACACAACTAAGAGTCTTTCCGTTAACTGTGGAGGTGGGGGTTGGGGAGCAGAAAGAAGTAAACACAACTTACTGAATAGTCATTTATATTTGTTTTTATCTTCGGCTAAAAGGTCAGTAAAATTAACCATGTTCAATTATGAAATGATTAGCTATGTTATTTCATGTAATCTTATACACTAGATTTCCCACTTTACTCCTTAGAACCAGAATTGTGAAACAAATTTTACTCATTGGATGAGAGAGAGATTGCATGGCAGAAAATATTATTTTGTCAGGATTAACAGTTTGTCCTATTTCCCTTAGTTAGTTTCAGAAATTTCCAGAAATACTTAGATCATTCAGTTGTTAAAGCATGCTTAACAAAGCCTGGCCTCTATGACAGAAGTCACATAGACGCGCATTTTAGAATTTCCCCACTCACCTCTCAACCCTGCAGTCATACATTTATAATGTCTCATCTCCTTTGGTAAACTGTCAGATCTGCAGCCTCAAAATCTAATTGTTGACATATCACCAAATGAAAAGTAACAAAAACAGGTAAACATCACCAAAATGAAGAACATTGTCTTAGCATTTAAACTTTAAAATGTATTTCTACTACTCTGGACTCATTTTTTCCTTCCATCATCTTTAAAATTGTTATAAATGAGTATCTGCTCCACTGTGTATGGTCCTGCAAGAACTAAAACTTCCCAGAGTATTAAACTGTGGTTAAAATTCATGCAGTATGTAACTCGATGCTGAGAAGAAGCTACATATGCATATGTATGCTCAAAATATAAGAATTTAAGAAAAATGTACGATAATGAAAAATGCATGGATTGAAAGTGAAAAGAGCTGTTTTGAGCTTCAATTCATCGCTCTGTAGCTGTGTGACTTTGCACAAATCACTTATCTTCTTTGGCTTCCATCTCCTTGCCCTTAAAATACAACTAATCATGCCTACATTTTGATCTGAGCATGGACTTAACAACATTTCTGGCAGTGTTTTACAAATTGAAAAAAAGGTGTTCAAATGTTAGTTTATTAAGTAAAGCTTAGGCTGGAAATACAGATTAAATATAAGGAGATAATTAAAGTTCCACGGTAACAAATCATGTCTTCCATATGTAATCTTTTGTCAACCCACTTGACAAATATGCATATTTTTTGAGGGACTATGATGTGCCAGATATTGCTGGAAAGATGTTTGGTGAATAAGACAGGTACCATTGAGCTCTAGACTGGAACACAGATGGTAAATGGAAAAGCTTGAGGGCAACTTCAGACAGTGATAAGTGAGATACACAACAAAAGGAGTCTTGGGGCACGGACTTGGATCAGGACCAGATCAGATAAGGACCTCCCAGAGGAGGTGCCATTCAGGCTAGGACCTGAACAATGAGTCAGCTCAGTGAATGAAGGCCAGAGGGGACCATTCCAGGCCGAGGAAACAGCCCCTGCAAATCATCCCACCTGAGCAGCTGGTATATACTCAGATCCTTTAATTCTCAGTTTTCCCTCTTTCATCGTTCTGCACCTCTGTGCTTACCTGTTTTCTATGGGACTTTTAGCATATCCTCGCGGGAGGTCTATCTGATTCTAGACTCCGGGAGTACCAGCTCTAAGAAGTCCAAATCTCGTGTAGCTTCTTCATCCTCCTGCCCTGAACCCCTGGGAGCCCAGTGTCTTCTTTCCAGGGCCACCATTTATACTCCCAGGCTGAAAAGGAGTCCCTTGCTTCCAGGGAAAGAAAGAGCAAAAGAGAAGGAGACTGAGGCATACCATCTCCACTGGGAAAACAGAAATGGAATGATTTATGCCCTGAGCTTTGAGTCAGCAGGGAGAGGGGGGAGAAAATAAGGAAGTCTCAGCCCTTCCTTCCTAAAGACAGAATGACACCCCATCCCTTCCAGCTCCCACTTAGTTCAAGCACCCAGAACAGCAGCAGCTGCACTTGGGGTGAATTGCAGAGCCCAGTACTCTGGGGAGAGGAAGTATCATTCATTTCCAACAGAAGCAAAGTGTTCCTCACCCTGTCTGCTCTATGTCAAACCAGATGCCGTGGTCTGGCCCCACCGACATGCCTGGGCAGGGGACGTGTGGGTATATCATCGTCTCCCATGGGAAACAGACCGTTTGCGTCTCTTGGCATTGCCTTTGGACCAGTGTAGAGGGCTCTCTCTAGGGGAAGTGCTTTTGAAAAACCCATTCCATCTCTTAGGATTGACCACGATCCCCATGCAGTCTGGCCGTGAGAAGGCCAGGAGAGCACATGAGCCTTGGACGGGCCTCCCTTGATGTGGTGGCTGCAAGAGTCACTTTGCATAGGATGGACATATAACCCCATTCCCGAAAGAAGCTTACTGCCTCTGCTTCCAGAGATCTTCCATTAGAAGCCTTCTTCAAGGATGGAATTCTGACCATTTCTCATAAAGATGCCAGACTATGCAAGAATGCTGGAACTCAGATTCCAACATGTATCCCGAAGCCCAATTTCCATGATCCAGAAGAACCAAATTTTGCCCATGTCTATTCAGCTTATATATATATATATATATAATATTTATCAGGGAAAGCAGGGCAATAGAAAAAAATCAGCTCAATAAAGGGGTTGAGCTAAAAACATGAGTTTTCCTCTGTGGCATTTTGCTTAGGTATGTTTGACATAGGTATAGTCTGTATGGATTCATTCTGATTCCACCAGGAGGCAAGAGATTTTGTTAATATTCATTTGGGGAGGAGAGAGGAAAGAGAAAAAGAAAACATGGGATAAAGGAGAGATTGTTAGAAAAGGTAATCTGGTTATTTATTTATAGTTTACTTAGCCAAAGGGACCTTAAAATGCTTTGATAAGAATGGCCAAAGTTTCTTCAAAGATTAACTGGCATTCTTTAAAAAGGCATCAGTTTTCTTTTGCACAGGTGTTTGGAGAGCCCGGACTGGATGCCCACTAGAATCCTGTGCTGGTTTGTAGATTTCCTTAAGACCTTAAGACATGCTGACATCATGGTCTCCTTTCTCAGATTCCTTCTCTCTTTTTCTCTTTCTCCCCCACTCTCTCTCTCTGTCTCTCACTTTCTCTCCTTTCCTCCCTCCCTCCCTCCCTCCCTCCTTCCCTATCCCTCCCTCCTCTGCCCAATGTCTCCCAATCTCTTTCCTTTCTCTCTTCAGTTCCTCCAGGTAATTCTTACTCAAACTTGTACCAACTTGTTTTTGACTGACAGTGAACAGTGAGAGAGTTTTCTTCATTTTGAGGAACCCTAAACACCTATCTTTCCCAAGGCAACCTGTCTGGACTGAGCATTTCTCTGACTTGACATAACTTCCCATCCAGCCAGGAGTCTGCACTCTTCAGTCTTTGCAGGTAAGAGGTACACGGCGCTTATGTTAACTCTGGGGCATGTGGCACGCTGGAGGTATTTTTGAAAAACTTTACTTCTAAAGGTAATGAAAGCGTTGTGATTCTTTTAAAGCTTATTTAAATCATTTAAGACGCCCGTGCTTATCTGGGGGAATTTACAAGTGCTGTTTGCATGTGGAAAACGGGATTTTACTTAATGATGGGACAAAAAAAAGTGTTTTATTCTTGCTCGTGAAACAATATCCAGATGTCGTCTTGTTTGCGGTGGGTGTACGGGGGTCTAGCTTGCGGGACAAGAATTACTCCGACTTCTCTTTGCAAGGGTCTGTCAGAGCAAGTTTGTTGATTTTCAGCGATTACATAGTTCTTTGGCTAATTCTGAAGCAGTTACTTTCCTTTGTCAATGGGGAAATCAGTTTAGATTGCCGTAAGGCGAAACCTCGCCGGAATATTTTAAAATCTGTTACCTATCCTTTTGAGAAAAGTTATGTAAGTTTTCTGTGGTAGGTGTAAGGAATGTAAACGATCCTGAGTTTGGAAATATTATGAACTTTGTTCATGACCCATGATTAATATGTTTTTTAATCTGTGTATAATTTCATGAGAGTTTAGACTATCCTCAGCTAATAAATGTTATACTGGGTGAAATTTCCACATTGCTCCTGTAACGCCAACGTTTGTCTCCTCTGTACTTCCGCATTTAGTCACTTGAAGGAAATAAGAATTTATTGTTCAATAGACATTTCTTGACCTCATAATTTCTTTTAACCCACAGGTTAGAAAACTTACAACGAATGTAGTATTTGACTGTGGAAAACTAAAGACCAAAAATGTGTACCATTAATTCAAATGTTTAGATTTATCTTTTTCCCCTTTACCTGTAAGAGGGATTTTGAAAAAAAAAAAATCCAAGTGATTCTTAAAATTCATTTTTTGCAACCTCAAGATCACAAGCACACACTCACACTCATGCACAATCAACTGTTATCCCCAATCCTATCTTCTTTTGTCCTCTTGTGAATGTTTAAACAAATATGAAACAATCGGTAGTAATAGCCTTAGGTGACAAATTCTCTCCTATTTAAAATTGTCCTAAAAATCAAAAGAAAAGTGTCCCATAAAGCTATAATACATTTTTAAATATCATCATTTTGTGAAAACTAAATACAGTATCAGAGACACTTCCAGCCGATTAATTAGGTAAGTAAGCACTTACCTCACACACAGCTTCCCCGGGCGCTGTTCTTTCTTCCCATACCTTCTAGGGTTTTACTTTTTAGCAGTTTTTCTCCTTCTCTGTTAATATAATAAGTGACCATCCAGGGAATGGCCCAGAGGCCACAAGGCAAGTCTTCCCAAAATACTGAAGATTAGAAGAGTTTAACCAAATTCCTGGTAGCAGCATGTCAGAAACGCTCATCAAATAACGGAACAGACCTTTCTTCACTGAATTAAATAAATGTATAAATAGTCTGGGGGTTTTACAGAAATTGCCTTAGTTGAACTTTGTGATTCTGGTTGCTTAAGGAAAACACATTTTTCTAAAACGTCCTCTCTCCATGTTTCCACTCCTTCCTCCCACCAACAGTTGTGGTCATTTTACAGAAAGTCTTATTTCCCCAATTTCCTCTCCTCACACTTCTCACCAGTGCAGACAGCCAGTGTTTTGGGGGGAAAGAGAGCGAGACCCCAGGCTGCACATGCCAGCAAACCTGAGAAGCCAACAAAAGCAGGTCTCTGGGCTCTTTCCCATAAGGCTCAGCACAACCTCACTCTGCTTCTGCATCGAGGAAATCTCGAAAGGGCTGTGCTTTCTTGGGGCGTGTGTGTGTGTGTGTGTGCGCGTGTGTGTGGTGTGTGCAATTATATACCTGAATAACAATGACATACTCGTTATAAGAAAACTCACCAATATGTGGCTTTAGGCACGGAATAGAGAGGCAAAGTTATTCGGATTTAATCAGTACATGTCAAATCTTTGGAATATCCTTTCCTGTGCAATCCCCTCTCATCTGTTTAGAGACTCAAAGCAGCCCACGAAGTTTTTTGCATACTTTGCCTCAGAGTCCAGGATTGCTTATGAAATGTATTTGTGTGGTGGATGCGTCAGAGTCTTAGAGCCAACATAAGAGTCCAGAGACTGAGCTGTAAGCATGATAAAGCTGTCAATGACTGGCCCGTGGGAATGCTTGTTGAAGGCATATACACCTCCCTAATCATTTTCTTCAGTCTTTAATATGTAAGTGATACAGCTACCGTTATTTTTTTCCCTGCAGCAATTCAAGCATTGCACCCCGGATTAAATCATGTATCTCTAAATATGTTGTTTTAATTCTTTCAAGTAAAAATAATTCCACACCGAAAATTGTCAGAAAGCCATTACATGAGTTAATATTAACTTTTATGTCTGCAAAGATGAGTTTGTTGCTTATTCATGGGCAAATACAAGAGGCAAGTCAGACAGAGGTTATTGTCTACCTTCTCTCTCTTCTGTCCTTTACCTTTATCTCATAAAAGCCACCTCAGGAGTGGGGCTTTTGGTGCAGCTGATGGTGGGATAAGGCCGGGGAAGTCTGGATCTAGAACAAAGTGAACCAAGGGTGAGCCTTATTCTATGCCCCTCAAGGATGCAGTGCCCTGGAAGGAGACAGGTCTGACTGAACACACCTGGCTCAGGTAACTTCCTGGTGCCAGTTTTGCAGACAGGTGAAGGAGCAGTGTGACCCGGTAGTAGCTCCAGAGACAAGCAATCTAAGAAGTGCTAAATCTTCCCTAAAAGAACACAAGGAGCCTGCTCCTACCTTTAAAAGGAGAACTAAGGGCAGAGAGGGAGAGAAACTAAGTTATAATTTATAAATAAAGGTTTATAAACATTTAGGAAATGCAACTTCTTTCTTGGATCCTTTATTTATAAGTTCTGACTTAGTTTCTCTCCCTCTATGCCCGTGATTCTCCATTTAAGAAGTTTTATTTGCTAAATATTACTCTGTTGAAATGAAAGAAAAAAATGAGGGGGTAGATATTTCTGATAAAAAGGCCAGGCGAGAAAGTTGAACTTGACAGGTGTAGCCTCTGGAACACGTCTCTGGATGAATTCAGATGATAGTAGGGGGATCTCCACTCATCGTAATGCAGCTGGAATACACATAGTGAATTCTGTCACATGCCCAGGGAGAATTTCAGTCAGAAACATCTGTGCTGTTTTCACAAGGGAAAGGTCAGAACTCCATGAGTAGTTCATGTGTCTGCATTTCTTTTGATGGGCATTGTGCCTCAACTAGAGAAGAGATCAATAAGCCAATAGCCGCCACTATCCAATTTGAATCCAGAAGTTCACACAACCTAATTCCAGAATACAGTTTGTGCTTCTAGATGAAAAATTCTAAAGCACAAGCACACAATTCCAGATATTTTAGCCACTATACAAAGATGAATCAGGGTCACGTGATCATGCTCACGTCAGAAGATGCAGGAGAAGGACAAAGTTTTGCATTTTGGTACAAAACACGCATGTGCCAGCCACCCGATTCGTTTCCAGTAGGGAGCAGTTGAGTGGAAGGTCATGTCTGCACTACCTTAGGACTGAGGACCTACAGAGGGAACACTGGAAAGAATTAGCAACAGAATAAGCCAGGTTCTGTTTGATTCTGTCTCTCCCACCCTGCAGCTCCAATTCAGAGCAGTCTTAATGTGCAGGGATCCGCATAGAACCAGCCAAGCAGGGCCTCTCGTAGTAGCCTGACCAGAAGTCACAGAGGCTGTGTAGGCCACTCATTCCCTCATTCAGAGTTCAGACATCCTGAGCCTGCCCATGTCCCTGAGATTACAGATAACACGAATCCTCAGAGTCACCGCTGGGCCATCAAAGAAAAAAGAGGGTGACGCAGAGAGGGAACACTGCAGGGGAGGAATGCAATTCTTAGGGTGCTCTGAGGACCCAGGTGCCTGGGTTTGGGTTTCATTCACATCCTGCTTCAGTCGGAGCTGCCCTGGTGTTGGGCGGATGGCTATGGAACTCATGTGCATTTTCTTTAGTGTCTACACTGGAGGCTGATGAAGATTTTATGGACCCTTAAGATTGCACAATTTGGGGGCTTTCTTTAGAGAAAACAAATGCAAAATTAGGACTGTACTATTAAGTACAAGGATTTGGATAGGACCTGGGCAAGTGAGGAACCCTGAAGCTGAAGTTTCATTAACTTCTTGATAAATCCACTCTGTGTCATACATAGTAAAGCCCTGATACTTGTCTCTTGAATGAATGGTTGAATTAACTTATGTAAATTTTAGCTGCTGGCTGCTCTCTCAATAACTCTGAAAAATGATAAGCAAAAAATACCTATCATGTTTATCCATATCTAGTGATCAGTGATATATGGAAAACCAATCTTAATGCTATCTAGAATGTTTCTTGTTTCATTGGCACCTTGCCATGAAAGGTAGGTCCTTGTACTGTAGTTGAACCTTTAGGTCATATCTCAGCTCAAGGGTAAGATGCTATCAAAGCTGCTTTTCCTATGGTAGAATATGTGAGTACTGAAATTAACTGTGCGCTTTTTCCACCTGAAAAGCCCCCAACTTAAAACCTAAAGAACGTTATGCTAGTTGTGCCACTAGACCCTAGAATGGTATTGAATGCATGAATAATAAGCATCTTCCTGAGCAGACTTGAGGGCTTGCCCCAGTGGAATATCTGTGTCTTTGGTGAGAAGCCTTCCTCTTTTTTCCTTAGTTTCTATTAACGCTGTTTCCAATTTTCAATAGCAGTTAATTGTGTCATTTCTTGGTAGAAATGCTGGCTAAACCCATGCCTACCAAGCCAAATAATGTTCTCACTCAATGATGTTTACATTTTCAAATATTTGCAGATTGATATCTTGCTTCATCTTAGACCTCTTTGCCAAAAAATACAAGGTCAGCTCCCTGAATCTTGCTTTCTTATTTCCTGAGTTATCCTTCATGTCTATTCCAACCTTTAAAGGACAAATTTGAAAAGTTTATCCTCTGCTTTGAAAGTTTATGAAATTTGTCATCATTTGTACTCTTCCTACCAACGCCATTCTCACATATCTGCTAGGAGGTAAAGAAAATATAATGAATCCTGGAGCACCTGGCTGCTGTGACTAGCATGCTCTAAATACTAAGAAATAAGAAACCTGCCCTGTCTTTTTTATATTGTCAGAAGTTTGTGGAAAGAATTTATATATGGACAGTGAGCTGTATTACATACAGACACAAACATACAAGTGACAAAAGCAGTGTGGGTGTGTATTTAGCTAGGACATTAATAACAAAACTGACTGTGTAGGTATAGAGAGGCTATCCCAATGTCAACAACATCAGAATACAATGGTACTGTATTTTGAACGTCTTGTTTAATATATTTCAAATCTATAATTTTGACTTACAGTCAAAATTAAACATTAAGTGCACACAAAACAATTACCCTTTAAACAGTATTTTTAAAAAGTGATGTCATAGTGACATTGACATCTGACATCTTTTTTTTTTTTTGAGATGGAGTCTTGGTCTGTCACCCAGGCTGGGGTGCAGTGATGTGATCTTGGTTCACTGCAACCTCCACCTCCCGGGTTCAAAGATTCTCCTGCCTTAGTCTCCCAAATAGCTGGAATTACAGGCACCTGCCACCACACCTGCCTAATTTTTGTATTTTCAGTAGAGATGGGGTTTCACCATGTTGGCCAGGCTGGTCTTGAACTCGTGACCTCAGGTGATCCTCCCACCTCAACCTCCCAAAGTGCTGGGATTACAGGCCTGAGCTACCGTGCCTGGCCGACATTGATATCTTAACGTCACTCCTTAAAACGAGTTGGATATAATGTCAAACGACTTGATTCTTGTCAACAGGAATGCTGTGATAATCTGATTACGGAAGACTCAGGGTCTTGGTTCCTAGGCCCTAGGGACAGAAGAAGGCTAGCTTCTCCCAGACAGGCCAAAGCTGCTTTGAGGAGGGAAGGGGAGGTGAAGTCTCCACTCCATTGCCAGCAGGACACACCTGCCTAGGAACTGGGGGAGAACTCTCAGAGGCTGACCCTATACTTCCTGTCTCTGGAGTCAGGGGACAGGGGTGATTCTGCTGGTCAGAAGGCAGGAGGGAGTGTCCTGAAACACAATTGAATTTGACAGCAAAGCACTGTCTATCCTGGGAAGTTCTGCTGGTGAGCGGAGTCCTGTGAGGGTCCTGGTAACCCTATCCCTGCAAGAAATAAGAAGGTCTGCACTCAAATAGGTTCAGAAAACCTTTCCTAGTTTAGGCCCCTCTTGAATCTTCACAGCAATCATTAACATTTTAAAAACCCCAAGAAGTTCTGCAGCAAAGACGTTCTTTAACTTTGAATCCAAGTTGTACATCCATTTTGGACCGCAGAACTGTCCACCACCTCCTCCCTGACCACAACTATGATTCCCTCCTCTGACTAACGTTTCACACAACCCCACGGGGGATGCTTTGGCCAACTGTGATGGGTGTGGAGTGGCAAGGCATCGTGCGATCCAAAGAACATGTGTGATGTCCAGGCTCCATTTAGGTGTAAGTTGTACTACTGGGGCCTGACTACCTCTGCATGTGACTGGCCAGCCTTCGGGATTGCGAAGTGGCTGCTTACAGTCAGCCCCAAAGAATTTTTTTTTACTTTCTTTCTGTTTCTTTATGTCCACCTTATTCCTAAAAGAATTTAAGTGAATTTACAAAGATACATACACACACACACACACACCATGAAATAAAAGAGGAGGAAAATAAGAGTAAATGTCAAAAAGGCCATTTGATTAAATCATTTACTTACATAAATTTGAACTATTTTTAAAAATCACAGTTGAGTGCACACAGATCCACAGTGCCAGAATCTTACTTTTGAGCTCAACATTAAATATAGATCTTAACTACATCTGAACTTAACTTAGCTTCCTATTTGAACCTGGGAATCAACTGGGCACTCACTGAATGTAGTTTTACACGCACTGTATTTTACAATTCTTTTGAAAGACAATGTCCATTTTCCTCTGTGGATCTTTTAAATTTTATTTCACCTTTTACACCCCTTTATGTATAATTTGTTTATACTGAGATTGTAAACTTTCTTCATTGGCTTAGACTCAGGTCTGGCACTAGCCTAAGGGACTAATCTCTGGTCCATCAGGCCTGGGCTGGGAACCCTCTGTGGGATTCCCTCCCCATTCCCGGAGATAGCTGGTTCGCCCTGCTTGGCCCCACTTTACAATGGCCTGCTTACTTGTCCCTTTTCCCTACAGGGCTGCAAACTCTTTGACAATGGAGATTTTATGTAGTTATTTCTTTGTGCTTTCAGGGCATGGCCCAAGGTATTCTTCAAGCAATATGTATTGAATCCACAGGCACTGACATGAAAGGCATAATTTTTGCTATAATTACATCTTTACTTTCACCATGAACTTACATCTACCTCATCCTGCAAACGCACAGCAGAGACCTTTTTATCTGAAGTCTTTTGAAAATATGTGTATGTGAAAATGGCTAACTGGTGTGTTCTCTCCCTTGGTGAATATTACAAAGTGATAGATTGGCTGCTAGAATTGCGTAAGTGGGGTTATTAAGGAGGGAGACATCTTATTAAGGAGTGACAAGAAACAGGGAACCATGTGCTTAAGATATAGAAGTTGTGTAAACCCAACAGAGGAGAAATAGAAAACATGCAGGTTATTTTGGAAAGAAGAAAATGAAGACACTTGAAATAAAACAGAAAAGTAAATACGGAGCCAGCAGGGTTCAGCATGGGAGTGTGGGCTGGAAGTCTGATTCTGAGGAAGAAAACAAGGGGAAAAAATAAAAGAAAGAATATACTGCAATCCCAGGCTAGAAAGGGGTGATTTGATCCATGGAGCAGCAAATGCAGAAAACAACAAAATTAGCATCATTTCAGTCTCCTTCAAACGCTATGTCTAGATCTGGCTTGTGTTAGCATACCTGTGGCAATAAAGGTATTTGGCTCTGAATGTGTTTTAAATTTTAAATTGAAGAGAATTTTCTAACATTTACCCATTTTAAAGATGAAATATTATAGGACTAAAACTTGTAAGGGCCACTTTTCTGTGATTACAATCAAGCGAATTTCATTGCAGCTGGGAGCAGCCTATGCCAGTATATGGCATTTCAGAGTCTAGGGCTGCATAAGGATATGTACATTTAAACATGAATTGTATAATTATGGATATTAACATGTCTAGTCCAATATCCTGGGAATGTTCCCTAAATGATACTTTCTGCACAGCACTTTGCTTAGTTTTCAGTATCTGAAGAAATGGTCTGACTTGCTAGCCCTGTGGTTGGTAGAAATGTATATTTGATGGGTTTTTAAATCAACTCTCACTCAGATTTTGAATAGTCAGGCTTTAACCCTCAGTGATCTTCACCAAGTATATTCTTGCCAAGGGCTTACTCTGCAGGAGGCTGGGTGGTCCGTCTTATGTCGATTTAGAAGATATAAGTGACATCAAGGACTCAAGGAGCCTCCAGGCTGCTGCTGGACAGAGGTGTGGATAGGAAGACATGGAGGTAGAGAAACAGTAAAGAAAAACACCCAAAGCACAAGAAAGGCTGCAGTGTCCAGCAGAATGTGATGACATTGACATGAGAGGCCCTGACAAAGTTCCAGGGAAAGTCAGAGAGGGAAAGACCAGATCCCTTTGGGATGACTGTAAGAGGCACTGGGACATTTGAGATGTGCCTTGCAGAACAAGACGACTTCCAGGGTCAGGACGGGGAGAAGCCTTCAGAGCAGGAGGAGTTACCATGCACCAGCAGGAGGGTGCGGGAGGTCGGCAGTGTGCACAGGGGCTGAGCTTACTGCAGGGAAAGAATGGGAGAGTGAGGGCCACAGTCAGGACAAAGCTGGCAGCCAACAGTGCTGAGCACTCCTGAAAGGCCAGGCAGGGCTCTAAGTATTTCTTTTTGTTTGTTTGTTTGTTTATTATACTTTAAGTTCTGGGATACATGTGCAGAATGTGGAGGTTTGTCACATAGGTATACACGCGCCATGGTGATTTGCTGCACCCATCAACCCGTCATCTACATTAGGTATTTCTCCTAATGCTCTCCCTCCTCTAGCTTCCCACCCTGCTGACAGTACCCAGTGTGTGATGTTCCCCTCCCTATGCCCATGTATTCTCATTGTTCAATTCCCACTTATGAATGAGAATATGCGGTGTTTGGTTTTCTGTTCTTGTGTTAGTTTGCTGAGAATGATGGTTTCCAGCTTCATCCATGTCCCTGCAAAGGACATGAACTTATTTTTTTTATGGCTGCATAGTATTCCATGGTGTATATGTGCCACATTTTGTTTATCCAGTCTATCATTGATGGGCATTAGGGTTGATTCCAGGGCATTTGTGTTGGTTCCAAGTCGTTGCTATTGTGAACAGTGCTGCAATAAGCATATGTGTGCATGTGTCTTTATAGTAGAGTGATTTATAATCCTTTGGGTATATACCCAGTAATGGGATTGCTGGGTCAAATGGTATTTCTGGTTCTAGATCCTTCCATGGCTCTAAGTATTTCTTAATCCTCACACAGGCAGGCTTTCTTGCTAACCTCTTTAGAGATGAGGAAAGCAGGGTGCAGAGGTTAAGTAACACGCTGAGGACACAGGCTTCAGAGAGGGGTGAAGCTGGCCTTTGAAGCTAGGTTGTCCATCTCTAGAAGCCACACCCTTAAGCCTCTGCTGCAGGAGGTGGGAGTTAAACATAGGCAATGAGAAGTCATTGAATATTTTGGTTTTCTGGGTCCTGAGCTGCACTTTAGAAATACCAGTCTGGCAGTGATGATCAAGTGACTAATTCAAAGGGTATTTTGAGAGACTGAGTGAAAGGAATGAAGACCTGGACCAGCATGGTGGCTGTGGGAAGGGGCAGGAGAGACACCGGTGCAAGGGAGATTCAGCAGGTGGAATCTGGGGCTTGCACTGATTGGATACAGGAGTACAGTTGCTTAAAGAGGGAGAGGTGAGAGAATGAGGACGCCATTGTTAGGAAACAAAAATCAGGAGATGTAGCTGGATTTAGGGAGAATAATATGCCTTCAGTTTTGGATGAGTCAGTTCTGGACTGCTCTCATTCCAGGAGATGTTGGAAACAGAGACTGGATCCCTGAGGAGATGCTGTTAGTGAGCATTGATTAACACCATGGGACTCTGAATAGGCAGTAGGGTAACTCAGAGGATGCCAAGAGAGAATAGAAAGATATAATAAAGGAGGATGAGCACAAGACCTTGGGGAATATAATTACAAAGGATGGGGAAGAAGAAAAACCCACCACGCTGCAGGAGAGTGAACTCTCAGAGAGGCAGATAGATGAGCAATGAGTCTGCTGACCCACTGGTAACCAACAGTAGGAACTTTCTGAGGAAGACACAGTTAATGGCGCCACCCTTGACTCATATATCAGAGAAGAGGAGATGGAGGGAGTTGAAGGGAAGAAACAGTGGAATAGGAAGGCTTGGTAGCACCTTGCCAACTCAGTTCAGATGAAAAGCCTGAGAGAAACTGAGAGATTATCATTTGGCTGGCAGAGCAGAGTTCTCAGGGTCCTGGAAGCTGGCTGTCTTCAAGCCTATTAATGGTTAATGTTTCTCATGCTCTTTTTTGCTAAATTTGACAAACCTATTCCCCTTCCTCCTCAAAGTCAACTGAGTTATTCACTCAGTTAAATCTATCATGACTTAAAAAGTATATGCTTAGCTTGGAGAGGGGGTTACATCTGTTCTTGTAGTCACATAATTACTGGAGACATGAAGGAAGATTCCAGCAACTCAGGCGCCTTCTGAACAGGTTGAATACCTGGTTTTTATGAGCAACCCGCTTCAGTTTTCTGAGAAGCTCTGAGTAACTACAACTAAACAAGTCTATTCTTGAATATGTTTATAATAAAAAAGGAAAGATAATGCAGTTATTTGCTAATTGCTGCAATGATTAAAGCAAGATGTTTCAAGTTTATCCTTTCATAAGACCAGCAGCCTTTTGAACACAAACAGGATCTGACAAAGATAGTAATAATGAAAGCGGGAGAACAAGGAAACAATGCCAGTTTTCTTCAGAACAATCGGTTGCCACTGACTTCTAACCTACCTACAGTTTCAAGTTTCTTTGGCTGGGACTATATTCTGGTTTTTCAGTGCTGTACTGTGATTAAGCCAAACTTCAGCAAAAAAGGAAGTGCTGCATTGTAGCAGTATTGAAAGTTATGTAGGTGGATTTTTTAAAAAAAATATTACAGCCTAAATTTTCTTAGCAAAAGTCAAATGAGTAACAACACACAGTTTGGAAACATTTGGAGAGGAGAAAACAAATATCTGACAAGAGTACTTAAAATCTGAAAAAAAAAAAAAAAAAAAAAAAAAAAGAAAGTGGGAGGAGAGTGAGAAAAAGCCCCTGACAGGTAATGGTGGAAACCTGACAAATGGAAGGTCATTCTAATGAGAGAGGCGGCCTGGTCTCATGGAAAGAGACTTTGGCCTTTGGAATCTGACCTTCCTGGATGTGAATTCCAGGTGTGCAGACTCCTGGCAGCAATACTCTTGGGAAAGGTGCACTAATGTTCTGAGCTTCAATTTCTTAGTACATTATGGGGCATATGGGAAAGAGACAGAGGTGGGCTACTTCTCTCTCCACTCCAGGATGCCACCCTCCCACTGTTCCCCACCTTCCTTCTTCCCCAGGACCAGGCTGAGCTCAAGGCTTGTCCCTAAGGCAGCTGGTGAAGGAAAGGTTCGACTTGGTGGTAGAAGCCCTGGACTGGAGTCCCCACCTATGGGCTGAGGGATCCTCCACAAGTGATTCAACTTCTTAGTTTCTCACCTACAAAAGGCAGGGAAATTCCTGCCACAGGACAACAAGGAAGTTAAATGACATGATTTTTTGTGAAAGTGTTGTGGAAAGCACTTCTGTCTTCTATCTTATGAATCAGTAGGGAATGAGCATTCTCAAAATGACCAGAATGATTCCTAATTTCCTTTCTAAGGACCTGATTCCCTTTTCATACGTTCTTTTTGTTCTAAAAACAAAACAAAACAAAACTTACTTTGTAAAGAAAGCCTGAATTCCAGAGCCAGAGTCTGTCCGTTAAAAACTTTCAAGCTTTTTTTTTAAACTTATAAAAGGCGTTATACCCTATAGCCACTCAAACTTGTATAAACAAGAGTTGCAATGTGAAAAAACTCACTTGCTGGGTTTGCCTCTATGAACAACTATTGTTGTCAATGCAAATTGAATCCGAAATTACCCTTGTCATTGTTTTTTTCTGGGGTTGCTTCTTTCATTTCTGTTAAAAATACACAGAAACATTAAAAAAGTAACTATCTCCTCTGTTTTATAAGGAGAAGAAGGGATAAAGAAAAAGAAAATCAACTTGGCATGCAAGTGAGCCTTGCTCTGGAATTTGGGTGGGTCTAGGAAAAAGCACCGACCTCAGTGGAAAACATATATGGGTGTGTGGGAAATCCCTGTAAACTATAAATTGACTACACAGTGCTTAAGCTGGTGTGGAGAGAAACCACAATACTCTCTGAAACCAGAGAGGAGGGGACAGAGAGCAAGTTTTGCACGAGGAGAGCACAAAGTGTCCCTGGGAGACAGAGCTGCTGGTAATTCTTAGCAGGCTTAACTGGATCTATTGAAAGTGACCACTGTAAAACACCACTGTTGCACCCTGGGGTTCTCTGTGGGATGCCCCTACTTGTATCATGCAGGAACCCTATGGCCTGACTCTGCTTCACCCACACTTCTTCCCACCGCTCCCCAGCAAGGCCCCCCGCCCTGTTCAATTGCTCCTGTATGCTTCCCCACTTCACTGCCATTGCCTTTGCAGCTCCAATTCCTGGAAAGCATTCTTTCCCTTTTCTATTAGAATCTCATTATGTAGCTTCGAAGCCCTTCAAGGCCTGTCAAGACTCAGCTTTCCCTTCCCGATGGGGCCTTACCTCTTCTACACTTTCTAAATGTTATCTTCTCCAGGCTGAACAAAACCTAGTGTGTCTCTTTGCTACTAAGGACTAATCAGATGCTGTGTCCTGATTCATTCGGTGTTGGTGTATCCCATATCTCCAATCAGATTACGAGCCCCTGGAGGGCTGACAGCACGTTGGACTTGGCTGAGCTAGAATCAGCTCCCTTTTGCACCCTGAGCTGAGTGCATGCAGCTCAGCATTTGTAATCCTAGCCTAATGCAATGTGAAATTTATTATCTCTCTTTTTACAAATGAGGAAACTGAAGATCAGGGAGACAGTGTGACTTGTCCAAAGTCACTAGCCCAGTTGCCTTTCAGAAGGCATCTCACTCCATCTTCAGGATGACCCCAGGGGCTAGGCTTTCA
This sequence comes from Homo sapiens, assembly GCF_000001405.40. Taxonomy (NCBI): domain Eukaryota; kingdom Metazoa; phylum Chordata; class Mammalia; order Primates; family Hominidae; genus Homo; species Homo sapiens. The sequence continues at coordinate 38,270,547 of NC_000021.9, forward strand.
CACTTTAACTCCTCCTAGAAGGTCATAACCTGAAGATCTGAGATTTGAACCCAAGTCTGTCTGGCTCCTACCCTGTACCTTTCCCACTATAGCATATTGCCTCCCTATCACCAAAATGCCCAACACGAAGTTGAACATGGCATAATATCAAATGAACTTGTGATCATCCCGTTTTGTCAAAACTAAGAGAACATAAAAAAAAATCAGCAAATTTGACCAGAGCAGTGTATTTATGGCAAGACCAAGGCAAAACTTGATTCTGCATTCTTTGCATTATAGTAACAGACTGAAAAGGTTCATAAGTGTATTCATATTTAAGGGAGTGTGTAACTGTTCTACCTGGGTCAATGTAGAATTCCCTATACGTTGCATGCATCATCAGGAATTTCATATGCAGCAGATAGGCATACAGCCTGGTTTCTCCAACAGCCAAAGGCATTTCTGAGTGGCAACAACACTGATCTGGTGAAGCTGAGTCCATCTGGACATTGGGGAGCCCCAGGCCAGCAGGGTTTCTGCTAAGTGGACCTTTCCAAATCCTCTCAGGGACAAAACCTGGTTGGGCATCTTCAAGAAAAGATGCTCTTGTAAAGTTGGTGTAGCTGCTTAAATAAGCCCCGAATAGAGTCTAGTCCGTCTCTCTGTGCTTTTCTTTAAATTTCCCTTCATAGAAAGCTAAAACTTAAAGAGGTTTCAGAGAAGCTAGTCTGACCCCATCTCCCAGTATCATTGAGAAAACTGAAGCTCGGAGGGGCTGGGTCATTTGCCGGAGGTTTTGCAGGACACAGAAGAGCTTGTTCTCCTAATGTGGCCTAGAACTCTTCACCAGGCCTCCTCCTATCCCAGGTGGAAACTAAAGAGGAAAAGATGAAGCCAAACTCAGGCGGAAGCAACATAATTAAACTGGTTTATCGTTTGGCAACAGAGATCAGAGGAGTGAGTGGAAAGTGAAAATCAGTGAAACACTTGCAGTTTAAAAGAGGCATGCGATTCCTGCTTTTCCTAAGCAGTTGAAATGTGTTTATATGTCTTTCCTGGAGCTCTCTCATTGCTAATGTGGTCCTATAAGGGGAAGTCCTGGAGACTGAGCTGGGTGTATTTGAGTATTCTTCTCAATGGAAGGCAATGAGCTTGTGTGCTACACTGCTTAGGCCACACGATCCCCCAAGCCTGGGCTGCCAGACGTCGCCATCATTGTTCCATGCAGATCATGCCCATCCTGTGCAGAAGGTCACTATAGGAACACATGGCACAGGGAAGAAAACGCCCATAGAAATTCACATGGTGCTTGTCTAAACCGAAGGCAGGTGAGATCCACCCACTGTCATGGGAAGCTGCTAGCATGCTCCCATTTGTTTATAATAATTTCTCCACCGTTAGAGGCTGCTTTAAAAAGAAACGGCCAAAACCTGCGATCCGGTGCCACAATTGAGACAGAAAGCATGGGACCATGACAGTTTTAAGAATTACTAAAGTATGAGGCTTGACCAGATCATTTTTCCAAGGATCCAGAGCCCTTTAGAGAGAATTCAAGAGGGAGAATTTCTGGTGACTTCTACCACCTCTGAAGAATTAAAAAACTTACTTGTGCTGCTTTCCAGGCCTCTGTGGTAGTTAATTCTGCTTGGCAGTTTTTGTTGTCAAATAGCTTTTAAGAAATCTGGAGCTATCTCAGATATAAATACCTTAATGATGCCAGAGGACTGTCTTTCACCCATAAAAACTGAAGCCATGTGCCAGAAGCCCTCGTGGCTCAAGGGCTCTGTCCTTGGACACGGATGAGGGCAGCTGGGCGGTGGGACCGAGGCTCTGCCTGAATGCTCAGCTTCTGCAAGCTGGGGTGGAGAGTGTGTTCCTGCCTACCGGCTCAGCCAGCACAGGAGCACGTAGCCTGCAGGTGTGGGTTGTACACAGGCTTCCCCCTGCTGAGTCAGTTCCCCAGATCTCTTCATCACTTCCCCAGATCTCTGGGATCTTCAGCTGAGATTGGGCCCCAGCACCTGGACTCAAGGTAAGGCCCCTTAGGATGCTTGTAGCTGATCAATCAGGGTAGTGCAAAGGAAGAGGGGAAAAAGCCACCCAGACCTTAAAGGAGATTTCTGGAAGATCCAATCAAAGTGATTCACCTTAACCTCAGGCATGACTTTTCCCCATTATCTGCTGTTTTTAATTTCAAGTAGTATAAATCTTACTGATCTGAAGAAGACTTCTGCTTCTGAAACTACCAGCGCTTAACAATGATTGAGCCCTACTCTATGAGATTGCAAATAAAAATATATTAACCTTGGCAGGAAATCAACTGATTAATACTTATACCCTACACTCTAAAGACTGGAACCTCAATTTATCTGCATAAACAGAGGCTTTGGGTATAAAAGTAAAATGTAGTTGGTTATGCCAAAGACTGCTTTCAATAGTAATGCACCAAACATGCTTTTGAAAATAGCAATAAACTATTCATTTAGGTTAGATATACAAATAAGTAACTTTCAGAGTTAGCACTAAGTTTTAAGCCTCAAAGACTTTGATTTCAGTGACAAGATGTGTAAATGCAGCGGTTAGAAAAAGTACACATACTGAGGTTTCTTTCAAGATTATATATAGTATTATTCAAAAGTCTTATTGTATATGAAAAGTGACAAGATTTTTGCAATATGAAACAACAGTAGCTAGCTAATACTCTAGTTACCTTTACAGATTGTCTAGTTGGTCACATTATACCTTAATTTTTCAGGATCCAACCAAGGCCTGGTTAACTCTTACTGGCAATGTTTGAAAGGGATGAAAGAGGTCCTATGCATATTACTCTAAATTAATCTTAGTGCAGGAAGACAAGTCATATTTGAATAACTTTATTTTGTATCCCTAGCTACTGTCATCCTAGTATTTGAAAAGCTCCTTTTCTCCCAATGTTCAGAAAGTCATTTTCCAAACTTGCAAATATTAAAACCTATTCATGTCTAATACTTTTCTACTTGGTCTATTTCCATGTCCTGTCAATGACCTATCAATTACCCTATTCAATTACCCATGTCACTTGAGATTTCTCCCACCAGAATTTAGGTTGCATATTTTCACAGGGCAATTTATTTTAAAATCAGAATGGTCCATAAAACTAATAGCTTTGTGTGCACAGACCTAAAAGATTTGTAGTAGCTCTGCAGCTGCATTTTTGAACATCAATAGTTAAACGATCAACATAAATGTTAAAGAAGTAAATTAACTTTCAGAATTTCACGTGTGCTCTAGCATTCACCATTGACCATGCTGGAAGAAGACTTTGAGGTCATTTCATCCAACCCTCTCATTTTACAGATGAGGAAAACAGGACTAATTGATAGCTAGCAATACTAAATTATAGCTCTTCTAAAACTAGACAGCAGCGTCAGTAGGCTTCTTCATGTGCTCAATTACTGTATGGATTCCACGAGTTGATGAGCGTGCTGTGACCTTGAGCATTTACATTCTGTGGTTTTCAAATGTTTATGTTTCTAATGTGGTATTTGTAAACCTGGGCCCCAGTAACCTTTACCACTGAGGCTTTGCCAATCCCAACTCTGGGCAGCCCACCTCTTCCATATGCAGCAGTGCTTGCAGGCTGTTCCGCCTGGGCAAAGTCATGTTAGGTGTAAGCAAAGACGTGAACTAGTGTTCATGCTTGAAAACCTCACAGAGACCTGCCTGCTGGCTGAATCCTTTCTTCATCTCTTGTTGCCTCTCCTACATGTGACTCAAAAGCTAGCCAAGTTTGTTCCACATCCTTCAGCTTGTTCCTCTTACACCAAAGTGCCATACCATCATCCCCTTTAGTAAGATCACACTTCTCCAATTTCTGTCCTCCTCTACTCCTCAATAAACAGGAAGATGCTGTCTGTGGAAAATGCACGTGGAGCTCTTGCACACGTTTTCTATAACTTGTCTTCCTTCCACTTCCCCACAACTAGAATATAAGCCTCATGAGAGCAAATGCCTTGTCTGGACTGTTATCTCCCCTGTGTCTAGTATAGTCAAAAATAGTAGGTGATGGGTAAATACATGTGCAATAAATATATCCTTTCATCTTTCCTTCCTATCTTAGGGAAACAAATGTCCCTTTCTTTTCTGTCTTACCTCCCTAATAACATCAGTACTTCTTTGTCCCTCCTCCAATATTGACCTCTGAATCACGTCCTCCTTCTTGAAATCTTGCCTTCTTAATTGTCTGCTTTTATTAATTTACATAGGTGTCCAGCCATCTGGCTGGCCTTTCTCCAGTTCTTTTGCTGGAAAATCCTCTCCTCTTCTCTTTAATACAGGCAGCCTCTAAGATTGCCCCTTCAGTTGCTTTCTTCCCTTGGTATTTTTCTTTTTTTTGCAGTTCTCATTGACTCATATCTGGTCAACTTTTACCTCTAGGTACAATGATTCTTCAATTTCCACCTCCAGCCCCAAATTTAATTCCTAGATATGGACATGCTTGGAGCCAACACCACCATGTCACCTCAATACACTCTGCTTTTCATCCAAATCTTCCTTTCCATCCAGGCAGCAAACTCCAGAGTCCTTTCCACTCCTGTTCAACCTTTCTACTTCACATATGACAGGTGTGTGAATTTTACCTGGTGGCAAACCAACGTGGTGATTCTCTTGAATTCATGTATTACTTAGACAAATTCAACAGCCTCCTAAATGATCTCCTTCTAGCTGCTCTCCTCCCTCTCCATCTGTCTTGCTAGATGAGCCTGGCTTCTTTTTTCCTGCAGAAAGATCAAACTTTTCAGTTTAACCCGCATCACCTTTTAAAATTCATTGCCAGTGTAGTTCCCAATATGGCCTCATACTAACTTCAGATACCCCAGTGTATCTGAAGAAAGTAATCCCAGCTACTTGGGAGGCTGAGGCATGAGAATTGCTTGAACCGGGGAGGCAGAGGTTGCAGTGAGCCAAGATCACTCCACTGCACTCCAGCCTGGGCGACAGACCGAAACTCCGTCAAAAAAAAAAAAAAAAAAAAAAGCAAAAAGCAAATGGGAAACTTTTTTTTGAAAAGATCAGAGGCTCCCTTTTTAAAAGAGCAGAGCTCAGGCTCTTACTCACATCCCTGTGCCCCACCAAAATATTCTGATTTTATTGTCCTGTGTCAGAGCCAAGGCATTAGTTCATTTTAAAATCCCCCTAGGTGAATCTCATAGGCAGCCATGGTTGAAAGTCGCTGATAATTGATAAACCCTATGGCCCAATCAATTGGGAGTACTTGAAACATACTTTGCCACCCCATAGTTTTGCCTGGGCAATTCCCCTTGTCTGTAATCTTCTTTCTCCTATTTTTTTTTCCTACAGAAAACACATGATAACTTCTTTGATTTTTCCAGTTAGAAGGAATCAGTCCTCCTCCTGGAAATCCTTAATACCTTTTAATATATCATATTCATTCATGTGATCTAGGCAGACCTTGTGTTAGATATGGACAAAATGGAGAGAAATAAGACAAGGTCCTTGTCTTTAAGCAGCTTACAGTCTTGCCAGCTCACTGGTTACACATGAACTAGTGAGTATCAACTTTTATGATAGAAGTGTCCATGGGATACTGTTAAGGCATGAAGGAGCCTATTCTGCTTGGCATGATAACAATTTATGTATATGTCATCTCTTATATCAAATGGTATACTTTCGAGGGCTAAGATCATGCATCTCTCACCTTTACGTATTTCAAAGACCACAGTAGTATAAAATGTTTGCTGAATAAATGAGCAAATGAATGATGTTTTGGTAATTAGGAGTCACTGGGGAATAATGGCAGCTCTTAGGAAATGGTACCATAGTTCCATTCTTGGGGTAGGGCTGGGCGTGTCCCCATGGAGTTCACAGAACTATGTCATAATTTCAGTACTAAATTATGTGTGTTTTACAGTTTCTCTCAATCACCCATTCTATGTTTTATTTAAAATGGTAATAGGAATAGCATGTTAGAAACTGGGTCCTGTACTCATTAACAAAAAGAAGGGAGCAACAGACATTGGGGTCTACTTGAGGGTGGAGGGTGAGAGGAAGGAGAAGCAGAAAAGAGAACTATTGGGCACTGGGCTTAATACCTGGGTGTTGAAATAACCTTTACAACTAACCCCCATGACACAAGTTTATCAATGTGACAAACCTTCATACCCTTTTTTTGGTACCCCGAACCTAAAATAAAAGTTTAAAAAATTATATTTTAGAATATATTCAAAAAGTAGGATATTATTTCTCAAAGAAAACATCTGAATTCATACTTTAAAAATATTTTTTAAAACTTGAAGTTTGATCAAGGCATTTACATCCTAGGAGACAAAAGCAATCATTTCAGTATGCATTCTAGATTTATCAACTGCATACATATTTTAGGAAGATTTTAAGATATTTCAATATAATATCTAAAAATGACCACTTAATTTTAGTAAAAAGAGACTCCCACCTTCTGGTAATTGACAATTACTATGGTCTGAGAGTGTTTAGATTAAAAAATTGTGTGTGTGTGTGTGTGTGTAAAATTATCACAGGAAAATCAATACATCAATAGTAGCACCAAAAAAGAAAAAAAAAAGGAAAGAAACTAGGTCCTATTTTTCATGACTAAGAAGTTGACAATGGTCTTTCCAAATTAAGACTCGGCATCTTTGATTTTTGTAAACATATCCTGGAGATCGAATGTGAACATTTGATGGCTGATGGGAAGAATTGAGGAGGATTAGGGGAGCACTTGACTTTGCCATGATTCTCAAGTTAAATCCTTGGACCTCTTAAAGATGTTGTTGATGAAGCTGCTAAAATGGTCACCAGATGAATATAAACAAGTAGGACCCGCAGTAATTTCCAGGCTAATTTTGTGCACGTGCGTTTAGGGGCGAGTCAAATTAAATGAATGAGGAGCTGATGTTCATGTGAAAGTAATTACTCTCCTCCAGTAGAAATCCTAATCCTACAAGTAACTGCAGAAATAATTAATCATAACTAAGAAGCAAACCACTCTCAGGGAGAAAAGCTGTATCTGAACTTCCACGTGCTCTTGGAGGATACGGGTGATTCACGGCATAAGAGTCATCTACCAAGTCATCTGCAAGAGCGAGTGCAGCTTCCAAGAGGGTCTGAGTCAGAACAGATAAAAGGAAGTTCTTCTTAACTCAGAAGATTTCAACACTGGGGAAGCTCATTTCCCACAGAGATAGAAAAATGTGCACTATAAATCACTCTCAAAAAGCAATTTAGACAACTACGCAGGTAATGATAAATGCATGGAGAGCACTCACATGTTTTGGGTTGTGTTTTTGACCTTCATTCATTCTTTATAGATTATTAATCCACGGATTAAGTCATTGACTCATTTATAGTCATGAGTCATTAAAACTTTTCTGGAGCATCTACCACATGCCAGCAACTGTGCTACTTAGGGTACAAAGGTGGACATGGCCCAACCCCTGCCCTCAAAGAACTTCTAGGGAACACTGACTTTGCAGGCATGATTCCGTCTGCATCACGCATCAGTAAACAGCTATGTGTACTGTAGGGTATTGAGACACAATGACGTTCCCTCTGCTCAGCTCATCACCACAACCAATGTGTAGGAGCTTGCTTTTTGAGACCCAGCGGTGCTTTCTATAACTGGAAGATTCCAAGTTTCCTTTGCTTCCATTTATGCATTCAGCAGACATTAAGGCCCTGCTAGAACCTAGGCATTGGCATGTACAAGATGAGATATGGCAGCTTGCATTCCAGTGGAAGGTGGTGGGGTGTGATGGATGAAGAGCTGGCTTTTGAGTCAGACTACAATCTTAAACATTGTCGCCACTACTAGCTAGTTGTGTGACCCTAGGCAAATGCTTTAACTTATCTAGCCTCCATTTACTTATTTTTACCAGCATTACTCTGAAGTGTGGAGTTATACATACATGAGCTGCCGACACAGTACTAGTTACATATTCATTCTCAACTAGTGGCAGTTGTTGGTTGGATCATTATTATAATTAAATATACACAAGCAAAACAGATATCTCTAGTACACTGAGATAAATATTCTGGGAGACAGAAGCATAGGCAATCATGTAGAGAAAGCCCCAAACCCATGGGAACAGGTGGAGAAAGCACCTACCTAGAAAGGGTAACACCCCAAAGGATAGACATGAGAACGCTGGCCAAGACAGGAGGTGGGCTTTCGGGCAGATGGCATGGCATCAAGTCAATCAATAGAGGACTAATCCATCTGGGCAACTGCAAGTCATTCTGCATGACCTGACCAGGTAACAACCTAAGGAGTGGCTGGCACTAAGGCAGGTGGGGCCAGTTTCTGAAGGGTCAGTTTCAGGAGCTGAGGCTTTGGTTTGTAGACAATGGGGCCACTAAGCTGGGCGGCAGAGTGCTTTAGGGACACCACTGAGGAGGGACTATGAAGGATGCTATAGAGAGAGGACAACTTGAGATGGGGACCTCAATTATGAGCCTGTGCTGTCATGCAAGAAATAAAGTATGTGGATCTAAACCAAGGCAGTGTCACCCAAGAAAGAAAATGTGTGGATCTAAACCAACGCAGTGACAGTGGGAAGGGAGAAAATGGACAGCTTCAAGGGATGTTGGGGTAGACTCGGGGTGCTGAGTATTTTTCAGTGCCTGAGGGTCTACGGGAGGAAGGGAGTTGCCCTGGGTAATGGATAATGAAGCTAGGCTGGGTCTAATTTGGGGTGTTTGTGGGCAATCAAAGGGAGGAACCACACACAGTTGACTGTTGTTCTGGCAGTCTTGCAAGAGCAATCTGGAACACAAAAAGTCTAGGCTTCATGAACTACAAAGGTAACATCTGAAACCATGGGAGTAGATGCAGGAGTGTGTCTTTAGTGAAAATAAAATAGTTGGAGCATGGAGCCTTGGAGAAAATGCCACTTCAAGATTGGCAGAAGAGGAAGAACCTACAGATGGAACTGAGAAGGCATCAGAAAAGTAGAGGTCAAGTTGAGAGAAGAGAGTAGCAGCAGACTGAAATGCTATGGAAATATCAAGGAAGATAAGGAATGAAATGTATTTGCCAGCTGAGTTGTAAGTAACTCTGACCAAGTGGAGTGGTGAGCTGAGAGGTTACTCTCTTGGTTGAAGAGTAATCACCCAGCCCTCAAGGAAGTGGAAGCAAAGTATCGCTTCTGTCCTTTTTAAAGCTCTTCTCCATATCATTGACTCTGCTCCCCAAAGCTTGGCTTTTAGTGAAAGCCATTCTATTTAGACAAACTCATTGTCTCTCCTCTCAACCCCAAGACAAGCATTTTGATCTCTTTAACTCCATGGGTTTTATTACCAATGAATGAAATAGGACATGGCACACAGAGCAGACAGAAGGCCATTGCCAAGGTCTTTCAACTGGGGTCCCACTCTCAATTTTACTTCCTGAAAGTTCAATGTCTTGGCTGAAAACAGGGCTGAAGATAGATCCAAGGAAGACCACTGGGAATTGGCCAACTAGGTTTAAACTGGGGAACAACTCCCCTCAAGTGGCAATTTTAAGGGTCTTCATCCTGCCTCATTGGCTTTAATCCCTCTTGAACATGTCAAAGTGGTTGGAAGACTGAGTCCTGGTGGGCCACATTGTGTTTCTGTGGACTGCGGACTAGTTTCAGAGGAAGCACCTGTCTAACTTAACCAGGGATCACTTAGGATGAACACCAGTTACACAGTATAGAAGACATAAATATTTGAAATTTTATTTGCAGCCACTGTTGCACAGTGCAAGCTGTCTCAGAAATTAAGGCATATATATAGTTCAAATGGGACCAAAGTAGTCTTTTGGAAGTCATAATAGGGCACACATACATGAATTGTTGAGCAGACCTTGTAAATTAAGAGATTCATTGTATTCAGGCAATAGTGTGTGGGTGTGTGTTCGCTTTCTTTGGGAAAACAGCATTTGTAAGCCACTCACTCCCAACATCAGGGGCACGTCAGGGTGAGGGTATATAGAGGTAGCTGTTATTAGTGAGAATATAAGCGACGCCTGACTTAGCACTCTGTTACTGTTAGCACTACCGAATCTTTGATGACTAGGTGTGGTCAAAATCTTGGTTTCCAGCTATGTTTCCCATAAATGAAGTTTCCAGATATAAGCCAAATGCTTAAACAAAATTGCTGACTACAGGATCATTTTGTAATACTGTATGGGTGATTTATAAGCTGTGTTTTTTTAAAGAATGAAGTCATCTAGTGGCTTTGAACTTTCTCCCCATAGGTGAAGTTATAAGTCCAGCAAGCTCCTCAGTGGCTCCTTTCTCAACAGTCATGTGAGAGAAGCCAGCCTCAATTAAGCCCCACGGCATTCACTGATGGAATAAATTACCTTCTATTGTATATGTCTAGAGTGATGCTTGCTATAACCATCCATGGAAGAAATGAGAACACAGTCACTCAAACCATTTTCTGGGTTCAGTACCGTGTTGTCCAGATGAGGAACAGTGGCTGCAAAAGGCCGTTTGCTATGCAGAGTGTGAGCTTTCACCTCCAGCCTCAGCCTCGCCTGGGAGCTGGTTAGAAATGCAAATTCTCAGACCTACTGCAGACCTTTTGAATAATAATTTGCATTTAAATGAGCCCTCAGGGAATTCGTATGCAAGTTTAATCAGTATTGGTGTGAAGCAATGGATTCAAAAATTATAGCCTCTCGCAGCACACACAAGGATACTTAGGGACATACATGCACAATATATACATTTTTCGTCTTGCTCTAACAAATTACATATATTTTATTTATTTTTTTCAACTTTTATTATAGGTATGGGGTACATGTGCAGGTTTATTAAACAAGAATATTGCATGATGCCGAGGTTTGGTGTATAAATCCTGTCGTGCAGGTAGTGAGCACAGTACCTGACAGGTAGTTTTTAAAACCACCCCACAGCCCTCTAGTAGTCTGCAGTGTCTATTGTTCCCATATTTATCTCCATGTGTGCTCAGTGTTTAGCTCCTTCTATTATAAGTGAGAACATATGGTATTTGGTTTTCTGTTCCTGCATTAATTTGCTTAGGATAATGGTCTCCAGCTCCATCCATGTTGCTGCAAAGAACATGATTTAATTCTTTTTTATGGCTGCATAGTATTCTGCGGTATATTTGTACAAAATTTTCTTTATCCATTCTACATTTATGGGCACCTGGCTTGATGCCATGTATTTGCTCTAGTGAATAGTGCAGAGGTGAACATACAAATGCATGTGTCTTTTGGTAGAATGATATAGTTTCCTTTGGGAATACACCCAGTAATGGGATTGCTGGGTCAAATGACAGCTCTGTTTTAAGTTCTTTTAGAAATCTCCAGACTGCTTTCCACAGTGGCTGGACTAATTTACATTTCCATCAATAGTGTAGAAACTTTCCCTTTCTTTGCAGCCTTGGCCAGCAACTATTTTTTGACTTTTTAGTAATAGCCATTCTGACTGGTGTGAGATGATAACTCTTCGTGGTTTTGATATGCATTTCTCTAGTGATTAGTGATGCTGAGCATTTTTTCAAGTTTGTTGACTGTTTGTATATCTTCTTTTGAGAAGTGTCGGTTCATTTCCTTTGCCCATTTTTTTTAAATGGAGCAATATGTTTTTTGCTTGTTGATTTATTCAAGTTCACCATGGATTCATTTTAAAATATGTATAAGATATAAACACTTAAAAGGATAAAGTGGAAGCTACAATTGAATACTTCTATCATTTTGTCACTGTCCCTGCTTGGGTTACTGGTGTACCCCACATTGGAGACATCTGGTGTAAAGAAGCAAACAGAGCCGAAAGGAATCTTAGAACTCTTTGTCTATGATGGTCAGTGTACTGGGGAACATGAAATACACAGAGGAAGTAATTTGTTGGATGAAATTGAATATACTTATGTTTGCCCATAGTTTTTATCGGTTTTGTCATTTTGAGAGATGTACAACTAATTTTCTCTTCAAGATAGAACATTGTGGCATATTCTTTGTGCTACGAATCAGAATAGGAAGACGAAATCTTTATTTCTAATTGAATTGTTCAAATCAGTGAAATATTCTTCACCCGAACAATGTGCCTAGCTGTGGACTGGATTCCTCTCTGGGATTCCTCTCTGACCTAGAACGTTGGGCATCATAACCTTAGGCAAGTGACATTCTTACTAAATCGGACGCTGAGTCCCCTTGAATGGCATCTCTGCCCACCGTGTGCCTCCCTTAAACATTAAGTTCCTACCACATGCCAGGCCTTGTGTTTGCCACTCAGGATGAACTACTGTGCCCAGTCTATGGGGAAAGCTAAACTCCAAGACTGATCATTACAGCAGCACAGTAAGTATTATCATGAGGTGTGGACAATGAGAAGGCAGAAGAGAGGAACAAGGTGAACGCTACCTGCATGCTGGAGGAGATGACATTTGAGCGGGGCCTCGAGGGATGCGTAGGAGTTTACCAGGCATAGAGCAAAGAAGAAATATGGAATAAAGGGGTCAGCCTAAGCAAAGGTATAGGGCAGGATATCTGCTTTATCAGCAGTATCTCTGGGTGAAGTGCAAACTCTTCTAATTCAGTCAATGAAATGAAGCCTTAAGATGACTGAAAACTAGGTTCTTGGATTTGTGCAATAGATATTTGGAAATATCTCTGAGAGTAAATGATTTCATAATGTTTGGCCACAACACTGTGTGGAAAGTTTCTTTGTGTAATATAATACAGAAAGTACTTCTCATTTACAGTAAAATCTGGAATACTTGGAAATGGTCTGTGCTAGGGAAACTGAATTTTCAGATTAACTGCATAAAAATGGAAAATCTGGTTGAAAAACCTTCCTAATTTTGTTTTCCTTTAGAGAGATAACTGCTGTTAATATTTTAGAGGTGTTTTATTTTGATCTTACCTAGAGAGAGAAACAGAGAGATTACCCTGCATATTTAGCTGTATCAATTGCCTTTTAAAAAACATATTTAGCATTTTTTCATGATTTTTAAACACTGCATAATATTTCAGCCTATGAGTGTTTTATAAATTTAAAACCATTCCTATATTGTTGGTGACTCAGATTGCTTCTAATGTTTTAATATCATAATAAATATAGAGAACACTCTTGTACATTATCCTATCATACATTTCCTATTAAGTCTTAAAAGTAGACTTACTGACTCAAGCAGTCTAACATAAATAGTTTAAAACTTTGAGTATACATTGTCAAATTACTGCCTCCCTCAAAAAAGTTATGCTAGATTACTCTATCGGACACCATGCAGGAAGCTCTTCATTTCTGCAAACTCGTCAATGTAGAATGTTCACATGTCTTTTAAAATTTTCGGTAATTTGATAAGTGAAAAGTGAATTCCTGGTGCCTTTGTGTTTCTTGGACTGATGGTCCCTCCTCAGTCTCCTTTGCCTGTATCTCTGACTCTGCCTGGTCTTAAGGCTACTCAGGCTCAGTCTGGGTTGCTGCTTCCACACTACTGTCTAAGGGGGAAGCTCCTGCACTTTCATGGCTCAAATTCCACTCGTTGGCTTATGTGCTAAAGGCATCCCTCCTGTCCAGGTGTCTCTGTTGAAGGCCAGGCCCATCTGCACAGACCCTAGTGCTTACTTCTCTTTAGGTGTCTCCAGGCAGCCTCCAGTGCACACCTTCAAACCTGCACCCCAGAGGTGAGATCCTCCTTCTGCATCGGGATTCTGCACAAGCGTGAGCTCCATGCTGGTATAACACCCAAACATTCAATCTGGGTGTCCCATAACATGTGCATAATGTTAAAATTACAGAGGAAGATCCAGTGTCCTCTGAATCAGTAAGATAGCCTCCGCCCACCCCAACACACCTCATTTCCATGCCAGGAAGCCTGGAGTCATCGGTGAGACCTCCTCTTCTCTCTGCCTTGTCTTCTTAACATCCACCTGTTGGAGACGCCTGTTGACTCTGTCTGGGACCTGTCACTCAGAGCTCCTGGCTAGTAGCTCTCAAGCTACAAACACCGCCCTTGTCCATGCATCAGTAATTTCAACTCAGATTACTGAAAGTGCCGATTAAACAGACTCTCAGCATCTATGTTTGACTCTTTCCAATACATTCCCTATGCTGCGTTTAACATGATCACTTTCAAAAGCAAGTTTGATCCTTTCTCTTCCTTGAATAAAACCCCAAGATACTCCTTGTGCTCCAAGGATGGGGGTGACGGTCCTCAAGGAGCCCACAAAGCCACATGCAGGGGCATGGCATGGCTCTGCCCTTGCTCCTACCTGACACTGCTTCCCTCTCGCCTACTCAATATCCTCCTCGTTTCCTGGAAGGTGCCAAGCTCCATGCTCCAACTCCAGACTAGGACATGTTATATACCCCATGTGCTAGTCTCTCATCTATCCTTGACTTTCTCCCCAGTTCTTCCCACAAATGTCTTTAAATCACTCATCTAATGATGTATTTAATGCCTCTTTTCCCTGTTTTCTTGCAAACTACCCAAGAGCAAAAACCAAGTCACTCTTAATGCTTCATCAGCAGCATCCTGTGCCATGCTTAGCACATAGTTGGTGCTCAATAAATTCTTGCCACACAAACCAATAAATAAATGTTAAAGTGTTGAAATGTCTTTTCACCTTTTCAACATTTTTTGAATTGCGTTTCTACACACGTTGCCCACTTACGAGAATGAAGGCTCTTGTTGATTTGTGAAAACTTTATATGAACCCTCTGCTGTTCATCCGTGGTAAATGTGATTCCTTTTGATAAGTCGTATTTTATGTTTTATTTGTCGTATGCATATGACAATAACAGTTAACACTTGTGTAATGATTAATACTAATCATTATACTAATCATACGAGCAGGCAGAGTTTTATGGTGCTTTATATGTTTTTATTTCACGTGACCCTATGAGGCATAGAAATGATCATCATCGCCATTCTGCATATGAGGAAACCGAGTCTCAAAGGGGTTAAGAAAGTTGTCCAAAGTCACACAGCTGGTGTTAACAGAAGCAGGGTCCTGTGCTCTTAATCTTTACGCTATACTGCCTCTGAAGAATTGTTTAATTTTTTTTAAGTACAGAAGAGATAATGTTCAACCTGACTTTTGAAGGACAGGTGGGAGTTAACCAAGAAAGGGAGAAAATGAAGAACCTTCAGGAAGGAATTCATGTGCCAGATGTGGGCTGAGAGGGCACCCAGCTGCTCAGGAAGGGGCAAGTATATACCCAGGCTCTGTTCTGAGGTGAATAAAGCCAGAGAGGGAGCGAGAGCCAGGGCTTAAGGGTCTTTTTGGTTTTCCAAGTTGTTCAGGATTTGTCTTGTCAGCAGTGGGAGATACCGGAGGATTTATGAAAGGGAGTATTGTCTCAATTAGTACTCTAGATGAGTAAGCTTTGTCTTTCCTGGTAAGAATTATCTTGAAACCATGGCAATATAAAGTTGCATGTGACTGAGTGGTATATTAACTGTAAAAATCCACCTTCCTGGCTGGGCGCGGTGGTTCATGCCTGTAATCCCAGCACTTTGGGAGGCCGAGGCGGGCGGATCACGAGGTCAGGAGATTGAGACCATCCTGGCTAACACGGTGAAACCTCGTCTCTACTAAAAATACAAAATATTAGCTGGGCGTGGTGGCGGGTGCCTGTAGTCCCAGCTACTTGGGAGGCTGAGGCAGAAGAATGGCATGAACCTGGGAGGCGGAGCTTGTAGTGAGCTGAGATCATGCCACTGCACTCCAGCCCAGGTGACAGAGCGAGACTCCGTCTCAAACAAAAAAACAAAAACAAAAACAAACAAACAAACAAAAATCCACCTTCCTACTTCCGAGAAGTGCTACAGTAAGGCTATGAAGACCAAGCATTATGTATGTATCTGAGCTGTTTTCTGTTATTTCCCCCTCTGTTTTTATGTCAGAAGAAACTGTACCATTACTTCTAGAGTAGAAGATGTTGGAATGTCTCCTCATTGGTCTTACTGTTCCAATCACGTGAGCACCAATGTAATGTTCATTACTAACATTAGTGCCTGCAAGAATATCCTACTGGAAAGGGAATTAGCTGTGATTTTGTTAAGTGTCCAGCCAATTTTCATAAAAGACACAGTATCTGAGATGGCTGTTAAACATGTCAAGAGATTGTGTACGAGGGGAATAAATCAAGGAAGACTCTATAGGTTGGTCTGATTCTGTGATATTACCAGAATTACTGGTAATATCTACAGCATTTAGAAACTTCATCCACAGTCAGATTTAATCCCAGGGCTATGAAGCCTGGAGAATATATGGGTAGAACTCAGGAGAATCCACGATCTCACATGAGGAGAAAAGAACAGCAGTTTATTTTAGATGGCCTCTAACTAAAATTTGTATTGAGTGTGTGCAGCAAACCACAGATGTACTAGCTGCAACTGTGACTTTGTCATAGTGGAAATCACAGACATTTCAATATCACATTCCAGTCATTTCAGAGACCTTGAAATAACATTGCTGCTCACCACACCTTCAAAACATTAGCTCTGATTTAATGCTTGGAAAAGTATAATTTTGTTTTTTCAGTACTGTAATAGGTGCATTTTAATATCATTGGTGTCTTCTGTAATCTTTGTGACTTTACTTTTATCTGTTTAAACACTTTATTCTGAGAAGGCAGGCATGTGTCTCACTAGTCCACCAAAAAAGACCATAACATAAAATGTTAAGAGCCCCTGAGCTAATATCTTAAAAATGAGACAAACTTCTTAGCTTTTCTGACACCTCTGGTAAGCCATGCATGAAAAGGCTGCACCCCCATCCCGCAGTGGTTAGATTTGTTTTCAGAGTTTTTAGTACTGGGAAAATCTGGATTGTTTTTTTTCTTCTAAGAAGGATGGCTTTACGTTAAACCCTGTCTTTAAGTTTCTTGGCCTTAGGAATGACTCTTGAGCATAAGTTTGCTTTTCCCTAGGGATGCCAGATTTAGCAGATTTAGCAAATACAAATGTAAGGCCACTCTGTACTATGCAAATCTATAGATACATATATGTAAATAGTACATATGTATCTCTGAATTTCAAATAAACAATGAATAATTTTAGTATAAGCATATAGCAAATATAGCATGTGACAGGCTTATACTAAATTATTTGCTGTCCATCTGAAATTCAAATTCAACTGGGCATCTTGTATTTTATCTGGCAACTCTAAAAACACCAAATTTGGGCCAATAGTCCTCCGGCTAATTAACTACAGATGGTTAGAATGTGTTTTCTTACACTGTACAGTGATGGAAATTAGTTAACTGCCAAATGTCTTAATTTTTGATTGAATGTGAAGATATTTTTAAGTTTGAAATTTTGTATTATCATTCAGTGATCACAGAGTCTGCTTTCAACTTTGGGACAAGCAAACAACTGAGAAATACTACCAGTCTTTAAAGCAAATTTTGGTATAAACTGTGTTCCACTGCGATACAGTTTCTATATCAGAGAAATGTGGTCAAAATGTAGACTGATAGTGAGACAGAATTTCAAAACTTTTTGACATTTGTCCCATTGTTAAATAACTTGTTTTTTTCTTTGTTTTTTTTTTTTTTTTTTTTTTTTTTTTGAGATGGAGTCTCACTCTGTTGCCCAGGCTGGAGTGCAGTGGTGCTATCTCAGCTCACTGCAAGCTCCACTTCCCGGGTTCACGCCATTCTCCTGCCTCAGCCTCCCGAGCAGCTGGGACTACAGGCACCTGCCACCACGCCCGGCTAATTTTCTGTATTTTTTAGTAGAGACAGGGTTTCACCGTGTTAGCCAGGATGGTCTCGATCTCCTGACCTTGTGATCCGCCTGCCTCGGCGTCCCAAAGTGCTGGGATTACAGGCATGAGCCACCGCGCCCAGCCATAATTTGGTTTTAAATCAAGCACAAGTCGTAATTTCCATTGCCTGGGATGAGATTCATGCTAATAACTAATATGAATGCCAATGAAGATAAGAATTTTACCTTTGCATGCAGGTGAATTACATCAGAGCCCATTAGTCATCAATTTGTAGAGACTGACAACTCCACATTTATTTCAAATAAAAGAAAATGTAGTAGTCAGCATGAGGCCAGAAAACAAGCCAGCCTGAAATTGTTACCCATATTTATAAAACATACTTTCTATGTTTCCGTGCCTTCATCGTAGTGCAAAATATTATAAATGTGAGGCAAAGAAAGATAAATGTGAGTGGTAAAAATTGGCAGACTCAACATCTTAGTGAGAGAGATAGATTTACTTAAGGGAAAGTCAGTTTGGAAGTATTGTAAATTATATAATGATATGGCATAAAAAGGCATGATCCAGTCTCAAGCATCTTCTTATGTCTCACAGAAACAGGAGTTAAGAAAACCAGCATCACTGCTTACTTCCCACGTGTCATCTCCTGTGAATGCTCCAACCATGTCCACTTTGAAGTTTCATTAAATAAAACACATTAAGCCGGGCGCGGTGGCTCACGCCTGTAATCTCATCACTTTGGGAGGCGGAGGCAGGCAGATCACTTGAGGTCAGGAGTTCGAGAGCCTGGCCAACATGGTTAAACCCCATCTCTATTAAAAATACATAAATTAGCCGGGTATGGTGGTGCATGCCTATAATCCCAGCTCCTCGGGAGGTTGAGGCACGAGAATCATTTGAACCCAGGAGGCTGAGGTTGCAGTGAGCTGAGATCGCACCATTGCACTCTCCAGCCTCGGCAACAGAGCAAGACTGTCTCAAAAAAAAAAAAAAAAAAAAAAGGTCAAATACTTGCTTCTCTACCAGTATTATCTGCAAAAACAGAAGCCTTCCACTCTGATTTATACCACAGTCAGACAAACCCAAACGCTGTGGATTTCCTTCTCCTTAACCAAATGGTACTGTTTTGAGCCATCTTCTCCTCTGTTGTAGGTTTGGACTAATCCAGACAAAAATAGTGAGTGAGATTCCACTAGCCTGTTGAAGAAATCTCTTTCCTAAGGAGAAAATTGGGACCAGGAGCAGTGGCTCACACCTGTAATCCCAGCACTTTGGGAGGTCGAGGCAGGTGGATCACTTGAGGTCAGGAGTTCAAGACCAGCCTGGCCAACATGGTGAAACCCCATCTCTACTAAAAATACAAAAATTAGCTGGGTGTGGTGGTGCACACCTGTAATCCCAGCTACTTAGGAAGCTAAGGAAGGAGAATCGCTTGAATCTGGGAGGCAGGGGTTGCAGGGAGCTGAGATTGTGCCACTCCACTCCAGCCTGGGCGACAGAGACAGACTCCATCTCAAAAAAGAAAAAAAGAAAATTGAGCAGTGCATTACGGAGGCTGACACAGTACAATTCGCCTCCTCACCCCCTCCACACTCACTTCCAGACATCAGTGTTCCTGTTTTGCCAGTCATCTCACAACAATGCATGTCCAAGCCACGCTGTGATTAGAGGGAGAATATGCTTATTACCCAAGTTCTTCGCATGTTGGAGCAGGGAGAGGCCAAGGGTGGTAAACCACAGGAAATTTCCATTTGCCCTCCGCTGCGGCACTCTCACTCTATAGGGAAGTTAGTTGTTATTAGGTAATAATGTTCAGCGGAGGTTGGTCACTCGTAACAACAGACAGATGTGTAATGTTTTATTTGGGTTAGCCAGCTCTCTCACAAATAAAGGGCCTGAAATTAAACTGTCTTTATGAAAATATTCAGTAAATGATACCTCTGGCTTATTCCAGTGCTCAGATTCTTTGCCATGGAAAATGGCAAATGAGTCCCCTGTTGGGCCCGGAATCTGTTTAAACTTGTCTTTGTCGAGTACAGAAGGGTTGATGTTCTATGAGATTAAAAAAAAGTTTTTAAAGAATTCGCATCGAGGAGTAAAGGGAACAACGATGCAAACCACATTTAGAGATGGAAAAGAATTTTTTTTAGTACTTATGGAATTTCAAACAATAATAATGGAACAGAAACATAGGAAAAAAGCTACATATCTGACCACAGAGGCAAATTGCATTATTACATGCTCACATGCAATGCAAATGTGGATTGGTCTGTAAAGGAACACTTTTTGCTTTTCTAATGTATAGTAGGGTGAGAGGAGCACCTCTCCAATTTGCCAAGGCATCACTAGCAAACTCCAGCTACCGAATTGCTTGGGGAAATTGAGTTCTTTTGAAGACAGGTTCTTGGGAACTGTACCCCAAGAACTTCTGGTTAAGTAGCTCAGGTGTGGAGCCTGAGAGCCTGCATTTCTGACGATGGAGATGCTGCGGTTGGATGAGGGGAGAAGGGTCACACTATTCTATACCACCCTGTTTCCAGTAGCCAGTGAGATGGATAACTCATCTCAACATAGAGTGTGACCACGAAGAGAGATACCTACCCGTAAAATGGACTAAGATTCACAAAAGCTTGTTTCCAGCTCTAACCTTGTTACTGGCTCAGTAACCTTGAACAAGTTACTCAAACTTTTTGATCCTTTTATCTCCCTAGATATAAAGTGTAGAGTTTAGACCAGATCAGCACTCCTCAGTGTTCTCAAATGTCATAAAAAGGCTAAACACACACACACACACACACACACACACACGTATATATAGCTACAGTTAAGCAGGTTTTATAACTGTAGGACGTCTCAGAAACTGTAATAAACAAATGTGCAATGTGGCTCTCCAAAGAGTGAAAACAATGGGGTGTCTGGGGGCTCAGCTTCAGCTCCAGTAGGCAAATCCTTCCAAAAGTATTTAACCACAAATTCCTTTATGTGTATGGAACACCTGAATCACACACTTCAGCAAGAGAACCCCTAATGTCCTCCAGCCTTAACTTTCCCATCCTAGAATCTAGGTTCTCCCCACAGTCCTCCAATGTTCCCAGCCAGGCCAATGCTAAAAGCTTCCCTTAATGATACCCATTATCCAAGGAAGAAACCTGAGAGCAATTTTCTACTACCTGTTTGCTTTTTTCCAGCAATTCTCAACTTTTTGCCAAGACATTACACCCGAATTTCTATCCCCAAGGAAACATTTTCTAACTAAAAACTCCACCTGGCCACTGCAGTACTTATATATTTAATCCCAATGACTTTCTCCATTCCTTTGTTTGAAAGTAATGAGACTAAATTTTAGACAATCTAATTTCTTGGCTTATTCATTTTCTCCATATTCCAGATAACTTTTAAGTGGTGAAGAGTATAAATCGTGGTTTTCCAAGTGTAGTCTAAGGTCTAACAGCATCGGGGATATCTGGGAAATTATCAGAACTACAGACCCTCTGGCTGCACCCCAAACCTGCTGAATCGGAAATTCTGAGGTAGGACCCAGTCATTTGCATTTTTATCAACCCCTCCAGGTGATTCTAAAGCACACTGAAGTTAGAGACACAGTGTTGAGATCAGAAGCATGGACTATGGATTCCAACATACCTTGTGCTATATCACAGTTCCTTTGTCTGAAATATGGGAATAATATTAGTACTTACTTCAGAGTCTATGTGAGAATTAAATTAATATATAATACCTAATATCAGGCCTGGCACAGGGTGAGCAATGAGTCAATTAATTACAGCTGCTTAATCTATAATGGATGCTGACGCGTAGTGAGCAGGAACTTAGCTTTGTCACACTGCACCACGAGACTCCTTTGCAAGCTAATGCTGATGATGGTGGTTAGATAGGAGTGCAGCCGTGGGAGCAGACAGAGCTGGTTTGCTCACCAGGTGCTCCATGTATTAGCTTTGTGAATGCATGTAAATTATTTAATTTCTCTAAGCTTAGTTTCGTCACCTAGAAAATAGAGAAAATAATTTCTCCCCAAGGTAAAGAGAGGGATTCAATAAGATAATATCTATAACTGCTTTGAAAAGTGCCTGGACCCTTTTAAGTTGTCCCTTCCCAAATGAAAGCTATCAATGACCTAATGACAGTGGTACCTGGGCGGCCCAGTGTGTCTATGTGATTACAGATCCTGAGGCCACTAGGTCCTTAAACTTGGGCTTCTTGCTCCACAAAATATTAGAATGATAGGATATGATACCCTTACAACTTTCCCTAAAAAGCTATCTTGTCATGATAAATGTAAATATTGACTCAGAAGTAATCAAAAGATAATTAGTCACCTTTTCTATGTTGTTCTTAGGGATAAGGCAAGCCATTCTTGCCATTACAATCTTGTTGAATTTGGGTTCTTTTTGTATTCAGTGTTGAGTCATAGACCAACATTCAGAGTTTACATTAAGACTATTTCACAACTCAGTTGGGTGCAGTGGCTCTCAACTGTAATCCCGGCACTTTGGGAGGCTGAGGTGAGCAGATCACCTGAGGTCAGGAGTTCCAGACCAAGCTGGCCAACATGGTGAAACCCCATCTCTACTAAAAATACAAAAATTAGCCAGGCGTAATGGCGGGTGCCTGTAATCCCAGCTGCTTGGAAGGCTGAGGCAGGAGAGTCGCTTGAACCCAGGAGGCAGAGATTGCAGTGAGCCAAGATTGTGCCACTGCACTCCAGCCTGCGTGACAGAGTGAGATGCTGTCTCAAAAAAAAAAAAAAAAAGGAATATTTCAGAACTTTATATCTTTCCTTTAAATGCAGTACCTTTTAGGTCAGGCATATAATCCTAAGATAAAAAAATATGTATTAATCGTGAAAATGTCTCTGTGGTCAGGTTTCACTAGGTTTTGCCTTGTTAACAACTCTAAGAACTGTGTGGCTTACAGCAACAAGAATTTTTTCTCACCTGTGTTTCAAGTCAGCTGTAGTTGAATTATGGCTCAGTTCCAAGTTTCCTTCTTCCCACTTACCAGAAGGAAGGAACAGCCCAATCCATGACCCACCCACATGCAAGGCAAGCCATGTGATGATCCCGACACCTCTCTTCAGGCATGGTGTGGGTTACTGCTGTTCACACTCCATTGGCCAAAGCAGGTGACAGGGCCACACCTGACACAAGGGAGTAGGAAACACACACCCCACCCCCGCTACGCCCGGGCAGGGAAAGTCCCAGTGAAGGATCCTTTGTGGAAGGACCCAGCCGAGAGGCACAGCAAATAGTTGGGAGCAACATACATCAACCACAACCTCCCAAATTGTCACAGCTCTACCAATAGTTTCCAAGTTCAAACACATCTTCCAAACACAGGTCACTGAGAGGAAACTAGCTTCCAAGTGTGCTGTAATCTCAACTGGTGCTTCCCCTGAAATCCTGATAATTCCCCTGGAGGAGAATGAGTGATTCTTCAGCCTCCAAGGAGCTGTCATTCTTTCTGGGCCATCCTTCAGTCCTCAGTAGTCTAAGGAAAAAGTGCTTTTGCAGAAGGAAAGTAGAATTTCCTCAGGAGATACAAACCGAAGGATTGCCCTCTGGAATCTGCTGAGAATCCACTTTGTCCACCTTGCTTGTTTTCAATGAACATGTCTGTTTCTGAGGCCACTTGGCAAAGCTATCTGTGCCCTTGGCTGGTATGGATGAGTTAAAAGCTGGACTTTGTACAGTCAGACCAGCCTTTAAAGCGGATCCTTCACTGCTGCGTAGTGTAGGGAGGAAAATGGCCCAAGGCCAAGGCCAAAGGTCATGGTGCATGTGCTCCTGTGACCACAGTCGAGGGAGCCCAGGGAGGAGAGCTAAGCCTTTATTCTCAATTGTTTTAAGCCTCCTGAGCTCAGTGAACCCCAAGTAGAT